>NC_000011.10:113839091-114142121 GCF_000001405.40 Homo sapiens | reverse complement strand
TCACACTGAGCATTTGTCACCAAGTCACCTCCAGAAGCCCAAGTGCCTTTTCAGTCATTCATTAAGCATTTCCTGAGCACAAGCCAAGAGCATAACATCATCTCAGGTGCTAAAATGATGTCAGAGACACGAAAAGTGATAACTGTAATACCAACAACGTTTAGATGATATTGGTGATGAAGAAGAATTAGAAGCAAATCTGTACAAGACATATGTGAGCACTTACTATGTGCCAGGCACTATTCTGCGCATTTTCATGCCTTATCTCATTCGATCCTCAGGACAACTCTATGAAGCGGGTATTTTTATTTCTATTTCTTTCTGAGGCACAAGGAAATAAACAACTCACCCAGGGTCGTTAAGCTTGTAAGTGGCAGAGCCTGATACCACTAGTTAGTAGAACGGGAAGTTTAAGAACTTAGGCTGACACAAGCCCTGTCTGCCAATTCCAGATCTACAACTTGCTAGGCTCTAAGACTTTGGGATCCTCCAAGTCTCAGTTTTCTCATCTGTCAAGCAGACTAACAATACTGTTACCTGCGAAGGTACATAAATGAGACTGTGCATGTAAAACAACTTAGCACAACACTGAGAACATAATGTCTTTATGATAAGTGTGTAGCTAGTGTAAGACTAAAGAAGAGAAAGGCCCCTGTCCCTGGCCAGTCCATAACCTAGTGGACAACAAGACAGAGATGGAGAAAGAGACAGAGGAGGATGTGGTGATGTGCCAATATGTCAACAAATCACTATGGGTGTGCAGAAGAGGAGCAGATCAACAGTAGCTGCTGTCACTGCAGACGGTCTGAGGATATGGTGAGATTCAGTTGGTCCTTTCGGGGGCTCTGGAAGCTCCGAAGGGTTCTAGCTACCCATGTTTGGAAATGTTAAGAATGGAAAAGCCTTGGATGAGACGGGGAGCACCGTGTGATGGAGGCATCACATGAGCCAAGACTTGGTGTTAGAAATGAGCATACCCCGCCGGGCAAGCCTTCAGGAGGCTGGCCTGGCTTATCCACAGTGGGCAGGTGGTGAAGACAGCGGCGAGGAGCCTGCGGAGGCGGTAGAGTGGGCTGATGATGCGGAGTCCTGAGACTGATGCTGAGGACTTTGGTCCCAGTGCTGCAGTCATCGAGCAGCCCCAAAGCCCTTCTTGAAACAATGGAGCTGGCTGGGCGCGGGAGGCTCAGCGTGGGCAGGGACCATGGAAGGAGACAGACAGAGAAAAGGGCCCAAATTCTAAATTGAGAAGGAGAATGTTTCCAAAGACAGTAGTTAGGTCAGCCTTCCAGAACAAAATGCCAACATGGTATCACTGTCACACATCTACAGGACATTGCTATTCCCTAGGAAGGTACAAGAAAAGAGAGACTGGAACAAACCTCCTATCTCCATCTACTCCCGAGCACAGGTGCCTGAGTGACTCCACGGAGTAAGAGTTACCACAGCAGGGAACTCAAAAGAGCTGTTGCTTCTGTTCGTTACCTCCAACCAACTAAACATGCCATCCTCTACTCATCAGAATGCAGATGGCAGCAAGAATGGGCAGCCGAGGAGCTACACTTCTTTCCTTCAGCACCCTGCACTGGCTACCAACTCAACATGGCTAGGAGACAGGTCTCCTCTGTTCTGGGCCTAGGCAAGTTGAGAATCCATTGACTGATTGATTGATAGGTATTTATTTGGCATAGTGAAGGATACAACCAAAGCATAAGACACCAACCTACCCTCCTAAAGCTTTAGTTGAAGAGGGAAGACAATACACACTATAAGAGAAACCAGTACTTACATGTGCACGTCAGGTCCTGAGGACAATCTCAACACCCAGCCTGAGTGGGAATCAAAAGCTCAGGCCTCCCCAAGGAGGGGGGCTCATGCCTGGGCTTAGAAGATACCAAGGAGGCAGCAGACATAGAAGAGGAGGTGGTTGTTTCAGATGAGAGGGAAACAGGCACCAAAACAGCATCATTCCAGAAAAAGGGGCAGCCAGCCTGGGGCCAGGCAAAGGAGAGGCAAGGTGAATGTTGTGGAGGGGTCTCAATAATGAGTTTAGACCAGAAAGCTAATGGAGAAAAGAGGTGGGGTTGAAAAGCAGACAAAGAGGGAAGCATTGTTCGTTCTTGACCGAGGACGGAAGGGGGCATGAGGATTACAGAGTTCAAGAGCTGAGGTCTGACACGCTCTAGGAGCCCTCGGTGCCGTCCTTCCTATCCTGACATATGGTACTACAGAACATCTGGCCTTGGAGGCTGGCCAGCCACTTGCTCCCCCGGCCTCCTCCACAGCCGCCCATTCACAGAGAAACAGATTCTTTGCGTGAATATCAGGGTGACGGGCCTTCCGGACACTCACTCTGTTTGGTCACTTGCCAGGAGGCTCTGTCTTGCTCCGTAGTTGGATGCCAAAAAGGCAAGAAGATGCTGCAGAAACTGGCACCTTCCATAAGAATCCTCTACTACACACACACACACACACACACACACACACACACACACGTGGACCGCGGGCACATACCCACACACGCCATCTCTCGCCATCTGTTTGAGCAAACTGCTGGTCTTTGGGGGGGGAGAAGGAAACCTCTTAGAGATATTTGTTTAATATCTGAGCAGTGGGGGAGCAGATGAAGTATGCAAGTTTCATTTAGAAAATCGTCAAGAAACTATTATAGTAAAATGAGGCTTCCAGTTTCCAAATAAAGCTGAAATGATCACACGGAACAAACTGGCGAAGCCGGAGAGTGAAGAAGCAGGAAGGAAGTACAATAAAAATAATAACTGGAGGAAAACAGGAAGTCATGAGATGCCAGGGAATTAGCGGCAGCCCCCATCCCCTTCAGGACTGGGGATCAGTGTGAGCAATTGGCAATGGGAAAACCGCAAATCAAAAGCGACAGCCTGGAGAAGGGTCTCCTTCCATCTTCAGAAGTGTGGTCTCCATGCTCCAGCAATTCCTCTGTTCCTAGATGTCCATTTGCATCTCAAGACTTGCATTGTACAAATCCTCACAAAATCACTCTGGAGGAGAAAGAGACTGGCATCCATCTCTTACCTCTTTTTTTAGAAAACTGGGCTGAGAGAGCAGGTGAGACGCAGGAAATGAGTAAGGAGCCTTGTAAGAGGAAGGGAGTAGGCCAGGCACAGTGGCTCACGCCTGTAATCCCAGCGCTTTGGGAGGCAGAAGCGGGTGGATCACTTGAGGTCAGGAGTTCGAGACCAGCCTGGCCAACATGGTGAAACCCCATCTCTACTAAAAATACAAAAATTAGCTGGGCATGGTGGTGCATGCCTGTAATCCCAGCTACTCAGGAGGCTGAGGCAGGAAAATCTCTTGAACTCGGGAGACAGAGGTTGCAGTGATCCGAGATCGCACCACTGCACTCCAGCCTGGGCAACCGAGCAAGACTCTGTGTCAAATAAAAAATAAAAAATAATTTAAAAAAAAATTAAAAAAGAGGAAGGGAGAAAAGAGTGGTAGTTGACTCAAAACTCAACACAAACTTATTGCCTACTAAATGCAGGGCAGAGCATTAGCCACCACAGAGAGATTCAAAGAAACATAATACACAGGCAATGCCTTCAAGGAGCTTACAATTAAGTAGGGAATGCAAGACATATGTATGTAAAAGACTTTAAAACAGTGCACACTAATAATGTATGACAGGAATAAGGGAGATGCAAAACTTAGTGCTAGATGAAGAGGACTAAAAGTTTGGAATGTAGGCTCCAGGCAACCTAAGTAGAAAATAACCTCTTCTCTCCGTGAAGTTGATTGCCATCGGGGAACACCACAACCACCTCCAAAAACCTATGCCTCTGTCCTGCAGCTCTCACATCCTCTCCTGGCCTCCACTGCAAAATTCTACATCTACCAAGCTCGAAATATGAATAATATGAATGCTACCTGCTCCTCAGTCACATGGCCTGTTTTACTCTAAAATGGCAACCCCCGTAACTGTCATTTTGCATTAAACCCATGACTGGTCCTCCTGCCCTCCCTCACCACTTGCCTCTCTCTCCAGCTTGGGAACAGAGCCTGGCCGCTGGGGCTGCCAACAGGTCCCGTGCACCCTTTCATCCCACTCCATGACAGGCTCTGCCCCAAGGGCCCCACAGCCCACGCCTTGCTCCTTGCCTTCCTAAGAAGCTGCCAGCACAGCAACACCTGCCTGAGCGGTCCTCTCACCGATGCACAGCATGGGGCTGGCCACACTCATCACCAACATGCAGATGTGCACAGAGCAGTCAGGCAGCACCTTTCCCACCTCTGTCCTATTCCCTAGGGGAGGAAGGAGACTCCATCCAGGTCCCAGAAAGCCCCTTACTCCAGTGTGGACATTTCTCCATTGCCTTGCTACACTGTTTTCTCCAGAGAATCCATCCTATTCCCTCTGCCCAAAAAAAAGGGCATGGTCAACCTTAATGAAATAAACTGTAATAGAGTAGGCAGGTAACTTCATCTCCCTTCCAGAAGACACAATCTAATTCACACTCTAATTGTCTCGCTGGAAGCCTCCGGGCCTCTCTCCACAAGCGGGCTGGAAGGATTTGGAAGTGTCATGGCCTGGAACTCCTCAAGTCTAGTCATATAAATACTTAATTGCCACTGGAACATCCACATTGTGTCACTTTGGTATACCCAACCAGTGTGTGGCCAAGTTCCTTCTCTGGTGAGGCTGAGACACGGGAAGTGCCATTGGTGGCCTTTTCATCTTTCTCTTTCCACTTCCATTTCTTTCCCAAGACACTTCCATTTTGGAGAGCTCTTCCTCCTGAGAGCTAGGGAGAGGGCAGCGGTATGAGTGGGAAGACCAACGGCTTCTTTAACTGCTGTTGGCTGTGACCTTAATCACGACAATGAAGTTTAGTTTCTCTTTTGGTAGAGAGATGAGAATAGCAGACTTCAAATGGTAGAAAAGGGTCGGTCTCCTGAACAATGTACTCCAAAGGTCACTGCTGCATGCAGGAAACAAGAGAAGACACAGATGCAATGTCTGTTTCCATAATAGTTTAACCCTCTAAGAATCAGAGGGCTCAGAGAGCCTGGGAGGTCCCTGGGCCCTCTATGCATACAGGAATAAATGAATGTACTCAAGCATTCCAGACAGATCTCCCAGAATATTTTTAAAGACCTCCAGAAAAGAAATGCTATATAGAACCTGGGATCATTGTGGTGATCTTGGTGAGGCAGGAAAATGGGATAGGAAGTGTGAGTATAGGACATGTGACTAAGGAATGAGAGCTCAGTCATAAACCCCAGAGACAGCACGAGGTGACCTACAAGGGAGCTAATGCCCTGCAGTTAAAACTACACTTGAATCTTAAAAATAAAATGGAAGCCCCAAAGACAAAGTCATCCTCAGTAGAAATATTCTCAAGTTCTGTGACGAAGAGTAAAACCTCCCCCCAAAAAAACCCACCCCTTTTAGTAGGCAGTGATCTGCCCGATGATGACTTTCATTCATCTCTTGGTGGGGGCACACTGGAAAGCTCATCTCTGTAGCTACCACAACTCATCTACAGCCCTCAAACTGATAATAGAAGGTAAGAACCTCAGAACATTCCAAATGTTGCAATAGTAGGGGGAACAGCTCTCAGACTCTCACAAACTCTCTGTAAGATCTTGCATGAACCACTTATGCTCTCTAGGCCTCAGTTTCCCCATCTGTAAAATAAGATGCTCTTTCCTACTGACAGCCTGTGGACAGATCTGTGATCTATGAGCTCAAGAGTCCCTCCCTTATGTGCACAACATCTGGAGAGACTGAAGCCAGACTCTGTTTCCACAGTTGCTTTTGGGTGGCCCCCCATAGAGCACCCTCAGCCCCCAAACAGTGGGGGCTTTAACCTTTGCAAAATGCCGAGATAGTACTTGAAGGCTCATTTTTAACACTTCTAGGAGAATTCGCTTATTTTAAAAACTACACCCAGGTTGTTCACAAAAGGAAGACAAGTTACAAGAAGGACTCCAGCAAAGGAAGGTTGAGAAGGACATCAGCACCCCAGGCAACATTCCTGCTAGAGTCCAAGCCTAATGAATTCAATGGCATTCCATGCAACCCTCCTCCTTTACTCAGAGCCCTTGCCACGAGATTCCACACCGCAAAGGGAACTCACCGAAGAAAAGGAATCTCCCCCACAAGAAGGAAGTGAGGGGTACAGAGAAGATGTGGGAAAAAGGCAGATGTTCTTTCCTTTGAGCTGAATAGAAGCTAGGCTGAATAAGAGTCCATCCTCCCTGGCATTTCAGATAAAAAAGGACTTCTGCAAGTCACTTCCTGTTGCAAGAGCACCCGAGAACAGTAAAAGGATCAGCACTGGCTCCCATTTGCCCAAGGATGAGCCACTCAGATTTCTTCTGCCTCACTATATTAGTTCCCTTTTGTTGCCATAACAAATTACGATAAACTGAGTGGCTTAAAATGGCACAAATGTATCTTATAGTTCTGTAGGGAAGGAGTTCAAAATGGGTCTCGCTAGGCTAAAATCAAGGTGCTGGCAGGGCTTTGTGGCTTCTGGAGGGTCAAGGAGAGACTGTCCCCCTACCTTGTTCAGTGTCTAGAGGCTGCTCTCATTCCTGGGCCCATGGCTCACTCCTCCTCTGACTCTGACACTGACACTGACTCTTCTGCCTCCCTCTTCCACATTTAAAGACCGTTGAGGTTATGTTGGTTACAATGGACCCAGGTGGATAACCCAGCATAATTTCTCTATCTTAAACTCAGCTGGTAAATAGCCTTAAGTCATTCCTTTGCCATGTAATCTAACATACTCATGGGTTACAGAGACTAGGATGACATCTTTAGGGAGTCACTATTTTGTCTACCACACTCACAAATTGTACATCTTCAGGAGTGGGTGTTTCATTTCATCATGGCAGCCACAAGCTGCCATAAGGAGGTGGAGTGTCCCACGGAGGGACTCACAAGTCACCTTCCTAATACCCCAGGCACAGTATGCCAGGAATTTCTGGAGCACTGGAATGTATAGTTCCCCCCGGCATGATCCACTAGCTGTATCTGTCTCTGTGTGTGCACACATGGGTATACAGCTGTGTGATCTCAACCCCCAAGAGAAGGAACTACAGCCTATATGCATTCTTGCATCTTCCATGGGATCTGGCGCAACTCTGGAGTCTGAATGACTCAGTGAATACTGGTGGCTTATCTGATCCTAGGGCCAAATAATCCCAGAACCAGGGAATTGCTAAATCTTAGCTTTGGAATTAATCTGAAAGGTATTTATTTAAAAGAACACAGCAGTGTCTATCATACAATAGGCACTTAATTAAAGTTTTTCTCTCTTGCTTCTCTCTCTGGTTCCATTTCTTTTATCCATTTTCATTGTTTAAAAAAAATGACTTCACAGATGAGGAGGGTGAGTTAAAATATGAATAAGGACCAATAATGAAGCTTTTAGCACATTTGAGGATTTTCAGTTCTTCGAGCCTTACCTATCTCCCACCCATCAACTTCATGGTCATAGGAACCCTAAATTTTAACTGTGCTAATTACTTCAACTGTGCTAATTAATTTCAACTGTGTGGTCAGTCCTAAGTATAAAGGGCTATATCTAGTTTCTCCAGTAAGCCATTGGCTGACCCCATTCCCATTTATCAAAAATAATAACTAGCCCTTTCCTTACCCTCACATCTTAAGAGACAAATGAGCTTCTAAGCCTGTGATACCAAAAGCTCTCTATTCCCCACCTTGCCTTCTGCTACCACCAAGTTTGGATACCAAAAAGTACAAAAGAAAAAAGAAAGAAAGAAAGAAAAGGCCCAGTACGAAGCTGTCATGTGAAAATACAGCTCTGTTTGGCAGCAATGCAACCAGAGTTGGGAGATCAAACCAAAGCTGCCAGAGGTTTGCAAATCATTTTTTCCCTTTACCTACTTTGGCGCCAAGACAAACACCAGGGGCAGAGCAGAAGGCAAATGCAATGATGCTGGTGAGCTCGCAGAGTCCTACTAAATTAAGTGTGGAGCCCACATTCAGATTATGTTAAGCATTTTTCACAGCCCTGCCCATGCTAAGAAAAACTGTCACGATCCAGTGTTGAGACACAACCAGCTGTGCTCCCGTGCATCTCAGGAGCCACACTTCACACCTGCCAAGCTCTCCACTCTGGGCTTTTTGGGTACTGGTAAAAAGACGAGGCCACTGAGCCCACCTCCATGGGAGATGTCAACATTTCACTAGCCTGTGGGGGCCTCTAAGGAGATCCATGAGGGATAGCTGCCTGAGAAAGGTGTTCTTTGACACTGTAATCTGGCCATCAGCCTAGTCTGCGGTCCTGCTATAGTCGTAATAGGTCTCTGAGGACCATGGGGCCAACCCAGTGGAACACCTGTGCCACAATGCCCTTGGGCCACCAGGGGAGCAATTTCCATGGATGCTGACCTGCCAGGAGACCCATTTCCTCTACTTAAAGTCCCTGATCTAGTAAACCAGGGCCAAGACCACTGAGGCCCAATTTTCCTGCCTTATGCGTGGGGTCACTAAAGGGACCACAGGAAGAGGACCTGAGAGGGAAATCTTACCAGCCCGATGACTGCTCTGTGCCAGGGCTTCAGCCGAAGCTCAAGCCTTAAAATTTAAAAGCCCCTCAGGGGCCTGTTGGACCTCAAACTCACCTGTTGCTTTTTGAATTCCAAGATCAGAGTGAACTTTGGAGAGGTTGGGCCACCTCCACTCAGCGGCTAGTGGGCATGCAGGAAAGGGGCATGGCAGAAAAGGCAGATGGAGACCTTCAATGGAAGATCCAGTGGGCACTCTGCCAGCAGGCCCTGCTGGGGCTGACCAGCACCACAAGGTGCCAGGGGTGGGGCAGGGCTGGGGAGGAGCCAACGCCTCTGGTTTAGGGCATTCACTAGGATTGAAAACTGCACCCCCCACATTTTGTAAATGGACCCGTCCACCAAGAGAGTCTGGACACCTCAGCGAGGCAGGACACCAGTCAATTTTGTGAAGAAGGGAGTAGAGAGATGGACAGGCAGCAATTTTGATTTTGGCGAGATTTGGAAGGTTACCAGCACTGTGAGTAGCTGCACTATAAAAAGAGTCAGACACTAAGTATTTCCTTTCCCATAAAATATTCATTGCCGCATGGAAGAGCCAAGAAGCCGAAACCTCAAGCATTTCTAACTTTGTACTGCAGTAATAACAGAGTTTTATAGGAACCTTCTGATTGTACTTACACCAGGCTATAAATACACTTCTATCTCAGAGAAAGGAGGGGAGACACATCTAGACCCCCTCAGAGTCTATACTGTAACAAGAAAGACCCCAGGTACACCCACAACTCCATTTAGCATTTCGGCTAGCAAGCAGCAGATGGAGTAATCCGTGATAACAGCTCTTAAAGGAGTGCCTGCCGGGAGGCTCCGGCCCCTCTCATGAACAATGCTCGAGATGGACTCAAAACCTGGTTTATAAATGGTATTGCCGTTGCTTAACAATGGAACAATATCCAGAGCACTTTATATTTACTCAGCTCTTGGCAATTTACACAGGGCTTTCCCATCCCTTTATCCTGAAAACAAGCTTGCGAGGGGGCAGGATGGAGGCTCAGGGAGGGTAAGCAACTTGTCTAAGGTCACACAGCTAGAGGGCAGCGGAACTTCATCCCTCCGACTCTACCCCCAGGCCTCTGGTGCTACCATTGTCCCTACTGACAGACATTGTAAGGCAAAAGGCTAAAATAAAACTTGAGAGATGAAGTGTGTTTGGGCTGCATGGCTGCCCTTTGTGAGTGATTCAGAAAATCAATCAGTCTTGCAGGCATAGTTTTTTCCTTTTTAGTTTATATGAAATAATGAGCCCCTGCCAGAGGTTACCATGATAGGTAACCTGCACAAATAAATCAAGTATTGAATGGTGTATCTCTAACTACTCATATGCATTCACCAGACACACACAGACTTCATTTAACCCGTCTTGTACAGCATTCTAGACCTATACCTATACCTAATAGGTATAGGTTAACAAAATGATGTGTGACAGTTCCAGAACATTTGACATTAAAGTTTCATTTGAAATTAAGTTTAAAAGATTTTTTTTTTACTGTCATAAAGGAGGTCCTTCAGTCTTCCTAACTTCCGCCGCTCCCCCTTTCACACACACCCAGTTAGATTCTGCATAAGGCTTTTTTGGTATGTGAACTCATTGACTCCCAAGTATTTTCTCAAAGAAAGTCAAAGATACAGAGCATGCAAAATCTCCCCATTTTCCCCAAGATACATATATCATACCAAAACCAGACAGATTCTGCCGAAGACTCACTTAGAGCCATTCAAACCAATGAACATGTTTACACATTCTGAAAGCAGTTCTAAGTCTGTCATCGTCAGATTGTCTCTGACCCGCGGTAAGCAGAATAAACCCTGCATCATTAGAAAGTGCTACCGGAAGTCTCTGAGCATTTTAGTTTGAACTGCAATGAAAAAAAGGGGGGGAGCTATGTCCCCCCTCTCGGATTGTTTATTCTGCCTAGCTCAACTTAAAGCTAGTGTGGCCCTCATGGTTTTTAATGGCCCTAAATAACTGAATGAATTTGGGCATTCACTGGAGGGCCATCTGGGGACAGGCCTGCCTATCTGCAAACTGGCAGGCTTCCCTATTTGTTCTGTGGAACAATAAACGTCAATGAATTCGAAGTTTCAATTATTCAGAACGTTTCCAGCACCTGACCCTTAAAAAGAAAAAAACAGAGAAAACAAAAGATTTTATGTGCAAGAATTTAGTAAAAATTTTGGGACAAAAATTTTGAAAGGGTTTCTCAGCCTCAGCACTATTGGCATTTTGGACCAAATAATTCTTTGTAGTGGGGTGGGGGAGCAGGAGAAGGAGACTGTCCTGTTCACGATAGGAAATTCAGAAACAGCCCCAGCCTCTACCCACTACACATCAGTAAACAACCTCTTAGGTTGTGACAAGCAAACATGTCTCAGGCACTGCCAAATGTGCCCTGGAGGACGAAATTGTCCCCCATTGAGAACCACCATCAAAGGGTAAACATGAATCCAAGCTAGTTCTCCATCTCCTGTATGCCACTGTGCAATCACAAATGATAACCAAAATACCGGCCCTCGTGTGCTGCAAGATCATGAAACATCAAAGGATGCAATTACCTCACTACCTTCTACTTACAAAAGCAGGAAAATATCCTAGTCTGTTTTGCAAAGCATTTCAGCAGTGCTTGAACTAAAAGGATTTTCCAGTTAAGCCTCAGTTAGCCAGAAAATGTAATGAATTATCATCGCTCTATCCTGAATATTCCAGTTAACTGTTTCATTTTCTTTACATGCGCATACACACACATGCACAGTATCACCTTAAGCCACGCTTACTTAGCCTCATAAAGAAATTCAACTCTCAGCTGAAAGCATCTATTTTATTTAGGAGCAGTTGGGAGAGTGAATTGGGAAAGCAACTGCAGAGGAGATGAAATGAAGTTTTGATCACCTCACTGGATGCTGTCTTTTTGGTTGTCCAGAGCTCGCTAATAAAAGCCACTGCAAGCCTAGGGACTGCTGCCTACCCACATTCATAGCCAACCCATATACAAAGCTCATACATATTTGTAGATGCGTGTGCTCGCAAGCACACATGCCCATACACAGCCAGCCATCGATGCTGACACTTATGAATTATACACAGTCATGCCCTTGGGGCACAGCATCAGTCCTAGATTCACAAGTGCCACGTCTCAACTAACCTGAAATATGAAAGTGGAAGTGGCCAGGGAGAAGGCCACTCTCCAGCCAAGACCCTCCACCCTGCAGGGTGCACAAGGGCCTCCAACATGCCTTGAGAGTTTTTCAGCTCTCTCCAAAGACAATGCAGCTGGCGGAGTCCAGAGGGATACATTCCCTAAGGCTCTAGGCGGTCACCTGGATGATGCAGTCTTCTCAGGGATCAGGACACACCCTTGGGACATTTGCTGTTTACCCCCAGAAAGAGAGTGTGCCTTCAAAGCAAACAGGCCTCCCTCCCAAGCTAACAAGCAGAAACTTTTCGTAAGTGAAAGAAAAACAAAGCCTGCTCCTCCCTGGGCATCCTGTCTCTCTCTAGGACTATCATTAAGAGACACTTGATTTCCACACACACCTTGCTCGTCCAAGGAAATCAATATGAAAATCAATTCATCCACTGATATATTTTATCAAGATACATGTGGCAATGCCACATTTCATTTACGGTGCGGCACTCAGAGAAGCCAAGGTCACTGGATAGAAAGCGGGCCGCAGGAGAGAAGGAGGGGGGAGAAGCCCATATTCTGTGCTGGCTGCAAATAGAAAAATGAATGAAATAGGAACAGAGATAGAAAAGGGAGCCTAGGGATGCAACAATTACTGTATGTAGGAGGCGCAGCGTCATTGCGGCTTGCCAGCTTGTTTAAATGTGAAATAGTTGGTAGATTTAAAATGCTAACTATTTTTCTTCTGACCATGGCAAATGGAAAATGGTTTCACAAGCATGCCAGTCAGTAGAATATAAAATATTTCTGAGCAGGAAATGAAGAGGGAGGAAGAAGAAAAAGGGGCGGAGGGCAAGAGAGACCAGACAGAATCTGGCCAAGACAAAGAATGAAAGGGAATAGGCAGGTGGGCCAAGGGGCGCGTGCTGGGAGCCTGCGTAAGGCAGGAAGCAAATGGGCATTTCAACAAGCCTTGGGGAGGAAAATTATGATATCTGCATGGCTGCAAAGGGGCATCGTTTTAGTAAATTTGAAAGTGATTTGCCACACACGACACCATCCTACTCCAAGGGTTCTCTGCCGGCTCCGGTGGCTGCGCCACGGATCAAATGTACTCAGTAATTGCAGAGTCACTGCTACCCTCTCACCTCTAAACAGAGCAGATTAAAATAGCATGAACAGCTATAATAACAGGTTTGGGATTCAGCTTTTTACAGCCAGAAAAATGCTTATGGAAATAAGGATTTTGCTGACTATTTTCAAAGTGAAGCAAAGGAGAGAAAAGTAGCCACTGGAGCTGAAGACAAAATTGTACCTGGTGCCAAGTGGGTTCTGGGCTACCACACGCCCCCACCCACGCAGACCCAGATGAAAGTGGCCAAACAGATTCTGGGCACCTGAACGCACATGGGGAGCTGTGCTCTGCTCCCTCCCAACCCGCCACTGACACTGGGGCCTGTCTCTGTCCCTTTCCTTCTTGCTCCAGAGCTCAAGAGGTCCTGCAAACTCTATTTGGGGTCTTGGAGACTCTATCTCTCCCTGGTGTTTGCAGTAGCCGCCTCTGGGCTGCTTCAGTGCCCCAGGGCTTGGCAGGATAAATAGCACATCAGGGGCAGGTGACAGACGTGTGCCCACCTCTAGGGAAGGCACTAACTTAAAACCCTTCTAAACCACCCAGGCCTTCAATGGCCAGAACCCACAGCCAGACACCACTTGTCTCTGAGGACCTGAACTTCACTTTACAAGATTACAAGTCTCCTCCAAACACACCCAGGAACAACAAGCACAGCTAACCCTCATGAAGTGCTTACTGTGTGCCAGGTGCTAATAAGGGTTTTATTGGCTTCACCTCACTGCATCCCATAACACACCCTAGGAGCTAGTCGCAGTTTTTACCCGCCATTTCGCAGGTGAAAAAAACTAAAGGTCAGATGTTTAAGCAATTTGCCTAAGATCCTACAGCTAGAAGTGTTGGAGCTCGGATTCAAACCCCAGACTGTCTGACTCCAGAGTCTGAGATCTTCACTTCACCCCACTGTGCCCATGTGGCCACGGCCATGCAGAAGTAGTGGGTGGCTGTCGTATCCGGGAGGTGCTCCCGGGTGTTCAGGCTGGCAGAGAGCAGGTGCCTGGGCAAATGGATCCTGGTCATGCAGGGTCACTGCCCTTCCAAACCACCAACACCTTGGGATCCCCCCCAGGCTCTCCTAAGGAAGAGACATAGCTCTAGTGGCTTCTCGCCCATGGCTGCAATGGTGGACACACTGTGCTAAAGCCAGGGACCAGACGAGACTGAGTTCCCAGAGAGACAGAGATTTTCCAAAGTCTATCAAACTGAGCAAGAAAGGCTTAGATCCAGACAACTCCCAGCCCTATACCCTTCCCACTGAATCTTTCTTAACTTGCTGGGAGTCGCTAGCAATGGAGTCAGGAGGCTGGGGATGGAGGAAGGACTTCCTCTCAGTGCCAAGACTCTAGCCTTCCAAGGGGGAGACGGCACCAAGATTCTGCAGCTCCATCCCAAGACATGTGCTGAGCTTAGGTGCGCTGTCCAGGGCAAAAGGCTAATCACATGACCCAAAGCTCCTCTCCCGGACTGTGGAGGAAGCACATATGGCATCAGATGGGAATCAGAGTCTGCATAGCCATGTGCTAACAGTGGATGGAAGATTCAGGCTTCACCAGCAATGCAGTAGGCCCCTTTCTGAGTTCTTCTGACTCCCCAGCCCCTAAATAACCCCATTCTGAGGTCCCCTTTCTGATCCTTCCCTCCTCTAACTATTGACGCAATTCCTAGTCAAGAGCTCAAAATCAGGCACTGCCTCCTACCCATCCACAAGCACCTGAAAAGCAAAGTATTCTTAGCAACAGCAGAAGCAGCCATTTAACAGAGTGTGTATGTGTGTATGCATGCATGTGTGTGTGTGTACTGGGGTGGGGAGTGTGAGGGACATCAGACCATTACAGTGGTTCTCTAACTTTAGTGTACATTGGAATTATCTGAGGGGGCTTATTTAATACAGAGTTCTGCTCCCACTCCAGGAATTCTGATTCTGGCCCATCCGTGTGGGCTGAGGAATTTTCACACGCACACCATGGGAGTCCAATGCACGTGGCTCAGCAGGTCACTTTGAGAACCCTTGATCTGCAATGGAAGAGAAGAGACGTCTAGGCTGGGGATTCTCATGAGAGAAGCTGCACCAGGAGGGCACATCACACAGGAAAGGCTTTGAAAATGCATACGACCCCCTCCCACCATCACGCTGAGATGAAGGGGCTACACTGCTGTCACCAAGCTCTGTGATCCAGGGGAATAGTGGAGTTGGGGGGCAAGGGGGAACTGCAAGAGCCAGGGAGTGCTAACCCTGGGGTCCAAGGCTGGGTCCAGAAGCCAGCATTCCCTAACCTCTGCTCCAATGAAAGAAGAAAGGACAAGGTCCTGGCCTTCAAGATGCTTACAACCTGCTGCGGAGAAGAGACTATTACACCCAAAACAATCAAGGAACATGACAAGCTGATTTCAAAATAACCACAATTTCGTCAGGCAGAGACTCCATTCTAGAGTTGACTGGGAAGTGGAGAAATCAGGATGGCCCCTCGTAGGTCAAGGAGCTCACTGGGTCCTCAGGCCATGAGTGGCTTCTCTCCCAAGGTCATGTGACCTGGGCCTCTAGTTTCAGCCAAGGACACACAGGGTCTCCCTCCAGTTTGTGAAAGTCTCCAAGGAATAGACTTTCAGAACCTCGCTCAAGAGACAGTAATGTCTGACCATCCCTTCAACCTCTCACCTCACCAGTGTCACTGCAGCCGGATCCCTAACCCCATTCTTGATGAAGACAATGCCAGGGCCACTCTCAACAACAATACTCAGCTTCCTTAAAATGGATGTGAAGGGCCTCACTACCTTCTCTGTTTTAGACTACATCCACCCAGCTCTACCCAGGACCAACCCCAGAAGACCCAGTTGAACAGGCTGGCCCAGATCTATAGTCACCCACAGCCAGTACCACCTCAATAACTTGACATGTCCCAGAGGTGGGAATGAGGCCGGAATGGACAGCTGCCAGGAAAACTGCATGGATAATGAAACAGAGAGAAAGAGTTATTAAGGTTCCTATTTTATGGCTCCTTCTAGATCACATATTTCAATACAGAGCAGCAGATTCACCTCGTTTTAAGACCAGATGGGGCAGAGCTGGCATTAGACAAAAGCATTATCCACGCCTGGGCAAAAGAAATGGATTCCAATGAGAGATCACAGAAGCAAAAGTCTCAGTGCCAGAAAGATCCTAAAAATGGCAGAACCTATGGGGCACAGCTTGTTCCAACCTTTCCATCTAGGAGGACACATTTAACAGGAGCAGGAGGCTGTGGATATGACTGATGACTTGCTTCCCAATGTACTCCAGAACTCTCCTTTTACAAATAAGGACACATCACTCCAAGAGTTGGAGTGTGCAAACCCAGATCTGGCTCCAAAAGGCAGTGATATTTTCACCTCTTCAGGAGAAGGCTGCTTTGCTCCTTTTGTTCCCTCTGTTGCCTCTTCATGTGAAAAGAGATGCGTATTGTGGAGTGAACTTCCTTTATGGGGGTCAAGTAGGACCGTAAAAGACCTCCTCTAGCTGTCTGAAACGAAAAAGGTCTAAAGCAAGATGGCGCTCCTGCAACAAACAGCACCTGGACCCCCTCCAGCCAGCACCGCTTCTGCCCTAGAGGGAAAACCAAAGGAGGCCAGGAGGTCCGACTGATCTGGGGGAGGAGACTTGGAGGACACCTTTCACCTCCTACTTTCCTGCAACCATCTCCTCCTTGTGAAGGCAAGACAGGCCCCTTCTGCAGGCTCGATGAAAAAAAAAAAAGTCCTACAAGGAAAGACAAAAATGAAAACAAGAATGACATCATGTGGAATTTGTGTGGGAAACCTGTTGTCGGATAGTTAGATAACCTTGGGCACACTCCTCAACTCCATGGGCCACAGCTTTCTCACCTCTAACACACAAAAAGATAATACCACCTGTCTCCTACCTCAAAAGGCTGCTCTACGGTTACATAGATCAGGAAGGAAACCAGTGGGGCAAACTATTAAAAATCAGTAAACTCCAAATGGGTAAGGTGATATGGGTGCTCTCTGTATTATTCTTGAAACTTTTCTGTAAGCTTGAAATTATTTCATAAAAATAAAGCACATTCATTTCCCTAGAGGAGAGCTGAAATGGAGAGCAAATAAGGAATACTGTTAATTCTTTATAGATATCTTTGTACTGCCTCTCTTGTTAAAATGAGTGTGTGTTACTGACACTGCTGTCATTTTTTTTTTAACTCCAATAGAACTATAAAGGAAAACAGGCAGATGAGGAAGGTAAAGGATCTGGGATCTGTGGCTGACCCCGAGAAGAGGGTCAGGCCCAGTAACTATCTGCCTCCCTCCCACCCTTTAGCCCACTCCCTTTGTGCTGGGAGAGCAAGAGAGTGAGCATGACCATGCCTCCCCAAACACAGTGCAAGCTTCCTGAGGTCAAGAGACTGCTTCTCTTCTTGCTCATGAACTCTCCTCCTCCACAGCACCCTCGTGCTGCACTCCACACTCAGTGGTCATTCAATACCTGCGTCCAACTGACAATGAGAGCAAGTGAGAGGCTGGAACAGGTGTACCCTGCACAGTCATTAGAACGGAGAGATTTTCATCAGCCTGACTTGGCTTAACTGTCTCCTTCTGGTACATGAAGCTCAGGTTTCAGGGATATGGCCAAGAGATGCTGATTTGCCAGTGGCCGAAATGGTGAGGTCTTCTCAGTGCTATGGACCCAAAGGGTTAATGTTCAGTTGGTTTTTTTTGTTTTGTTTTTGTTTTTTTTTTTTTTTGGTTTTTTTTTTTGTTTTGTTTTTGCCTCTTCCCCCATCCCCTTTCCAAATGACTGGCCTTAATCCCAGAGCTTAGCAAGGCTGGAATTCCAGAACACCTCAATTCTGGACCTTGTTTGGTAGGGGGTTGGCGAAAGAGGTTCAGGGAGAGATGCTAAGAGAGAATAGAGGGTGGGAGAAGCATTTGGGGGTAAATCTGAGGACTCTGTTGCATGCTGTGGCCTTTTCAGTCATCATAGCCATGAACACATGGCCACCCAGAGCCCCTCTTCTTCTAATAACCCCTGGCATAAGCGCAGGTGACAGTGATGTATTAAAAAATAAAGAAGGCTGTTTGCTTCCATAAGTTACCCTGACCCCGCAATGAGGGCCTCGCATCACACTTACGGTGACTGCTAAATTGAGCAAACATGACACAGATGTCCTAAGAGTCACAAAGAGAATCAGGCTGGACTTCACTCCCCATTACCCCCGACCATCTCCGCAAAGCAGAGTGACCTTAAAAGCAGAATACATCTGCTGAAACCCTGTTGAAATTATTCATATGTTTTGATTCCTAATTCAGAAATAATAAGTGGTTCATGGGTTCCAAGTTTAAAAATATATTCATCATCTGGTCTCTGTTGCGGCACGTATCCCACTGGCACTGGAGGTGACACCACAAAAGGCTCCCGTAGCAGCCTGGCGCCCGTATATCCATTTAGCCACAGGTGACAGGGGTGGGTGGCTCCACTGCTCCTCTTTTCATTTTATTAAAACCCTATTTTAAGGCCACTGTCAAGAAGAGTGACTTAATTCCTTTGGAACATAGAGCTAAGAGACTGGCAAACTGTAAATCTGGCTCTTTCTTGACTGCTCCTCAGAAAGTACAAGAAATGGGAATTTAGACTCAATTTCAAATACCATGTGTAAACTGAGACACAGGGCAGCTCATTAGGAGTGTGTTCACAGCCAACAGGAACCCAAGGCCACCCTCAAACATTCCTTTTCCAGAAAGTCCTCTCTAATTACATACACACAGACAGACATGTGCATACATACATATATGTATATATATGCCTGTACATATGTGTATATATGCACACATCTCGTATATGGATACACACACGCACAGCAGGACTATTCACCCCAAGTGCAATGTGTTTGAGTTCGACAATGAGGTTTAGATTCTAATCTGGCACAGGACATTGTCTTGGCAGGGTATTCAGCCTTTTCATCTGCACTGGTCTCCTTCTGGGGGAGCCAATGAGATCCATTCTATTCCCAAGGCCCAAGAGTGGATCCCAGCAGCCATGTTATCCTACATGACTACTATGGACTGAATTGTGCCCCTCTACAATTAATATGTTGAAGCGCTGATCTCGAATGTGACTGTTATTTGGAGACAGAACCCGTAAGGAAGTAATTAAGGTTAAATGCGGTCCTAAGGGTGGGTCTCTGATCTGACAGAATAGTGTCCTTGTAAGAAGAGACACCAGCTCACTGTCTCTTTCTCCACCCTGGGAGGACTCGGCGAGAAGGAGGCCATCAACAAGCTAGAAAAAGAGCCCTCCCCAGACACCAAATCTGCTACCACTTTAATCTTGGATTTTCCAGCCTCCAGAACTGTGAGAAATAAATTTCTGTTGTTTGAGCCACCCAGTCTGTAGTATCTTGTTATGACAGCCTGAGCAGACTTAGATAAATAACACTCACCACAAAGCCTTCGGTGAGTGATTGGCCAAGAGTGGATAACTATCCAAGCTGCATCAGACAGACTGTGTCTCTTTCTAGAATTTGGGATACACACAGGGAAAGCTGAATCAAGCCTGGTCACATGTAAGCCTGGGAGTCCTGGGGTGGTCATTTTTCGACTCTGTGGTCTGCAGAGAGGTGAAAATGGAAATACGTGCAAAGACTAAACAAGCATGAGAAAGAGAGAGAGAATTCCACCTAAGTTTCTAACAGTTCATTCTTAGTTCCGCTCACTTGCCTTTCAAAGATGGGGCCATGCTCCTGTCCCTGGGCTCCATAAAACCTTCCTTTATTATGATATTAAATCCTCTTGTTTAACTTAGGCTGGCATAAATTGGTTATTTTACTTTCCACCAAAAAAAGCCCTATGTAATACACATTTACATAGACGTCGTGATCTTTAAGAGCCAAGCCAGTGTCTTCTCTCTGTTTATTAGCCACCTACCCCCACAGTAAATGTGCATATTCTGCAGAGACCAAATGACAAACATCCATTGAATTGAAACCAACAGGTACATCTGCCAAAGAACACGCCACAAACCAAACACAGCCCAACTCAAGCTCCAGATAAAAAGCAGTCTGAAGCAACACGTATTTCTTTCCTGAGCCATAGATCTATTACAGATTCTAAGGATGCCATGTTTTTCCTCCTATATGCCTCACATACAGGGCGTGCATTCAGGAAGTGAAGAATAAAAGGCCGTTTCCATTTTTGGTCCCACCCTCTCTGCCAACCATACCAGGCACACATCTGCTAGAATAAATGGTTGCTATAGAAATCACCATTTTTGGAACAGGCAAACTCAGTGTCTATGAAGAATGCAGCCATTTCAGTCCTCAGTAAAATCTGTGGACTTGGGACTCAGGAAGTGTCTTAGAGGACAGCCAGTACCTTGCAGCCAAACTTACCAAACACAGGGTCATGACATCTCACATCTCAGGAAATGCATCTTGACAGTCCAAAATGAAGTGTTGCCAACAGGAACAAAGGTTATGCTAGAAGACCCTGCATTGAGAGTAGACTCAGAATTTGGAAATGTCTGTGAAAAGCTACAAAACTGCGAGTATAATATACTGGGCAAGGATTTGGGATCTGGGATCAGACAGTCATGATTTCAAATTCCAGTTCTACCACTCAAAGGCTGTAGAACCCTGTGCAAATTACTGACCCACTCTGTGCCTCAGTTTCCTCACCTGCAAAATGGAGATAATACCAGTCCCTATGTCATGGGATTACTGTCATGACTAAATGAGATAATGGATGTAAGCATTCAACCAATGGCAGCAGTATGAGTGGGATCCTGAAATAGCCATGGTGCTAGCCACAATCAAGAACCAGGCATGAGAATAAGAAAGACGACACAGCCAGGGTTTTGTGTTTTGATTTGGTGAGAAAATGACCTCCCCACCTTACTGGCAGCCCCACCAAGGATTCAACTTCCACTCTAGAGCCTAGCAACTAGGACTCCTAGCGCTTCCACACTTGCGTTCAGAAGCCACGGTGCCCTGGAGCTGGCTTGCACCACTGTGTACACCTTTTCTCAACTCCGCCTTCAGTGACCACACCAGCAGCTTGGAATTAGCCATGGTGGGAGTATCTACACCACAGAAATCGCAAACACTACCAGTCTGGTGTTTCTCACCTGGATTAAACATTTCCTAGCACATCAACAGAAGAATATTCTCACCAGGAAAGTGGGATCTGAAAAACCCAGTTTGATACCTAAGGTTCTATACAATTCTATGGTGTCTCTAAACGTGGGTCAGGCAGGATTCACACGAACTGCAAGTGAGCATCCCTGATTGGCTCTCCAGTCTTTTTTCCAACCATTTAACTATGCAGACCGACTCCAGAGTAGGTGCTGCCCAAGGAGGCACCATCTTGAAGCGGCCAAGGCTGTATGGCTTCCCAGGAGAGGGAACACAGAGTCCAAAAGGCTGAAGAGGAGACAGGTCCAGCATCCACGCTGCCCTGCTCTCCTTCCCCTTTCTTCTACAGTTCCCATTGCTTCACCCCGACTCCAGGCCAGTCACCATCCCCACAACCTGCAGACTCTGACAAAGGCCCTCTGCTCCCTCGATGGGCCCTAATGTGACACTGCCACCCTTTAGACCCTGTATTCAGCTTAAGTAAATACAGCATCCGAAGACACGCAGAGAAAGTGTGCGGGAGGGTCTCAGACTCAGTGGTTGCCAGTGGTGAGTGTGGAGCAGGGACAGAGGGGAAGAAGAGTTGAAGAAAATGGGACAAATTAGAAGAGCAACTTTCATCTCACACGATAGTGATCTAAGGAGTCAGGATTTCCTTCTTTCCTCTTCAGGAAAGAGGATTCGGCTTTAAAGGATGAGATCCAGGGTGGACTGAAGGAAAGGGATGAAACAGTAGAAGAGGTGAAGGGAGTTCAAGATGAACAAAGCCAGGGGGAGCCAGGGGAAGTCTGGTGGAAGGGAAAACTCGCTAAGGCGGTCTTTAACCTCACTTGCTTCCAGGCTGCTGCCCTGCCCCATGTCCCCATTCATCCCATAACATCAGGATGTGTTGTGGGCTCTGCCTGGAGTGGTTCTGAGAGAACCTCAGAAACAAAGGCCTGAGGAGTTTGGGGTGGCTCCTGGGAAGGTATGGAAAGATACTCTCTGGCCTCAGCCAACCGCCTTCCAAGTGATCGAAGGTAGAGTCCCATCTCCTCTCCCTTACAGATTTCCCTCCTGAAAAAGCTCCAAGAGGCCACCTGGCTCATTCCACTGCCTCCAGACAAGACCCTCCAACTGTGTCCACCAGGACTCTGTCCTTCTTGTAATCATTAGAGAAGACTCTGCAATCTTTCTCCAAGAAATCCCTTCTCTAAGAAAGGCGCTCAGTCTAGAGTGAACAACTCCCAGCGGTGAGAGCTTTCCTCACTGAATGCTAGAAGGAGGCAGCGTGCCATGGAAGTGGGAAAAGCTGCAGTATTAGTCAAGATCCTCGCTCCACCGCTTGCTAGCTGTGTGACACCAGGTAAAGCGCTTAACCACTCTGAGCTTCCATTTATCATCTGTACTCTGATTTAACAATACCACAAAATTGTGAGGATTAACAAAACTCTGTCTTTTAAAGAACCTAACTCAGAGACTGACACGATACAGGTGCTCATGAGATGAGAGCTGCTACTCTGGTTGTTAAAATCCACATTGCTCCATCACTGCAGAGACCCAAACAGAAGTTTTCTATCCATCCTTGAGTGTCCCACCAACTCTAAACTTCTCTGATCCTACAACCCCCATACAAAAAACACAGCACCTGTCGTACTTTCTCTTTCCAGTTTCACCAGGACAGTGCTGGGCCTCATTGAGAATAGCAGTCGACACTGCATTAGAGAGCTCCTGGTGGGAAATCCAGCAGGCCAGTCCAGGTCAGCAAAGGGGAAAGCAGTGGTAGAGAGTGAACCTGTACACACATGTGCACACACACACAGACACAAACACACACACACACGCGCGCACACACACACACAAACTCGTATACAATACCCCCTAACAACGCCCCCTAAATTCTTTTTTTTTTTTTTTTTTTTTTTTTTTTGAGACAGAGTTTCACTCTCTCACCCGGGCTGGAGCGGAGTGGTGTGGTTTCGGCTCACTGCAACCTCTGCCTCTCAGGTTCAAGCGATTCTCCTGCCTCAGCCTCTCAGGTATCTGGGACTAAGGCACCCACCACCACATCCAGCTAATTTTTTGTATTTTTAGTAGAGACATGGTTTCACCATGTTGACCAGGCTGGTCTCAAACTCCTGACCTCAGGTGATCCGCCTGCCTCAGCCTCCCAAAGTGCTGGGATTACAGGTGTGAGCCACCGCACCTGGCCCCCTCTAAATTCTTTGTAACAAAAGTCAACCTGAAATGTCAACCTGAACTCCAAGTCACTGTCTGAGCCATCTGTGCATCCTCCATTCCTCACTGTTGTAATCTAGAGCTTGTTACTTTCAGACAGGGAAAACCATGAAAGCCAGAACACTCTGTCTCATCACAGAGACGCAACCCTCCTTTTATTAAAAACATTTGTCTCTTCATAACCCCTCACTCAACACAAATTATCTTTTACCTGTTCTCCTAGGGGTGAGAGTAGAAATGCAATATGAAGCAGAAAGCCCTGGTTCCAGTCACTTCATCTCCCCAGGCCTAAGTGTCCTCAGGAAAGATAACAAATTGTGTGATCCCCAAGTGCTAAGATTCCATAATAGATATTTGAGAATTACTCATGATGACTGATAGATAGGTAAATAAATTAAATAAATCCTTTCCAAGACTGCCCAACAAATAAATAGATAAACAGATAAATAAATAAACAAATCCTTCCCAAAACTCTAGCCTGGGCCAGGCACGGTGGCTCACACCTGTAATCCCAGAACTTTGGGAGGTGAGGCAAGCAGATCACTTGAGGCCAGGAGTTTGAGACCAGTCTGGCCAACATGGTAAAACCCTGTCTCTACTAAAAATACAAAAATTTGCTGGGTGTGGTGTCAGGTGCCTATAGTCCCAGCTACTTGGGAGGCTGAGGCAGGAGAATAACTTGAACCCAGGAGGTGGAGGTTGCGGTGAGCCAGGATCGCACCACTGCACTCCAGCCTGGGCAACAGAGCGAGCCTCTGTCTCAACAACAGCAACAAAAATCAAAAACACCTCTAATCTGTTTTCTCTAGACCCTGTGGATTTTAGAAAGTAATCAAATATGCAGTTAGATTCAAAACACTCATTTCAGACACACACACCTGGGGTCCTGTGATTAAGTCAGTTGTGCCTCTACACCCAAGGATTAAAATTTCACAGAGTCATGATTTCGTCAGTCAGTAACTACAAAGGATTAATTAGGAGCAAGGGAAGAGTTTATAGCTCACGAACCCAGACCTAAGGAAAATATCTATCTCTGCTCTCCAGATGTCAGCACACACATGAATGAAGGTCTTTGATGAAAACACTTTACATTATTCAAGGGACTCCAAAAATACTGTTTTCTGCCAGGAAATTAAGATACTTCTCATTCTTGTTCATGCTAAAATATCATCAGAACTCAATGAATGCAAATGAATTAGTATACTGACAACTTCTGCTTATCAAAATATCTTTCCTTCAAGACCCACTGCAAATATTGCAGACTACCTCTATATAGTTTTTCCAAGACCTCCTCAAACTCCATGTCCAAAAGAGAGACTTTGGTTTTCCACCCAGAACTCCTTCTCTATTCCCACCATCCACCAGTTATCCAAGCCAAAACCTCAGGAGTCTCAACCAACTCCTTCCTCAAACTTCACCCCCAATCAACATGACCTGTTCATTTCCCCCTACAATGTGCCCTTCCCTCTCCACCTCCTTTGCTACTTCCCTACCTCTGCTTGTTCTCTCTCACCTAGACCACTTGACGGGCTCCTAGGTGGTTCCTCTGACTCCCACATATCCATCCCCAATGCTGTGCTCGGGGTGCTCCAAGTCATAATTCCTATTATTTCACTCCCGGGATTAAAACCTTTCAACACCTTCTCCCAAATTACAGAATAAAAGGTCGGCTTCTCTCTCTGCTGCACAAGCAAGACTTCATGATAGGCTCACAACCATACCTCCAGCTACTATCTCTACCAACCTCTTTATACATCTCAAGCTCTGGTGAAACCAAATGGCCTGCAGCTCTCTCTCCCTCCTTCCCCCGGCCTTTGCGTGTGCTGTTACCTCTACCTGGAATGCCTTTCCCTCTGGTCTAACCAGTGATCTTCCTCTCATCTTTTAAGATCTTGCTTACAAGTCACCTTCTCAGCAAAGCCTTATCTATAGCCCCTCCCAAAACCTAGTCAATTGCTGCTTCACCTCCATTTCCTCTACACTTTGTTCTACATTTTATTACCACTTGTATTCTACTATAAAGTGCTGCTATGTCTCAGTGTCTGCCTCCCCTACCAGCTTATTAGATTCTTGGGGACGAGGGTCAAGTTTCTGGACTTCTGTATCTCCATTGTCTGGTATACAGTAGGACTCAATAAACACTCATTGAATAAATAAGTCAGATGTGATCATTCCCCGCTTGGAGCTTTCACTGCATTTACCAATTGTCTTAGGGAACATGTTTTATTCTATCTTTCATTACAGCCATGTGTGTACTAGTTCTAACCCCAAATTAAGAGCTAGGAACGCATTACGCCTCACCATTACTTCTCCAACAGAGCCAAACACATCTAGTAGGTATTCAGTAAATATTTGATGAGTTGAATAAAGTGAGTTCAAAGCTGCTCCCCAGTGGACAGGACCTAGCTTTAAAAAAAGAAGATGACGATGCAATGACGCAATGCTCAATCACCTACTTAGGAGGCCCTGAGAGGTTTTCAAATGCCCAAATATCCATCTTCTGAGCTGAGGGTTACAGAAGGTCAGATTCCAACCTAAGCATGAGGAGAAGTTCAGCAACGCCTAAATTTTAGAAAGTAATCAAATATGCAGTTAGATTCAAAACACTCATTTCAGACACACACACCTGGGGTCCAGTAATAAAGTCAGTTGTGCCTCTATACCCAAGGATTAAAATTTCATAAAGTCATGATTTCATCCGTCAGTAACTACAGGAAGACTGTACCATTTCAGGTCAGTGGCTCCCCAGCTATTAATGTCCCCATCACCCCTCACTTCGCCGAGGCTGTCCATTAAGCATACTTAAACACATGTACCCATATTCTTATTTCTTCTAGAGCTTTCTGCCCCCAATTTCAGCAAACCTTGAAGCTGGGAGTGAAAACCTTGAAGCTTGAAATGAAAATTTTCTTGCAAATAAAAGACAACCTAAACCTATCTATCTGCAGTAATTGCTTCCAGTGGTTTTGATTCCCTGCTTCATGGACAGGGTGGGGAGGGGGTATAGCCAGCTGCCCATGGCTCTGCACGAAAATGTGAAGCCCCGGGCACAGTCCCCTAAAGTTAGCACATGAACGCATGCTCGCTGGGAGCCAGTATGGAGATCCCTACTGCAGGGTAGGGGCAGCGCCTGCCTCTCTGTCCTTCTCCCCTCCCCTCCTCTGGGAAAGACAAATTAGCGGGCCGTCAGCGGAGGACAGCCACAGCAGTTGTGTTTCTGTAAAGGGGCAGTGGAAGTGTCTTTGATTAATGAAACCTTAATACGTGGCTGTTAGACAACCTCTCTTCAGCTGCTCTGAAAGAAGACAGATCCCTTCAGACAGGCTTCAGAAAGACGGGAAGGAAAGCTGGTGTACACCCAGTACCCCACTGGGAGACGTCCTCAGCAAGCAGCCAGAGAAGAGGCACAGCGCGGGAACTTCTGCTCTAGGGGTAGGAATGTGGTGGGACCCATCTCTCTCCTTGGAAGAATGTGGGACTCTCGCCTGCTCACTAAAACCAACACCTGCCGATGTGCTAAGAGTCCTCTTGAAGTCCCAACAATAGACATCAAAGCTGATGTTTGGAAGTTCAGATAACAAGGAAAGGGAGTTTAAAAAAAAAAAAAAAAAAAAAGGAGGAAGGAGGGAGGAAAACAACACCAACAAAAAGTCTGTCTCACCTTTGATCTCTGGAGAGGCAACAGACCAAACACTTTAAACTATGCTGGAGGACATACACCGTCCCTGCTCACCTATAAAAGCAAAGGTTCTTTTCTCTAGAAGGTCTTTCCCAAAGATGGTAGTAAAAGGCTCCAGTGTCTCAGGCGAGGGTAGAGAAATTAAAGAAGTATACAGGTTTGCAGCAATATTCCATCCTTACACAACCCTCTCCTACCTCCCTCTTAACAAAAGAAGAAAGGAAGAAAGAAAATAATGAGTGCCCTGAGATCTTTATTTCTGTGCCCCTGTAGCCCATCAGCATGGAACGACCTGGGCCAGGCACAGTGGCTCACACCTGTAATCCCAGCACTTTGGGAGGCCGAGGCGGGAGGATCACTTGAACTCAGGAGTTCGAGACCAGCCTGGGCAACATGGCGAAACCCTGTCTCTACAAAAAATATACAAAAATTAGCTGGGCATGGTAGTGCACACCTTGCAGTCCCAGCTACTCGGGAGGCTGACATAGGAGGATCGCTTGAGCCTGGCAGGCAGAGGTTGCAGTGAGCCAAGATTGTACCACTGCACTCTAGCCTGGGTGACAGAGCGAGACCCTGCCTCAAAAAAAAAAAAAAAGAAAAAACATATAGCATAGAATGATCTGTAGGACCTCTATGCAAATCAACTCAGAGCTAGAACATTCTAGAGAACATATTTACTTCCATCCTGATTTCCATCCCATATAATGAAAAGTATGTTCTGTTCCTGGAAAGAACTTTTTGATAAGAACTGAAACAAACTCTTTTTACAAACACTATGCCTTCAGTCATCTCCCTGTTCCCTCTATTGAGCTAAGCCTGGAACTCAGCAGCAAAGATAAAGATCAACCAAGTAGGAGAATAACAAGAAACTGTTTAAATATTTCAGATGCTCAAAAGGTCTAACAAATGATAGCAAACTGCTCATATACACTGAAGCCCGGTGGTCCCTCCCCAGTCAGGTTTCCCTCCCATCCCCGTCATCCCAAAGTAACATCGCTTGTAAATTTCCTACCTTTGGACTTCATCCATTATTCTGTCTTTCAACAGACATTCACTGCTCCCCAACATTGTGGCCGACATGGACGAAGTCTCAGGGACATGTTCTCCAGAAATCATTGTCAACTAGAATATCAAGTTATTCTGGACCCCAGTATCTCTACTTATTTCCCGAAAATAAATCATGGAGATAGAAACAGCACTATTTCTACTGAATCACCTGAAGGTTCTAAGACAGCCATGGGATGAGTTTTTATCCCTACCACCCATTACTGCCACTAAGAAATCAGCTTTCTAATAGAAAAGAAGTGGGAGTTTCGCCTTACCATGGATTTAAACTTGGCTAATTTAGCTAATATTGATTGTGCAACTTTGTGTTGACTAATTGAATAAATGAATATAAAAATAAAAGAATGAATTCCAGGTTTCAGTTCAGGACTAACTGGATGATTAGATGACTAACTTATATCTGCCCCAATAACCTCCATAGAATTGATTTTGAAAAAGCCTCCACTAGCTTCATTTAGGAAGAGGAATAGACAGCAGTAGTCAAAGTAGAATAAGGGATTTCAAAGAAAGGTCATTTACAGAATGTCTCTATTTTTTAAGCCCTCTTCCTGAACAAATTTTCTAAATCCCAAACTGGAGAACAGCTTCAGAAGGGCAAAGATCTTTACTTACTCCTACTTGCCCTACAGTGCCTCACTCAAAGCAAAACACTTGTCAGGTACTCAATAAATATCTGTTGAATAAGCTGCCATGAACTCACCTTTGGGAATAGGTCATGATTACAGGGTTTTTAGATTGAGAATACTCTGAAATCAACGCTACCAGCTCTGGAATTCCTTCTTCCTTGGTTCTCTCCCCTTCATTCTTCCCAAAATTCCAACCAGTGTCCTCAACCTAATTTATGCCAAATACCCGAAGTGTTGGACTTCAAGACCCCAAATATCTCTTTTGAAGAATGTCCCAGAAGAACGTATAGGAGGAAAGAATGGATAAGAATTGACCTGTCTGGTAAATCACTTATGTACTTATAAATGGTTGTTATACACCGCTAAAGACAGTATAGAATTCAAAGACGAGTGAGACAGAAGACAGCATCTCTGCTATCACATGACACTCTAAGAAAGATTAGACATGCAGAGATGTATCTTCCATAAGCCAGAAAGCAGCAGGTACCTTGAGAATAAAAATGAAGTGTGTGGGCTGGGTGCAGCGGCTCATGCATGTAATCCCGGCATTTTAGAAGGCCTAAGCGGGAGAATGGCTTGAGCGCCCAGGTGGTCATGATCAGCCTGGGCAATGCAGTGAGATCCCATCTCTAAGAAAAAATTTTAAAAAATTTAAAAACCTAGGTATGGTAGTGCATTCCCTGTAGTCACAGCTACTTGGGAAACTGAGGAGGGAGGATCACTTGTGCCTGGAAGGTCGAGGCTACAGTGAGCTATATAATCAGGCCACTGCACTCCAGCCTGGGTGATAGTGCGAGACCCTGTCTTAAAAAAAAAAAAAAAAAAAGAAAATGAACTGTGTGAAAATAGAAATGGCTTTATGGAGCCTACATTTCAACTAGGTCTTAAAGACTGGGTAGAGCTATGAGAGAGAACAGTAGGACTGCCTTCTGGACAGGTAACTCTTAGGAAAGGTCTCCTCAAGTAGAGAAATCTTTATGGTTCAAGTACATGCCAAAAGGACAATATTTCCCTTAGACAGAAGGGGTGTTTTGACGACAGCCAACTTTTTTACAGGAAGAAAAATCAATCTTTTAACATCATTCATTCTCACCAGTCTTTCTCCTCTTCCTCATCCCTCCCTTCCTCATCTTCGTGCCCTCTCTATCCCTCCCTTGCTCTCCCTCTACCTTCTCCATCTCTCATTATCCAAATACTTTTCCAAAATTTAGATTATAAAATATGACCATCAGATGCTTTATAAAATCTACGCTACAGACATCATTGTGACATTTTTTAGTTAAATAAATAATAGAAATGTTCTGTGATGAAAGGAACCATAATCAAAACTGTAGGACAAATGATAGACTGGGAAGAATCTTTGCCATGCATTTGACAGATAAAAGATTCATTTTTCTGATTTATATCGAAAGAGAACCAACAAATGTGCAAGGAAAAGGCAAAAATCCGAAAGAAAATCATGCAAAAAGTTTTAAATTTTTGATGTAGTCAAATTTACACATCTTTTCCTCTATAACCTTTGGGTTTTATTTACAACCTTTTACATATCTATTATATTATTTACAATATACATCCCCCACAAAAAAATTGACAAATGGACACCAGAGAGAAATTCTTTCTTTATTGAAGTGCGTCTGGAAGCCTCAAAAAAAAAATGTTTAAAACAGACTTGGGGTAAAAGGGGAAGAGGAAGAATGTGTCTCAACAGTAGCCAACAAAAACATTCAAGATAAATAAATTCAGCATTCTGGCATCTGTGGACCCAGAAAAACTAGGTTGCAGATTAACTTAATTAGGAAAACCACCCACAACAAACCAATAGCACCAGGAGAGGGAGACGGAAAGAAGAGACTGAAAGAATGAAGCTTTGTCAAAACAGAGGTGTCAGAATCACAAGTAAAATAACTCCCAAAGGAACTCTCAGCCCTTCATAGGACATGGTGGTCTCTGCATCTCATTCATAATGTTTGCCTTGGCTGAGGTTCTAAACCACAAAAACATCTGTACAGAAGGAAGCAACCAATTTCAGTGAAATCATACTGGAAACCTTTAACATTATTTAGCGTCATTTCATGAGAGGACAATGCAGTTAATGTTCCCCACTGGAAGGACCGTCTTGTGGTTCGCAGCGCTAGGCAGTTTCTCTCTTTCTCTCTATTGGTTTAAATGTGAAAGAGAAAGAAAAGGGGGATTTCAGAAATGGAGGGAAGAAAGAAATAAACCATCTAAGGAGCACAGCCAATTATATAGGTTGGCTTTAATTTTCAAACTAGTGCTTAAATACCAATGGTATTATTGCCTTTAGCTCTCTGGAAACTACAGTGTAATTAGGTTCACTCAACTTAACTTAAAACATGCCCAGTCATTAAAATTTTTCTTGATCCAGCCAAGTTATCTCGCGCGTGCACACACACACACACACACACACACGCAGCACAGATCTCTAAGCCAAAAGTACATCACGTCCCCAAGAAACGGCAAAAACATGTCACTGCTTTTTGGAAATCATGCTCATGTTTTGTGACCTTCCTTAAAGATAATGTTCTCACGATTAATTAATTTATGAATAGTTTTCCCCCCAACATGCACAACAGGTTCCATGCAAATTCTTGAGCTTTTAAATTATACTGTTAATGAAAGCAAATAAAGGCAGTTAAAAGGCAATTTGCTCAATTGGTGTTAATATTTAAGCACAGCATGTGTAAAAACAAGATCACAGAATTCAGTTTTTACAAAGAAAACTTTAACCCAACTTCATTTCCAAAAGATTAAACATGTTGCCAAGAATATTTTCTCCCTCTACCCTTCAGCATCAGGTAATGAAGCTTTTTATTACGTAAATATTTCACATTAACCTCATCAGTTTCTATCACTTATAAATTCCAATCTATAAAATCAAATCAGCTTAATCATGTTTAGATTAGATCCTGCATCCTGAAGGCAAACTAAATTATTTACATCCTCACTCTCCTTGGCACATTCAAGCACCAAGACTTGAAGACATCAGAATAGAAAGGTTTCCTCTGCCTTCCTATTCCCGAGGTCTCACTGGCCCTCCTTCTTTAAATCTGCATCAGTGAAACCAACATAGCAGCCTTGGCATCGGCAAATTCTTCTAAACCAACCTCACGCAAAAGCCCTAAAAGTTTACTGGCTGGGCAAAGGCTTGGCCGTGGCTTTCCCTGGAGTATTTCTAGATTCCCCTACGAAAAAGAAAACTTCCCAGGTCAGATTAGTAACAGTAACTTCCCTGGTGACCCCAGATTGCTGCCTTGGGGGACTGTGCACAGGTTGCCACAGAAGACTGCTCTGTGACTGATCTTTGACCGTAGGGTCTGGCTGAAATGCTCCACATCTCCAAGAAAGTCTGAGCCCTTCATAGGGCTAGGAAAAGGGGGTGGGGGCACAGTGGAAAGGGTTCGCTTCTCCATGACATGAGGGGCTCCACCAAGAGCCCTAAATACCGCCCCCCAGCACACACATTTGCACCTAAGTCCCCCACATTCTTCACGCCCCTTCTCTGAGAGTCTAGTCCCCTCAAAATAGAATTTCAAAATGTTACAACGTTAAATAGATGTTGAAGGCCCTCAAAGGAGTTGAATTGTGGGCTCCTTCCAGAAGTCCTCCTGTGGCCCCCGTCTGCTCTATCCTCCGGTCCTGCTCTTCTAACATACTTCAGTTTCCCTTGCTGCTCTGCCCAGCTGTTCAGCCAAACCATGATTTCCTTCCTTTCCCTCAACATACCACACTGTCTGAGAGAACCAAGTTCCCTAAGAGAATCATTCCAGTTTGCACTGCACCAACTCCATGAAGCCAGTTTTCTGTCAGGACTGCTGGAAGGATGGCCCCCAGACAGCTCTCTCTGAGTTCAATCCCTAAATCTCTCCCCTCCCCCAACTCTTCCTTTCCTATCTCCCCCACCCCCAAGTTGCTCATCCCTCAAACCATTTCTATTTGATTAAGAGGATGGCCTCTGCAAGGATGTTTACATTAGGCTCACTTCCAGGCCATAACCCATCCTGCGGGAACACATTCCTGATCGGGGCAATGGAAGGAACTATGCAAAACATCTCGGCCTCATTGTGTACCCCAACTCCAGCCTTGGAGAACTCCACCAACCTCCAGGTCTCTCCAACAGTAAGGAGCAACAGGGCATGGCGGACAGAGCCTGGCTGCAAGAATCTGAGATGTGAGGAAAAGGCGCAGACATTTGTAGTCAAGCCAAAGACCTGACTAAGCCAAAGAAGATGTCACACCTCAAGGCACAATGACCCAACCTCACTCACCACAGACCAGCTATTATTTCTGGGGAACCAGCATTTTCTATAAGAGCAATAAAGTCAGATAATGCTAGGACAAAATTCCTGAGACAACTGCCACATTCAGATGGAGAGCTACTGAAAGGCCAAAGTGAAGTCCACTAGAAGAACAGACATCTGGAGGATGGGGCATGCCCCATGCTCCTCTCCTTCTTCCACCTGACTGACCCCAAAGCCTCCGCTCCTGCAGTGCCAGGTCTCAGCTCCATTAGGCCTGTTATGGATTAGGACACAGATCAGCCCCGTCCCCACTCCAAAAGTGGGACAGCCCCACTAGGGAAGCACACGCAGGAGGTAGGCAGAGCGGCAACTTAGTGAAGCTAGGACTGGCTGGGTACCCTTACCTGCCCATCAACACTGAGGCCAGCCTGTCCCAATAGCCACAAAGAAATCCAAGAAGGCATTAAGAGCTCAGGCCAAGCAATCGGGAAAACCTGCATTTGATTTCCAGCTACCGACCTTAAAAGCATGAGCTGAACATCTAACCTCTTTGAACTTCTCTGTAAAGCTGAAGTTTCTCATCGGTAATGCCAGGATGCCAGAGGCCTGTTGCAGGGACTGAATGGGGCTGTGTGTACCATCGCTGCATTCAGAGGCGGGCAGACGGTAGGTGTTCAACCCAGGCAGCCACCCCCATCTAGCCTCATCAGCCCAGACTGGAAATTTCTTAATAGCTGCAGGTCTTTTAGAGAGTTGAGCAGGGAAGGGGAATGTGGAGGGGGAAGAAGGGAGATGAGCTCAAAGTTTTCACCAGTGTTAACAGAACTCCTTCCAGAACAAGAAGACAGAGAGCAATTACTAAGAAGACCTGCAAATAAGCCCGTGGCCATCAATTTCACTCTAAAAATTAGATACTGTGACTACTGCTGCAGTAATAGAAGCTGGCTCACAGATTCGCACTGAGCCTTTTAGAAAGGAAAAAGACCTGAAAAGGGATTCTCTAGATGCTGGAGATGATAGGTGTTCTAGCTCCTGAGCTGAAAGACTCGGGAGCAGCTTTCTAACGGCTGGAAACATTCTGCACACTCAGCTGCTCTGTGCACCCTCTTTTGTCCGGGCCTGGGGTCTCAGAGCTAATGCAGGCACCAAAAGACCATCTGGGGCTGCCGTCTTACACACAGAAGTTTAAATAGCTCAATGAATGAACCCAGGAATTAATGAATGATAAAGCCGTATGGTCTCCTCATCCTTTCCTCTCACAAGCAGCATTCAAACCCTCCCAGCATCTTTTACAATGCTTCCTGAGTACAAACTAATAATAATAATGATAATAATCATCATAATAAAGGTGGGAGGAGAGGAGGTGAAAATGGGATCCCACTATAAGGAACACAGGCTTTAAAAAAAAAAAAGTCCCAAATTTCCACTGTATTTTCTGTTCACTCCAAATTAATTTGAAAATCTCTCTCCTCAAATAAAACAGAAAACAAAAAATGTAGACTGCACATCATCTCCAATCCAAGCTCCACTCTTCTCAGCCCAGCTTTGTTTCTCTTTGAAAATTATTCATCACCAAGGTCATTTTTACCAACATATTATAGAATCAGACACATATTATGCATCTCCTCCCAAGATGCATATATCTCCACATCACACATTGAGAAAAAGTCAATGTTGCGCACCCACCCTGGGAAAAGAAAATAATCTTTTAGTCGCTTCTCACAGCTACACAATAGTTCTTCTAGGGTGGAAATTTTAGCACAGTAATCACTTTGGTAGGCTCAGAAATCATGCTCTTTGGAGGAGAGACACCAAGGGAGAAAAGATCCCTTTGAAAAGTGACCTGCACAGAGAACCCCTTGGCAGAGTTGTTGGATTTGTTCACTCTAGACAACCAAGCATTTCATCACTGGGGAGGACGGAACACAAGAACACAGTCTTAATCTGAGACTTGAGGGAGTGAAGTTAGATCTAAATGCGAAGTGTTTTATAATGCACATTACAAGGTCTAAAAAGTTCTTTTCTGGATATCATCAGAAACAAAACACAAGCAGGCTTCAAGGCAGGTGAGGCTTATACCTCCCATGCACCTAGGAAGTGGATCTCATTCTGGCTATGACCCTTGTTGACAGCGTGACCTTGCGCAAGTCACTGATCCCTCTGTGATTCCATTCCCTTATCTCACCTAGAAAATCAGAGCGATCACCAGGGCCCTGGCGCCTCGTGGCTGGGATCACTCTAGCAGGTTCCAGAGCTGTCTTTCTCAGGGGCATCTATATGTATGTGCATTTATCTCCATCTGCATCCTGCCCCTTCCCAAGTCTAACTGTTGAAAATAAAACTCGTCGAAACTACTGTGCTTTCAAAAATAAAAAGCCCATCTAGCAGGGACTGGGCTATGAGAGCTGGTATAAAGGGAAAATTCTGGAATCAGGGGAACTTCCATTACAAAATAAGAAAGACCAATGCCATAGGGAAGTCACAACATTTTGGAAGCAGGATAAAAAGGAATGAAAAAGAGCTAGATTTCTTTTCCATCAGAAAAGAGAAGATGGGACAGGCACAGTGGCTCATGCCTGTAACCCCGGCACTTTGGGCGGCTGAGGTGGGAGGATCACTTGAGGTCAGGAGTTTAAGATCAGCCTGGCCAACATGGTGAATCCCCAACTCTACTAAAAAAATTTTAAAAATTAGCCAGGCATGGTGGTGCAGGCCTATAGTCCCAGCTACTTGGGAGGCTGAGGCAGGAGAATCGCTTGAACCCAGGAGGTGGAGACTGCAGTGAGCTGAGATCGTGCCACTGCATTCAAGCCTGGGTGCCAGAGCAAGACTCTGTCTCAAAAAAAAAAAAAAAAGAAGATCGTGAAATCATAGACCAATGTATACAAGTTTCTTCTAATGAAATTATTCAAAAGAAACCAGAGCTAAATGTTGGGGTTTTATTTTCTTTTTAATTTTCCCATGTAATCCATCATAATGATGCTTCTTAAAAGGCAGCAATGGGAGTAGGAGCCACAGTGACCCCCAAAAGAGGGTAAATATAGGCATGAAACCGGCCAAGGGGGAAGGGATGAGTAGTCTCTTTCTTACAGAAGCTACGGAACACTTCAGAAAGGCCTGCGGCTGTCGTGCTGCTGTACTTGGTTGGTGGGAAGGAGAGGCAGAGAGGCACCATCCAGAACAGCGTTTTCCTCCTAACAACCCTCCGCTATGAAAGGTTAATACAGTCTGGAGGGGTGGGGGTGAACGCGGGGAGAGGAAGGGGATAGAAAAGCATTATGCAATATTAGAATGCTACTTTTATTTTAAAAGCCGTCATGTGTAAAGCATTAGTGTTTTTGAAATTGCATTCTTGAGTTAATTAAATGGACAATCTTTTATACATAAAAGTGAAAGAAAGCAATTAAAAGCTAAATGAAGAAAAACCACTTTCCCCTGGTGATCTGGGCTACCCCAATCCCTCTGTATTAACATGAAGCAAAGACAAGGATCTCCCCAGAACTACTGTCCAAATGTCTCTTTTATGGTACCCTCGGTGACAATTTGTAAGTATTTGTCTTCCTTCTAAGTTTACCTATGAGACTGTTAGGATAAGAGGAGGAGAAGAGAACAGCAGAGTGATGGAGGAACAGGGGAAAAAGTTCATTTAAGCAGTTTACAAACAAACGAGGGAACTCAGGGAGGGGACAGATCGCTGTCTCAAATGAAACTAAAATCAATACCTCAACTCTTTTTTTGTTACCTCCACCAAAAAGCAGCCCCACTCAGCATGTCACTCAAGAGAATTGGGTCGGGCGCGGTGGCTCATTCCTGCAGTCCCAGCATTTTGGGATGCCAAGGCTGGTGGATCACCTGAGATCAGGAGTTTGAGACCAGCCTGGCCAACACGGCGAAACCCCGTCTCTATTAAAAATACAAAAATTAGCTGGGCGTAGTGGCAATGCCTGTAGTCCCAGCTACTTGGGAGGCTGAGGCAGGAGAATTGCTTGGACCCAGGAGGTGGAAGTTGCAGTGAGCCGAGATCGTGCCAGCGCATTCCAGCCTGGGTGACAGAGCGAGACTCCACGTCTCAAAAAAAAAAAAGAGAGAGAGAGAGAGACAGAATTAATTCAGCGTTTTGGGCTGTCGAGCCAGGCTCCACTCACAGGCTTTTTCAAAAAATCAGAGAAGTATATTCGGATTACAGCAAGAAAAACTAGGTTAGTTAACAGGAGGAACTTCCTCAATGTACCACTATGTCTACCTAACAAGTGCCAAATTACCAACTGGTCTATTGTTTTGCAAATGTGCCTTCCACAGGTGAGTGGGTGGCGAGGGGTTAAGTAGCTGGCCTGCTCTGCAAAATGGGTCAGGAAAAGGCAAGTACCACGGCCTGTGTGGTAACAACAGCAATGACACACTCCCCTTCTGATGCCCCAGTGGACTCAATCTTTACTCAAAATGGTTGCAATGACTCTGGTGCCCCTACAAGAACATCTAGATGACAAGAGACACCACCGTTCTCTTTGGTACCAGAAAGAAGAAAAGCAAGAATTGGTCTATGTCCATTTAACAGATGGTTTTCCAGTGGAACATGGAAAACATGATGCAGAAGCTACAATGATGTTTCCTATTTCGCAGGCTGAGTCCTGTGGTGAGTTGTTCCCAGGGCCCAGGCCTCTGGGTTCCCAGGCCACAGGATCTCCTATCTCTCAGCTTCCTGCAGGTCCATCCCTTCACTGAATCTGATAGTCATCCAAGAGAGATTCTGGAAAACGCACAGCAAACCACAGCAAAACAACACCAATCCACTCTTCCCTAGAGGCCCCAGTGCTGACTGCTGGCTGCTTGGGGGTACTTCCCTTTCCCTTCCTGCCATGAAAGAAGGAGGTAGGTGAAAGAAAAGGCAAAGCAGAGATAGCCTGATCCAGGAAGAGTAAGAAATGTTTACATCTTGGGTGCTGGGAGTGAAGACTGATGTATTTCCCCAGCTAACTCCGTCTTTCCCCAATAGCAGGCAATGTCTACAGGCTCGCACATGCTTGGTATTTACTTGCAGTTATGGTAAACCACTCCCTATGCTACTTTTATCCTTTCTGCCTTCAAAGTAGCAATGACCATAAGACTGAAGAGAAGAACATGGTTAGGTCCCAGTTTTCTACACACGTTCACCCTGGGATAAAACAGAAAATCTAAAACTCTGCATAATCCAAATGCACCATTGTAGAAAAGATCCTTGTGTTGTCAGACAGGTGCCTAATTTGGTTTCTACTCCCTTCCCTATTCACCTTTGGTAAATGAGCTCAAACTGGGCACCCTGGCCAAAATGCTGGTCTGCGAGGAAGGAGGGAGGATGAGAAGAGAGAAGAAACTGATGTGGATAACCCACACATTCATTCAGCCCACACGTGAAAAAGAATAGTTTGTTAGATTTCTCTTTGATTCCCCAGGCTCCAAACCCACACGCTAGGGTCAGGGAGGGTTGTTCAGTGCACCACTGATGCCACCACAAGCCCCCACACCTCTGTTTGAAATAGAAGGCCCAACATTGTTTGCTCCAGCCAAGCCTCCCTCTGCTCTGTGGCTGAGTTCATGAAAGGAATCCAGGATGGGTTAAACGTTACCTCTATCTCCACCCCGCATCTTCTAAAGCATCTGATAAGCGCTAGAGAAAACATCCTGTGTGCAGAGGTTTAGATGCTGACACAGGGTGGGGGAGCACCAACGACCCAGGGGCCACGAGGAGTTAATCCCCCGAGAGATAGGGGCCTACTCTTTGGAAAGTTCAGAGAAAGCAAAGAGAAAAAAGATTCCACCGGCTGTTACATGTGGTTACCAAAACACAAAACACAAATGTAGGTAGAGACTCTGTAGCCCAAAATTAAGAAAACAACGACCAAAACTTCTTTAGTCCAAGCGGACGGTACTCACAAAAAAAGGAAAAGAAAAAGTTTTTAAGCAGGGTGTTCAGCCAACTGCTAATTCTGGGGCAGTCCCTTCCCTCTGCACATGACCCATGACAGAGTTAAACTGTGCTTTGGTCTCAGGCTGGGGGGTGGTGGGGGTCCACCTTCTGAATTCCAGGTCACCATCTATCTTAATTCCCTCCCTGCACACTCCACACCTGTCTCTCACTTATAACATAGGCCTGGCCTAAAGGCAGGAGAATGCTTTCAATGGCCTCAAGGCTCCCTCAGCCCTTACAGTCGAACCTCAATAATCACAGTGTTGTGGTTCAAAGCAGAAACAATTATCAATGCAATGAAGTGCCATTGACAGACCTCCAGTTTCAGCATCACTGATACAGTAATGTTTGCCTTCAAATAAGGTTCTTTTAATGTTCCCAGCAGCCGAGAGGAACAAGACATAATGGTTTGGAAGGGTACCCACATTTGACTAGATGGGTTAATATGGGCACACACAAAGAAAGAGCTTTAGCTGGCTCTATTGTCCCTTCCCAATGTGTGGGTGGCATTGGGGGCTACTATGAATGTTGGCGAGCATCAAAAACTTCAAGCCCAAGAAGAAAGCCACACAAAAAGCTCTAGGATTGGCCTTTTTTCTGGAATAGCTCTAGGCTCTCCTGCCTATAAAATTCTCCAGGCACCCAATAAATAATTAAATGACTGTTCAGCTCTTATTAAACCACACCTCAGGATTACAGGACCAACGCCTGGGCTATCAGCAAAAAGCACCCCTCTTACTACATATGCTAAAATCATCCCAGAAACACAGGCCCATGCATTTCCCAATAGATTCACTTCCCAGAAAATGCGGAAGGGCAGGGGCAGCCGGGGGGTGGGGGGGACTTACCTGGAAGAAAAAAGAACTTGAACAACTGATTCTACCTCCTCCCTCTAACCACTGTTACCACTGCTGTGATGAAGGAGAAGAGTGATGATGAATGACAAACCTTTCTCCTGAAAACCCCAGAGTAAAAAAAACTCACCAAGGATCCAGAAGACGGTCTATGCATAAAAACACAAGAGCATGTTAGGAATAGCAGTTCAGCAGCCTCAACCCCCAGTGAGATTTAAACCCAAACTTGGCTGCCAACAACCCACCAGCACCTTACAGCCACGATAAGAAAGCCTTCCTAAAGCATTTGGTTAAGGATTTTTTTTTTCTCCTAAAGGTAAATAGCTACTGAGAACAAGTCTGCAGGGCAAAGCAGCTGAGACCCATGTTTCAGAGGTCTGGGAATTAGTATGTCCCAGAGGTCTGGGAATGAGGACGTCCCAACCACCATCGATGTGTTCACTGCCATCCCTGGCATGCTCAGACAAGACCCACACCAACAGAAAGAGGTCCTCATTGCAGGAGCCAAAAGGCAAGGGAAAACATGACCATCCCAGAGACATCTATTCCCTAGAGCCACATCCAATTTCATAAAGAAATTAAAAGCCACTGATAAAACCTTACCTGCCCCTCCCCATCTGGGATACCATCAGTTTCTTTATCACCACTGTAACACATACAAAAATGAGCAACAAATATATGAATGTATCTCCCTATAGGCAATGACATGAAAAATGCAAGGAAATAAAATCAGGTCTTCAGCTCTCAAAAAGAAAATGGAGGATAAGGCAACTAGCATTTACTGGGCACTCCAATAATAGCCAGGAGATCTATGTGTATTTTTTCATTTGATCTTTGCAAGAACCTTACAAGTTAGGCAATATCGTCCCCAATTCACAGGAGAGAAAACTGAATCTCAAAATGTTTATGGGGCTAAGGACACAAAATTTTAAAAGTGGCCAAGCTGTCCATCTAGGCCAGTCTTGACTCCAAAATTACAGATCTTTCTACCAAATCACACCATGTTCCTCTCTTCAGTCACTCAGTTTATATCAAACCCTTCACAAAAAACCTGGTTAAATACACGAAGCAATCAGTCTTGGAAAAACATACTTCTATGGCCCCAAAGGACCTCAACGCTAGAAAATGCAGGGAAGGCTGGATCATAAATGAGTGGGTATTCTAAATTACTTTATAGGTAATGATCCATAAAACAAACAAACAAACAAACAAAAACACCAAACAAGGCCTCGCGCTGTGGCTCACACCTGTAATCCCAGCACTTTAAGAGGACAAGGAGGGAAGATTGTTTGAGCCCAGGAGTTCAAGATCAGCCTAGGCAATGCAGTGAAACCTCATCTCTACAAAAAACTTAAAAATTAGCAGGCTGTGGTGGCATACACCTGTAATCCCAGCTACTTGGGAGGCTAATGTGGGAGAATTGCTTGAGCCAGGGAGAGCAAGCAAGGTTGCAGTGAGCCGAGATTATGCCACTGCACTCCAGCCTGAGCAACAGAGTAAGACCCTGTCTCAAAACAAACAAACAAACAAACCAGCTTGCAACGCTCCTGGCCATGAACCCCCCGGGGACCCCCGAGATGCTGGCTCCCGTGAGTATCTCCTCATTAAAAACCACTCTAGGGTCACTCACCATACTAGGGGCTGTCTAGATTCCCAAGTCAGCCTTAAGTTTTGCGAAAGCTGTAGATCGCTGATCTTTAGAAGAGAGGATTCTGATAGTCACTGTCTGGTCCTGCGGTAAGTTTGTAAGTATCCCAGTCTTATAAAAGGTTAATAATTCCACAAAGCGAAATGTGCCGCATCTCACAAAAGGGTCCTCATTGAGTTTCATCTTTTTCCATCTGTGCCTGAGTAAACGCAAGAGGAAAGGGGCCAGACTTGCCAGCACCTCCAAATCCCCACACCGTTCTATGCCCATAGTCTCCCGAGAGGGAGGATAAAATACTTGCTCAAATCGGTCTTAGTTTAAACACTTTTGTCATCCAGCCAGGCCAGGGCTACAAAAATTAGATGAAATATTAAATACATACTAGTCCCCTCAAAATAAGTCAACCCCCATGCCTACTATATTACTGGGGAGTAGGGGGCATAGAGGGTGGTAAGGAAAGAATATTTTTACTTAAATCCCTGGATCACAACACAGCCTTTCAACCAGCTGTGCAGACACAGCTTCAGTTTCCCTGGGTTTGACCCAGTGCCGCCAAAATCACCAAGTCTTCCTACCCCAAGCTACCTCCATCCAATTTTAACTGTCACCTCGGGCTGACCATGAGCAGAGAGAGATGACTGGATAAGCCATTTAGCATTACGTGGAGAAAGGAAAGAGACATTTTGCCACTACTGATTAAGGAGAACCTGCCAACCTGGGTTAAAAAACACACAAACAAAAAATCAGATCTCAGAATATATTAGTGTCATTAAGAGATCATGTTCCCAGTCCATGGGAATCCCAGTGCAGGGCACCAACTCAAGAATGCAGCTGCTTTGGGGTGCTCTAAAAGGGAGCTCATGTTTCTTTTTAAACCTTTTAAGGAGGGTTGACTGTGTATGCAGCAATCCACTAGACGTCAGAGGACACACACTGGGGTTGAGAAAGACAGACACCTCTTAGGAAGGCACAGGAGCATTGAAGAGTGTGTGTCATGGGCACCCACAAGTGCACCAACACAATCCATGCTTTACACTTTGAAGTTCAATGACTGTAGCGCAATGTGTTTGGAAATGTATTTTTTTCTACTGAATCCCTTGGGCAAGAAGAGAAGTTGTATCATCGCTTCTGTTTTCCAAAATGGAAGGCCACGTGAAGAAGACCTAGCCTGTCTCCCTTCTCCCTCCAAGGCTGACTACCTCCTCATACCCCTCACCCTCCAATGCACACACACCACACACTGCTTCGCTCACTTGAGCTGACACCACACAGCTTTAAGAACCATTGACTCACCAGCAGGCTAAGCCTTGAGACTACAGTATCATCCACTGGTTAAACTAAAACCACACTGGAGACTTAGATTAAAATGCATGTTTCCCAGCAGCTGCTATGTTTCTTGTTACTACTTTTTTTTTTTTTAAGCCAGGTGCCAAGAGAGGAGATAAATCTAAATAATACCTACACTTCCTTATTATAAACTACACTCCTTTTTTAACTGACCACATCATAAACATTATAAAATAGATTTATTTTATATATGTGTGTATGTGTATATATATATTCAGAGTATCTACATCTCCTCCTCATGGGGAAAAAATCACAGGCTGTAAGACCACTGTTTAGAAGTGTAATTCCATACTTAGAAAAACTAAAATCAATATCTGTTGTAGCACCTCTCTCTCCCCCAGTAAGATCACGGTTGTTTTAGGAGGATACAAGCTTCTGAAATGCAGCTTTAACAAACAGAACATTGCTCAACTGTTCTAGAGGCAGGTGTCATAAACAAGCAGCCACATGGCAAACATATTGATTTCCCAGCCCTTATCTCACAGCAACCAGTGCTCAGTTACCAGGCTACTTTAATATGTAATTTACTGAAGGGAAAGGAGAACAGGGCTGAGGATGTCCGAAATATTTACTGTAGAATTCGGCAGTGCCATAGAAGCTTGCAAGCAAATATGAAGAATTCTGGGCTGAAAACCACAAATAATCATTAGCATTTCCAAACTGTTGAGTGAAAAGACCCCTCCCCCATTTCCTTTTCCCCTCACCAAGAACCCATTATTTGATATTATTGATCTTCAGCAACTATGCTTATGCTATGAAAATCCAACCCACCACTACCTTTATCTAAATACAGATGCTTAATTTCTGCCAAAACAGTCCAAGGAAATTACCTCCATCCATTAAGTATGTTATATTGGACTCTTCCCTTGCTTCTTGGCCCACCTGACTCAAGATAAAAATAAAGAGGACGAGGAGGTTAGAATTTCTAAGGCTCCCGTGCTGGTTTTTGCAAGACTCGTGAGAATGTCAGGAGTTAGCTTTTTTTTTTTTTTTAATTTAAGTCAGACTTTTTATATATCCCAAGCTGCAAAACACCAAAAAAGATCCAACACTAATTAAAAGCAATCAATGTATAGTTACATTAAGTGGGAAAGAAGCTCTGTGTCTGGCGTTAAAGGTTGTAAGTTTAAAATAAACCTAGAAATGCCAAACTTACGCTTTTTCAGATCCGTGCCAGTGCGCCCACACGCCTGGTACTATATATATAGTGCGCCCCTACCTTCACATGCAGGCCATTAAACCTTCAAAAGCACAGAACGAGGCTGCTGGCTATGATACCACCACGGGGGCAGAGGAAACTTCCATTTCCAGAACTTATATTTTCATCTTGAGATCCTGACTTATTTGGGCATAGATTTTCACTTTGAATTTCCTTATGGGTCTTTAAATTTTCATGTGAATAAAAACCAAACAAAGAGGAAGGGAAGAAGAGCAGGAAAAAGATGCTGTTGAGAAGCTCACAAAATCTCTGGCTACATCTGCCACCAGTTGCAGGAGGAGACAAGGCCCGTCACAGATGGTGAATAGAAAACCTCTGAAAACCTGACCACATACGTACCAAGTCTAAAAGCAGAAACATCTCTCCCATAATTTTCAGACATTTTGCAAATGCAGTTGAATTTTCTTCCTCACTGAAACCTCCCTGTGTTGTAAGGCCACAGATATTATTTAATTATTTAAGTGCAGAAAGAAAAAAAAATCAGAGCGGAAGATTTTCCTTAACTTCTCTCTGGGAAGAGGTCAACTAGAGAATGTCTCAGAGCCAAAAAGGGGGAGATTTTTCTAGAATCACATGACAAATACCAACACAAGACCTCAACAAGTAATCATACCACTTGAGAGATAGCACTTAATAAAAATCACTTTAACAATAACAATAATGATAGTTAAAGGGCAACGCTAGACTGATCGCTGATACTCAGGAGTACAGGCGATGTGTGTTTTTTTTAAAAAAAATTTAGCAGAGGGTTTTTATCAGTATGATATTCTCAGTATTTTCTAAGAATTTTTTCTCAAATGCCAAGTATTGCAATTAACATAAAATACATTTTTATTGTAGTAAAACTATGTAACTAAAATTTACCATTTTAAAGATTCTAAGTGTACAGATCAGTGTCATTTAGTACACTCCTGATGTTGTGTAACCATTACTACCATCCAGCCACAGAACTTTTTCATCTCCCCCAACTGAAACTCTGTACCCACTCAACCTTAACTCCCCATTCCCCTCTCTCCCCAGCTCCTGGCAACATCTATTCTAGTTCGTGTTTCTACAAATTTGCTTTATATAAGCACAGATGCCTCATATAGATGGCACCATACACTATCTGTCCTTTGCTATCTAGCTTATTTCACCTAGTATAATGCCCTCAAAGTTAATCTGTGTTGTACCATGTGTCAGAATTTCCTTCCTTGTTAAGGCTGAATAATATTCCACTATATGTATATACCACATTTTGTCAATTTATCCATGGGTCAATGAACATTTGAATTATTTCCACCTTTTGGCTATTTTGGCTAATGCTGCTATGAACATGGGTGTGCAAATATCTGTTCAAGTTCCTGCTTTCAATTATTTAGGGGGTGTGTGTGTGTGTGTATACACATAACACTCCCAGAAGTAAAACTGCTCACAAAATATGTTTTTGTTCTTTCAAAAGGAATCCATCGTTTGTGCTTTGGTATCCAACACTCTCATCAAAACCAAAAAAGAAAAAAAGAATTAGATTAGAAAACTGAAGTCAACAATGTCGCTGAAGCGGGAAGCCACGCAAGGGTACACAGTCGCAAAAGTGCCCGTAAAATGCTGGGCTGCAAACCCCTCAAGTTTCCTCATTTGATGGGGGTGAGCAGTTTTAGTTCAACCCCAGAAATGCACCTTAATAAAGGGTTCCTCGGCTGCAGGAAATGCAGCTGACCAGTCTATGAACAGTCTCAATATGCCATTACTGCACACTTATGAGACAACGATGTTTAAAAAAACATAGGCATATGTTTTGACACAACCTTATTTAAATCTGCTGGGGACTTACTGTACGAGGCAGCACATGAAAACCAGCATGCTGACATTTTAGGACGAAGAAGCACACAGGAGACCACAGAGGTCTATTCTCCCATCTCTCAACGGCTTAAAAACTTAACATGCTAAGATAAAATTTGTGTGTATCTCTTTAAGATAGCATATTTTAGAGGCTTATGTCTTACCACAAATCAGAAATAATAGATAAGTCAAAACCTCCGAATTTTAATGAAAGCTGAAACCACACCAGCTCTCCAATATCCAAAGCCTGGCAACATATTTCAGAAGCTCAACTGGAGATAAAAACGAGCGACAAGGGAAAAGGCAATTTTAGGTGCCTCCAAGGGAAGTCTGGAGATTTGATATTAAAATACCCCTGGTTGCTCAGACCATGAGGAATTTACTTTTTCATAGAATAAACTTTTCTTTTATACTCCTTTTTTAATACAGTGTCTTAAGTAGATCTTTTGGAATTTACAAGATAAATACTGGTAATTTGATTCTTATCTTCTCTAAATCCAATTCTAAGCCAATTTTGTGTAAAGGACACTAATTATAGCCTACAGGGAGAGAAAAGGCAACCTATCAGAGAGAATACACTTGAAACATTTAAAAAGCTAGGGGACCCTGAAAAGTTAAATAGATTTCAAATCTATTGGAGTAAGAACAATAATTAATTCCATGGAAATTATTCTCAGAGCCTGGTCTGCTTCCCATGGGCACTTCAGAGACCTTGTCAACACGGCACCCAAGCATGCTAGGGTGAAAGGGATTTAGGGTTTACTCTCCTAACCCCCTAGGCCTGAGCCTCGCAGTTGTTTAAAAAGACCCTGCCTTGGTGACTAAAAGTATGAGAAAGTGGGCGAGTGAAGAAGGTCTTCTTGCAAAGGTCCCAATTCTGCCTTGTTTGCATGTCTCTTTCTCCCTGCTCCATAACCTATGTATAAGAAATTGGTGGCCGGGCGTGGTGGCTCACGCCTGTAATCCCAGCACTGTGGGAGGCCAAGGCGGGCGGACCACGAGGTCAGGAGATTGTGACCATCCTGGCTAACACGGTGAAACCCCGTCTCTACTAAATATACAAAAAATTAGCTGGGCGTGGTGGCGGGCGCCTGTAGTCCCAGCTACTCAGGAGGCTGAGGCAGGATAGTCGCTTGAACCTGGGAGGCGGAGGTTGCAGTGAGCCGAGATCGAGCCACTGCACTCCAGCCTGGGTGACAGAGCAAGACACGAGACTCCATCACAAAAAAAAAAAAAAAAAAAAAAAAAAGAAAAGAAAAGAAAAGAAATTGGTTACATAAGACACGACACTGTGGTTTTCCAAACTAAACCCTAAAGAGCGCATTGACTGAGACTGCAGGGCGCGTGCACGTGCATCTTCATTCCTCACCACTCCTACATCTTTGTGCTATTTTTCTTGGCCTTGGTCACAAGAGACAGTCATGCTAAAAGGGTGCCATAAACCCCCTCTCACGTTTGCAGGCAGCTTTATGGATGCCAGAACATGCAGACAGGCCCCCAGCTTCTATGGTGTGGGGCCACAGTGACCTGCAGCCCAGTGCGAAGCACTCTGGAGGGGTATCTGGGCTAACAGGGCACATAAGCTGGTTGAAGGATCAGTGAAACTGATCCCAGAGGCCTTGGCCTTTGGAAACTTGGAACTGATAGCTCAAAACATCTCACCAGAACAGCTTTCGGCTGACGACCACTCCAACCATGGAAGCCCCTTGGGCCAGGGACCTCCTGCCTCTGATTGAGGGGCAAACAGATTTGAGATCCAGCCCCAACCAGCTCACTGTGGGATAGACCCTAGTTAAGAGCCACATCCATCCACAACAAGGGTGCTTTTTCTAATTCACACGAAAGCACTGTGTGGACCACTAGCAACCATGCTTGAGCCCAGAAAGAAACTTCTTGAGCCCCAGCAATGGCTCTCTCTGGAAGCTACCTCCTCCTTCCTACTGCCTGCACACCCAAGTTTGCCACCATCCCCTAGAAGCTGGATGCCACCCAAACAGCCACAGCATTGCAATCCATGGGGTGGCCCATGCCCTTCATCAATTAGAGAAACCTTCCAAAGTGGCCTATTCCAATATCCCAATGTTGAGATGAACCAACATCTTAGACTTTACACGGACTCGTTTGGTTTTTGTTTTACTCAAAAAGTCAATTTTTTAATGTTTTTTATTTTTTATTTTTTTGAGACGGAGTCTTGCTCTGTCTCCCAGGCTGGAGTGCAGTGGCACAACCTCAGCTCACTGCAAACTCTGCCTCCCGGGTTCACGCCATCCTCCAGCCTCAGCCTCTCGAGTAGCTGGGACTACAGGCGCCCGCCACCACACCTGGCTAATTTTTTGTATTTTTAGTAGAGACGGGCTTTCACCGTGTTAGCCAGGATGGTCTCGATCTCCTGACCTCGTGATCCACCTGCCTCGGCCTCCCAAAGTGCTGGGATTACAGGCGTGAGCCACCGCGCCTGGCCCTGAAAAGTCAAAAATATTTTTAAGGGCTTATACTGAAGAGCCTAACCAGAAGGGGGCTCAAAGTCTGAACCAATGACGTTGTCACTATTCCAAACACATGAATACAGAAAGAAAAAATGTCCGTTGACAATTCAGTTTCATTCCACCCAAAACCAACAGTTGCATATGACATGTTGTCTCAAAGAGCTGGTGTGATGCCTTTTTTAGAAACTATCTAGAAAATGGACATAGGTTAAAGGGCAGAAATAAAGTTCTCGACTGTTCTTACAGATTAGGCCTCCTGAGAAACCAGGCAGCAGATAAATCAGTGCTGGCTGAATGGGAACATTTCCTGTACTATGTCTTTCCCATCTTTCTTCTACAAGCTCCAGCTGCTGGACACAGAAGTGGCACAAGAGCCAAGAATATGGTAAACAGAGCCTCGGAGGCTATAGTCTTGGTTCTACCTTTCAGGACAATGCTCCACCATCCTTGGGCCACACACTCATCTCCTTCTAGGGGTCCCGTTGCTTCTTCTTGCCTTGGTGTTTATTCACCGCCTCTCTCAAAGATGGGCAAGGACAAGAGAGGGAGTTGTCCCTTGGAAGCAGCAGCAGGGCTGAGTGTAGTGGAGGAAGAGAGGGGAATCGGGGAACAAAAGGCTGAAAAGGAAGCCTGGCCTTTCTGTAGCAGGGAAACAGCAACATCCCCCCTCCACACCCCCAGCAATACGGTGTTCACCTCTCCACAATACAGACCACCCAGAACTTCACAGACAACCCAAGCCTCTCTGGGATAGGCCTAAATTGAACCATTCTGTGCCACTGCCAAACTGTGGCTGTGATTTCTGGTTCTGAAAATATGGTCCTGAAGATACAATTAAAGGGCACAGGCAAAAACACGTGGGGCCTTAACACCCCATGTAGACTCGGCCACTGAAGTCAGGCAGGTCAGTAAAGTCAACATTATGAGGCTTGCCAGAGTTTACCAATGTAGGACAGGCACTGGTGGTTTTTTAATCTTCTTTAAAAGGGTGATTTTGGGGTGTGGTGTGGTGTGTGTGTGTTTTCACATATTCTACAACCTCAAACTTTAATCCTTCAAATATTCTTCTGGAAAATTTCTCTTCCCTATATAATAATGGAGACCAGAAGGGAACATGCCCAAAGAACCCTCAAGAGCCAGGGAAAGGTGGGAGGAAGATTGGGGATACTAGAAAGTGAGGTCTTCATTTTGGCTCTTCAGACTCATAAAAGGACCATGGCCTGACCAGTCTGAAAGGAGAGAGCCCTGTGCAAGCCAACCCCATGAGTTATGGGACCTAAGCCTTACGACGGCCCTATATATTAGGTATGGGCTAGCACCTCCCAGCCCATTTTAGAGATGCACAAACTAAGGCCTAGCAAGATAATACAGGGAGAAGAAGAATTGAAAAATGAAAGCTACAAGGAACAAAGGCCCCACAGAAGTCTATTGCTGTCCCTGAAACTTCTCTTTGGAGAGAAAAGGAGGGGGAGCAGAGGACAGCGGGGTCTTCTCTGCACTGTATCCTCAACCACAATGGATGTGAGGACAACGGAACCATCTGGAGAACACAAGAAGAGAGGAATCACTTTGCTCCACACAACAAGAGGATCGAGGCAGTGTGCCCCCGCCCCAACCCCAGACCACAAAATAGGTTTTAAGGAGCAGCGTGGAGCTGTCTAAACAGGCACTTGCTCACAATCCTAGAGGCGGCTCCCACACTGGCTCTCCCTCGCTTCTCCCCTAAGCCAAACTGCCAATGACAAAAAGCCCCTTCAGTGCTCCGGGTGCCCCCACCTTTGTAGCCAGCCCTGGAAGGCCTGAATGCACAAACACAGTGCCCTTTCACCGGAGCCTCTCGGGTCTCCTGTTTCAGTGAGGCCGTGAAAGAGAGCACTGTAAATAAAAGAGGCCTGTTTGACCTGCCCCTCTGGCCGGGACCTCCTTCCACTCTACTGTAACAGAGCTGCCGGCCAGCACAGCCTCGGCCCCTCTGCTCAGTCCTACTGCCCACGCCCACTGGGCACCGAGGGGCAGCAAGACAAAAGGGTGAGGCCCAGCCTGGTCTAAGGGTGTCAGTGAGAAGGGGCGCACAGGCCTGGTCATTCCAATGACTCGTAAGCATCAAAGCACTTGTTTAAATGGTTGCAGGGAAAATCATCCCAGAATACCACTGCTTGACCGGCTTAGGAGAGGGGGAGGGGAGGCCATTTGGTTTTGTTCTCTTTGTCCAGCCAAGTGGACAAAAACAAGGGGAAGGGGAGTGGGCTGGGGCACTGGAACCCACCCTCAGTCGCCGCATACAGAGGAGACTGTCCCAGCAAGTCTGAGGAATAAATAGGAACTGTGTCATGCTAGGTGCAGCCATATACTTTAAACAGGAAAGCAGAAGGAAGGAAGGGAGGAAGGGAGGGAGGGAGGGAGGGAGGAACAAAAGATTGGGGAAAGGAAAGAAAAAGAAAGCACAAAGAAGGCCAGAAGTGGCAACCACCCTCACAAGTACAGAGAAAACACAAGCCAAAGCCCCAGGGGCTGCTCGGACGTCTACGGTGACCACCGAGCACCAGCATTTATAGAAACGGACATCCACAGGCCAGGAGTTGAGAGTTCATGCCAGGGGGTGGAGGAGAGGAAGGGAAAGACAGGAAAACATGCTTTTTTTGTTGTTGTTTTGTTTTGTTTTGAGACAGGGTCCCACTCTGTCACCTAGCTGAAGTGCAGTGGTGCAATCTCGCCTCACTGCAGTCTCCATCTCTCAGGTTCAAGCACTTCTCGTGCCCCAGCCTCCCAAGTAGCTGGGACTATAGGTGCATGCCACAACGTCCCGTTAATTTTTATATTTTTTTAGAGAGGTGGTTTCACCATGCTGCCCAAGCTGGTCTCCAACTCCAGGGCTCAAGCAATCCTTCCACCTCGGCCTCCCGAAGTGCCTCCCACCGCACCCAGCTGAAAGGGTCTTTACTAAAGAAGGTTAATTGCCTTAGTCTGCGTCACCAGGTGTGAGGATGTACGGCTCTTTAACCATCCCACTACACACACACTGCGATTTGCACTAGCCCCACCTTAGGGCAGGGGGAAGGGGTGGAGAAGGATGAAATCTGAAACTCAGAGGGGAAAATAAATAAGTGGAAACCAAAAAGCCATACATATGTTTCTTAAAATTTCCCACAAAGACAAAATGCTACAGAAAAAAAGCAGAAACCAACCAAGAGTTTGGGAGGGATATTAGTGTCTTCCAGGAATAGGGCAGCAGGGAACCCATGGGTACACACTCCCAGCCTGTCCAGGAAACTGAAGTGGGTTTCAGGCCTCTCTACAACAGCCCAGGGCCTGCCCACATAGCATCCAATAGAATGAAGTCCTTTTTTAAGTTTTAAAATGAGTCTCCCAGGATTGAGGGATGAAAAGGCTGAGAATCAAAGCCACACATTTGGAAGCTCTTGCCTGCCTAGACCTCAGCCCAGCCCTCCAAAACCATCTTCTCACCACCAGAAAGTCCACACGTGTTTATGATGGGGGTGGAAAGAGGGGCAGCAGAGGGGAGAGAGGGAGCTCCCCTGGCTAGGCCAGGCATCCCTACCCTGCTTGCCATGCCAGCAGCCTCCCGGAGTTGGCCAGACAAGGCCTCAACTCAGAAAGATCCAAAAGTTCCAGAGGCCATTCTGTCTTCCTCCATCCTTCCCCCACGTTACAGCCCTGGGAATAGAACCAGGACATTCCCCAACACCATCAGGCCTCAGACACCTAAGTGACAAGAATGGCCTCACCCCACAGAAAATGCACCTCGTTAGCTGAGGTAAGACCCCTCCCCTAACCATCCACAGAATATCCTGGCAGGGAACAGAATAGCAGGGAGCCACATTTAATGGCTGGAATAGCCACTCTGCCTCTGCAGGCCTCGGTCACTTATCCATAAAGTGGGCATGAGAGCAATAATGCTACTTTTCTTGCCTGAGAGCCATGAGATGACCTAGATGACCTCCGTATGTCCCTTATGGAGCTAAGATCTTAACTGTAGGAACAATCACAGCAGCAGCAAGCAAGAGCAGCCAAGTGACCCAGAATCAGCAGCTTCCTGCCCTGAGCCTGGCTGGCTGCCCCAGGGAGGCTGCAAGCAGGGGCAGAGACCCACATGTGCTATCTGGATGCCTATAAAACCTCTGAACCTTTACGTGGCACACACCTTGGGTTTTACCTGCGAAGTCTAGAGGGGGAGCAGCCAGACCTCCTGGCCTCTCTCACCTCATACCTATACCAGGTTCACAAATTCTGCAGAGAATGCACAGCACATTGACTAACTCAGATGCAAAAAGATGATTCCCCAGTGGGCACATGAGGACCGTAGCTAGGTCATCATCTTCTTTGCCTCCTTGCCAGCTACTTCAGCAGCCTCTGTCTCCCACTGGCCAGGCCCAGGCTGGAGAGAGGAGGATTCCCAGGCAGTCTGGAGAGGACTGATATTCTGCCCCCATCTTTGGAATCAGAGGCCCCCTCTACAATTCAACCTATTAAACATCGTGGATCATTGCGCTGTGCTACCTGCCAGGTTGGGTACTGGGGTAGAAAAAAAGAAAAGGTCACAGTCCCTATCCTCAATGATCTTCCAATCTTCCTAAAGAAAATGGCATGAAAAATCAATATCGTGGTATAACAACTGGGTTAACCAAATCAGCAAGAGGTACTGAAGGCTATGATGTACAAATGAGACATTATGAAGCCTAAGCCAGCAAGAGATACTGAATACCTATAATGTACAAATGAGACATCCCTGCCTGCCAAAGATCAGACACCTGTCTGTCCCTCCAGGATCTACCCTTCACAGGACATCATCCATAGGAAAGCCCCAGCTTGAACCAGCAACGCTCCCCGCAGATCCCTGCCCGCCACTCCCAGCAAAGGTCTTCATGAAGGCTCTTCCACAAGGACTGCTTGTTACTGGGATGTGGCCCAATCACGTGGGTACTGGGTGGGGGTGAGGAGGGAGAAAAGAGGACCCAGCTGCAGGCCTCGTAGTCCTCGTCCCCAGGCCTTGCTCGTGGTCACCCTGTGGGTGCACACAGGCTGCAATGTGTTCATACCTATGCCTGCACAATCAGGCATTGTGTGGGGGGGCCCCCAGGCCACCTCCCTTCACAGACTTCACACTCCCCCAGCCCTGCCTGGCCTATTCCTGCCACAATAAAGATGCCAATTAGGACAAGGTTTCCCCCAATTAAAAAAGAAAAGAAAAGATAAAAGAAAAAACTTCAGAGCAAAGATGACTCTGCTTTAACAATACCTGAGTCTGGGCCTGCTTCTGGGGCCCTTCCCCACCAGTACTGCCTGGGTAGTTAACCCTTAGCACAATGCAGATATTCAAAAAGCTCAGCCACCCCTGCTTCAGAGGAACACCCTGGCCATCAGGCATCCTCCTGTTCCTAAGCCAGCAAGAGGTACTGAATACCTATGATGTCCAGGGCACTAGACTCTGAAGGGGAGCAGTGGACGAAGCGGGGCTGTATAACTGAATAGGATTCCAGGTCCTGCCCACAAAAACGTGGGGTTTCTTAGGGAAGAAATGAACAGAAATACAAACAATAAAAGATCCAGGCCGGGCACAGTGACTCACACCTGTAATCCTAGCACTCTGGGAGGCTAAGGCAGGAAGATCACTTGAGGCGAGGAGTTGGGGACCAGCCTGGCCAGCATGGCGAAACCGCATCTCTACTAAAAATACAAAAATTAGCCAGGCATGGTAGCGCATGTCTGTAATCTCAGCTACTCGGGAGGCTGAGACACAAGAATCACTTGAACCCAAGAGGCAGAGGCTGCAGTGAGCCAAGTTCATGCCACTACACTCCAGCCTGGGCAACAGAGTGAGACTCTGTATCAAAAAAAAAAAAAAAAAAAGAAGTATCTGGCTTTATCTATACCTCTTCTGGTGTGGGAGCTCCAATGGAGGGACATATTATTTCCAACTGGATGCAAGGAGGAAGAATGCCCCAGGAAAGGATGCTGCAAGGAGAGGGCATTTACACTGAAGCATGAGAGATTTGGCCCTGTTGCGATGACCAGAGAAGGATATGGCATGGGAAGGGAAGCATAAGAGTTTACTCAACAGCAGCATCTGCTGAGTTGCCATATGCTAGAGAGTGGACTAAAAGGTTGTAACACAGATGTGAAAAAGATGGTCCCTGCCTTCAGGGGTGTACATTCTAAGAAATATGCAGAGAAAGGGATGAAGAGTGAAAATGTAGCTGGAATCTAGGATCCCGGATGGCTTTGAATGCCACGCTAAGAATTCTCTCGTTTCTTCTCTAGAATAGGCCATAGTGAGCCACTGCAGGGTTCAGAGCAGGAGAGCAACCCCATCAGAGCCCTACTCTGCTCAGGGAAGTGGGGTGATGAGCCTTGCAGGGGTGCACTGCAGGAAGGCTGGTGAGGAAATCAGGACAGCCATCTGGTTAAGTAGGCTGGAGAGGCAAATGGTGGATATGGAAGGCAAAGGGAAGACAGGAGCCACAGATGATGCCAAAGTCTGCAGTTGGGTGCCTGGGAAGAGGGCAGAGACCACAAAACATGAGGACACAGGAGACGATTCGAGAGGAAGGTGTTGAACTAGCTCAAACACATCACATTCTAGATCCTTGCAGGACTGGTGTGCCCGTGAGGCTACTGGAAAAGAATGTGTGAAACACAAGAAAAGACAAAAAACGAAAAACAACTAGAGGTAGAGATCTGGAAATCACCCACAGAGGGTTGCTTGTGGAAACCACAAGATTGTCAAGAAAGACACTGGAGAGACAGGAGAACTGGTAAGGTCATCTTCTTCTACATTCAGCAGAGAGGGTCACGGTTTCAACAGACATCGATGAACAACCACCATCTTTCCCGTGAGAAGAGAAACTACCAGCATTTTGCAGATGATGAAACAGACTCAGGAAGAGGGGGAGGTGGCCAAAGTGTTTGCCACTTAGAAAGTGGCAATGTCAGGATTCAAACACAGATCCCAGGGAGTTCCAGGCACCACATGGCACTGACCCTAGGGAGGGAGTTCCAGGAAATACCAGAGGAGGAGGGGGAGAAGTTGGCAGGAACAGGAGGGGTCAATGGAGCCAATACTGGAGTCTGGGAAAGTATTAGTTGGCGCAAAAGTAATTGCAGTTTTTGCCATTGAAAGTAATGTCTAAAATAGCAATTACTTTTGCACCAACCTAATACAGTGCTCTTGAGAACTAAGAGGTCACAAGCAACCTTTGAAAGAACAGCATCAACAGAGTTGAGGAGCTCTCAGGGCAAATGAAACAAGAAGTCCAAAGCTGGAGAGAATAACTCTGAAAGCACCCAAGTATTCCTTTTAATAGGATTCACCTCACAGGTGGTTGTGAGGATGGGATGTGTTAATGCAAGTAAAGTGCTTTGTCCATAGTAAATGCTCAATTAGCTATTATTTACTGAGTACCTACTATGTATTCAGCATGGTGTCAGCAGACAGCTGAGGGAGAGAAGATAAACCACAATCACTATCCTCATGGAACTTAGGTTGTGGCTGGGGGGATAAAACTTAAACTCAAACGAGGCAGCAGAGCTTATACTCAAATGGTGCAAACTGGAGATGGCACAGGAGACAGAAGAGGAAGCCAGCAAGCACCAAGACAGACAGACAGCGCTTCCCAGAGAAGCCTGACTTGAGGAGGTCTTGAAGGCTGGACAGGATGAGAGACACCAAGGAGAAAAAGAAGGACAATCCAAGTGCCAGTGGGGGTGGGGGAGTAGTGAATGCCAAAAACAAAAGCACTTCCGTTCCAAATCCCACTCTCCTGGCCACGCCTGGCTCCTCTGAGGCCCAGGGCTGAGTTTGCACTGCTGCGTAATGTTTGCAAAGGGTACAGCATGAATGTGAAAAAGGACAGGTGTGTGACTAGCCTAATGCCCCATTCAGCAGGCTCCACAGAGCAGGGCAGGAGTTAGTGGGCGTAAGAACTTCAAGCAAGCACCCAAGCCAGGCTGTCTGCAAGGCTCTTTACCACCACCACCCCCATCACTAAATACGTAGAAGGCTGAGGACATCAGAGGGGCTCTGCATTCTGAGCAGCCACATGGTCTCACACCCTCCCCAGTTTTGTCTTCCAATAATATCGCAATGATCCAACCCCTATCAAGTGCGCCTTACAAATGTCCAGAAAGCTAGCTTGGTATTCAAATCATTCTAGGACCTGGCCCCAATCCACTTTCCCTGCTTGATCTCCCATCCTACCCCATGCCCATCGCCCCATTCCAGCACACTACCTTGTATACAGGCACCTGCCCCCACCCATACACTGCCACACATTAGCTCATCTCCTACCTCCAAATGGCAGTTCCTGTCTCCACTTGTCCAAAGCCTAGCCATTCTCTAAAACCTGGCCAAATGCTACCTCCTCCATGAAGCCCTCCTGAATCTTCAATCAAAATTCAAAATTCAATTCCTCTCCTCTGCTCCCCCATACCTCACTTATATAATATTTAATCATACAGTCTGATATATATATATACACACACACACACACAAAGTCATACACATATGGCTGTCATTTCTGTTTTACAGTGAACTCTTACAGGGATTTATTAATTTCTCTGCATTACCCCCATAGCATTTAGCAACCACCTAGTACACAGTGATGCTCAGTAAATGCTTTTTGAATTGAATACCTATGGCTAAGGCCTCACTGTTTGGGGGACCTCCTCGAACCATGGGTGGCAATCCATTAGTGGGTCTTCATTAACGTTCTTAAATGAAATAAGATAGAATGGAAGAGAAGATACCAGAGCATATAGTAAAGATAAATAGAGTTTCATTGAACCTTTGGTTTGAGGTACGTTTGTCCATGCACTGGGCTGAGATGGAAAATGTACTACTTGCTGTGGGCCACAGCCTCCACTCTAAGATAAACCAGCAAATTAAAAACCCAACTTATCAGAGGTATCGTCAAAATCCTAACTTCTGAAGAATTCCTGAGGGTCACTACACACTCCACTCAATCACCGCCTACCACAGCTTCAGAACAGCATCATCACAGTAGGTTTTTGGAATCTGGACAAGAGTCCTCAATCATTGAACATGCCACAGGTCCCCTAGACTCTGCCCACTAAGGCAGGAAAGCACAGGGCTCCAAGGTGGGCAGATCTGAGCTAGCTTGATGACTAAAAACGGGATGCAGGATTTAACCCTTTGCTAACCAGACCATGTGCCTGAACAGCAGCTCATCTAAACATTGACTGTATTTTAAACCCAGAAAGCAACATTCCCAGATGATCCTGAGCAATAAGGCCTCCTCCCAGGATTTCTAACTTGAGGCCCCACGTGGAGAAGGGTGTCTAATCTGGGCTTGGAGGAACAGGGCTCTGGGATGATGCACGGAGTGGGGGCTCCCTCCCCTGCCTGACCCTGGCACCTGCTCCTTCTCACCCCTCTCATCAACCCCCACCCGCTCACCTGCTACCTGAGAATCACACAGCTGGCCACAGATCTCTACATTAGTTCAAAAAACCCTCCTCCTCCGGAGCTCTTATCCCTCTAAATAATGAATTTCTCAGCCCTAATTAATGCAAGAAAAGGGATGATATACATTTCTCTGTTGCTTTAAGTTACAGCTAGTTGGACACTCTGAGGGAAGAGCAGCCTCTAGCTAAAGGGTTAGATAAGCTAAAATCAATGTAAGCCACCGCCTCCAAATCTTTTAAATCACCACCTTCTCTCCCCCGACCATCTCTAAGCCAGACCCCTACAGTGGGCATGGAGCAATGTGTAAGCCTGGAAATGACCACCCATTCAAGCTAAAGGCAAGAGAGAGATCAATCCCCTACTGCCACCAAAAAATGAAATAAATAAAATAAAATAACTGCAGCCTCTGGGAGCAATCAGACAGCCAAGAACAAAGGAAATAACCTGAGAGCATGCAATGGAAACAATAGGATGGAGACACTCAGTGGACAGATTAGTAGAAACATAACATCTTAAACAATGGAGGTGAGAGCCTGGTTCTTCCACCAACGGATTAAAGCCACCTGGTTATGTCACGAAATATAATCACCCTGATGTGATCAGATGAAACAGTGATAGAAGATTTATCATCCTGGAAGTATCTGAGAGAGGGTTATAAGAATCATGAGAGGAACTAAAATCATAGAAGAGAAACTGCTGCCTAAATAAGGAAGCCATATAGTTACCTTATAAGTATCACCCACAGAGCAGAATTCTTGGCGGTGGGGCGGGGGGGCGGCATCAAGAATACTTTGAAAATGAAATGTCCTGCTCAAAGAACAGTTACTTCCCTCTCCTGGCTGCGGGGGTGGAGGGATCCAAGGGGAAGCTGGGTGGTACAGAACACGGGAGAGCCTCCGAAGTCCCTTCCAGCCCATCTCCCACCACAGCAGAACAGGGCAACCCCAGATGTCAGGGTAGTGGATTCTATCACCCTAAGAGGGCAGAGGGGAGAGGGCACAGTGCTAGGGCTCAGCTCATCTGAAAGGGCTGTGGGTGGCTGAGGAAGCTTGGAGGGGAAAGGCAGCTGAAGTACAATATATGTTCTACCACGGCCCCCTGGAGCCAGCGACTGGGACGTGAGACAAGTGGGCATGGCTCCTTTTCAAGCCAGAGTCTCCAAAACCAATTTCTTAAAGCTAGCCTCCAGTGGCCAGTGGGTTTCGGGCAGGGAAGGAGGATGTCTATACTGCAGGTTGAAGTTTAATTTATATTTAGGAACTGTTTGTTTTATTTGGTTTTGGGTTAAAGGTGGTAGGTGCCAAGCAAGACTATCCCCCTTTCAACTTCTTTTTTTAAAAAAGACAAAGAAAAGAGAAAAACAAAACAACCAAACACCCGTAGCCCAAGGCCATGCTGCGCTGTGGGCGGCCTACATGAGCTTCCTTTATCCAACCACAAAAAGGCATCCGTGGAACCAGCGAGGGGCCCTGGAACGGCGTTTCCAAGGCCGGCCCGCTCCTCCGTTGAGGTTAGCAGTTACCCAGGGGCCAGGAGCCACTCGGGCAAACAGCCCATGCCCCTCGTTACACAACGTTGGGGCCCTTATCTCCCCATGCCACTGTCGGTTTGCAGACATTGCGTAGTGCTACGACCACAGCCGAGACTGGCCCGCGGGAGATAGCGTCGCTGTTCACTATCAGGGAGGCAAGAGGGGAGACTGGGTTTCTATTAAAAGAGAGTTAGAGAGACGGGTAACAGTCCGGCAGACCAGCTTCAGAGTGTCACTTCCTTTGATCCTGACAGCTGAAGACCCCCTCTCCCCAGGCCCCTCTCCCAGCTTCCCCGCCCACCGAGAGGTGGCAAGGGTCCATTTCATGTCCTCTCATCAAATCTTGGTAGAGTGCCAGGTACAAGATACAGGGGAGAGGTCTCCTTAGGAGCTGATGATCACGCACTAAACTCCTTTTCAGACAGGCTCGTGAAGGCAGGGAAGGAGCAGGGGGCAGTCAGACACATGCCTAGTGGATGTCACATCAGTATGGAGCACTCCAGTCACGTCACTCTCCTTTTCAAATGCCTTCCAAGGCTCCAACTCTCCCGGGATAAAGTCCAAAAAGAAACAGCAGTTAAAACAAACAGCAGTTATATTTATTGAGCAACTACACTGTTACAGGCACTGTGCAGAGTGTGTTAAGTACACTACCCCAAATCCTCAGGCTATCCCACACAATAACTGCACTGTAGGAATGAAGAAGCTACAGTTCATGGTGTGTGTTGCTGTTGTTGTTGTTGTTGTGTTGAAATAGAGATAGGGTCTCACTTTGTTGCCCAGGCTGGAGTGCAGTGGCGTGATCATAGCTCACCACAGCCTTGAACTTATAAGTTCAAGCCATCCTCCCTCTTCAGCCACCCGAGAAGCTGGGATTATGGGCATGCACAGCTGCATTTTTAATTTTTTTTTTTTTTTTGTAAAGATCGTCTCGCTATATTGCCCAAGCCAGTCTCAAACTTCTGGCCTCACGCAATCCTCCTGCCTTGGCCTCCCAAAGCACTGGGATGACAGGTGTGAGCCACTGCACCCAGCCAGTTCACAGTCCTTGATGGCCAACATCACACAGTTTGCAAGTGGCAGCATGAAAATCTGAACCCGGGTCTGCTCAACTTCAAACTCATTTTCTCTCCATTCTTCATGCTGCCTTCTCTAATCTCTCTCCACGCATTTATAGCACCACAGTCTGACCCCAGCCTACCATTCCAGCATGAATCACCCTCATTCCTGCCAAAGAAAGTTACTCCTTGTTTTCTCCCCTGGCCCTGACCACAATTTTCCTTCTTTCTGTCCCCGTCTTCAAAACCTACTTATCCTTTAATATCCTACTCATGTGCTACTTCATCCAGGCTCCCAACATGTATCAAAATCACCCTTACACAGTTACGGACAGGACTGCTAGCTAAGTAAGGATCTTTCTTCCCCATTAGGAAAGCCCCAGGAGGGTAGACGTCTTGTCTATCTTGCTCATCACAGTATTCCCAGGGCCTACCCAGGTGCCCAGCAGACAGTAAGTGCTCAACAAGGTTTTAAAATTTAAAATGAATCACTCCAGACAGAAGTCATTTCAACTCTGAATATATATATCATAGTCTTTCCATTTCCTATTCTCTGTCATAGATATCAACATACATATTTTAACTCAAAGTATAAGCTCTTCAAGGAAAAGTCCCATGTCTTAGCAATCTTTGGGTCTCAAAACCCCCAACATAGGGCATTGTCTGTAAATCCTAAGGAGTTGATGTACATTAGTCTGCTCAGGCTCAGCAGCAGAGAGGTTAATGAGTGTCCCAGGAGGCAAGTCACCATGCCAGAAACCCCCCAGCATCCCTCACAGACAAAGATCTGAAACTGCTCTCAAGTCAGATTCTAGTCTTGCCTACCCCTTGGTAGAAGCAGAGAACAGACCTGGGCAGTCACAGGCAGGCTTGTGAAGGAAGAATTAAAGTGGGCTGGGAGTGAGGGTCCTGGTTTTGCCTCTAGCTTGCTGTGTGACCTAGGGAAAATCACAGAACCTCTCTGGACCTCCACTTACTCCTCCCAAATGAGCATGCTGCAATAAATGATTCCAAGGGCCCTTCAGCTCTGACTGTGATTCTTGGACACATTGAGAGCCCACGCCTGCAAAGCAGGTGGAGAGTGCCTTCCTCAACAGGTGGCAAGAGGAGGAATGGAGACAGGGACACTTAGACAACCTCTCTGTGCTATTCCTCAACCTTCCGAAAATAAACAAACCTTAGCTAGTGAATAAGCCAGTCCCTCTCGTTAGCCAGAACAACAAGCATGATATGAATATGGATCTGAAGTAAATAGAAGGGAGAAAGCAGATACTGAAATGGATTTTCAATAAATAACTTCCCTCTAGTTAAACCTGAATTTTTTCCCACATATGTATGCTTTCACAGATCCAGTTTGGGAGCATTCAAATTAGCACAACCTGGCCTTAAATACTGCACAAAACACATAGTAAGCATTTTGCTTTTATTTATGTCATCAATGGTTTCAATGGGAATGACTCATCCTTCCTCTTTAACACTCTGTTCTAATATGGTTTACTATAAATAATGCAGAGAGAGAGAGAGAGAGAGAGGGAGCACCAGCGAGAGCGAGCATGTGCAGCTCAGCACAAGGCCCCTGCACTGTTAGGTCACAAAAGAGCCGAGTCCAACAGACAATCCTAAGGTGAATCTTGGGCTCAGTGGATGGGCGAGTGTTGGTTCAATGGAGAGGAAAAGCAAACATTCCTCTCTCCACTATTCAAGTGTTCGGGGCAAGGAACATTGTCAGGAAAGGGGAAAAAAATACATGCTGAGTATATGCCAGGTACCAGGCTAAGATTTGAACACACAAGCTCCTTTAACCTTCCAGAGCCTTCCAAAGAGGCAGAGTCAGAATTCAAACTCAGGCCACTGTGCCTCCCAGGCCTCCCTACTCCCCGGGGTGTAGGGGGTCAAAACTCAATCCATTCTTTCTAGCCTCAACCAACATCTAACAGTGACAGTCCTGGTTTTTTGTTTTGTTTTGTTTTCTTTTCTGTTCTTTTAACAACAGAAGTGCCGCCCCGGAGCCCAAACTCACAGGAGGCCAAACCACAAATGCAGAAACATTACAGCAGTTAAAAGGAGTCTTCCCAGTCCCAGGCAATCCATGGCAGCGACTCCTTCCTCACTGGGAGTCCAGCCATAGTAGCTGGAAATCAAAAGCCCCTTGGCCTTGTCCACTTCCCACCTAAGAAGTGAGGCCAACACTCACCCCAGTGCTGAGCCAACAAGCCTTCCCCACACACCCCTTCCAGAATCTGCCTTCCGAGTCAGACACAGCAGCCGACAGTGCTTATCACTCACTATAGTCAACAGATTTGCTACTGCATTATTTTGACCATTTCCAATAGTCACATCTACCCTCCCAAAAGGCAAAGCAAAAGAATGCGGCACACACTTCAGAAAGAATTCCCAAACATTCCCAAACTCTGTGGGGCTGTGGCAGCATCACAGGATTAAGCAATCATTTATTAGAAATGTGGCTTCTTTAGAACAGCAGTAGCACTTTGCAAATGGAAACTTTTATATTCACAATGTACTAACATTATTCACCTATTATTTCACCAGCTGGCTGCTAGCACAGGGTTAGTACTATCATCAATTTAGCAGTGCCCAAAACAAAAGATTTCACTGGTTCCTTTCATAGTTTCTCCCCGGGCCATAACAGGGCTACAGCGCAATCATACATGTCTACCCAGTACACCTGCACTCTGCTATGCACTTTACACGTTTTTTATCCTCATTACCATGGACAAGGTGGTCATTTTCAAAAGAAAAGTAAACAGGGGCTCAGAGAAGCTAAGCCACTTGCCCAAGACATACAGATAGTAAATTCTGGAGCCTGAGTCTTCATCCAGGGTGCCTCCTTCTTCTTCTTCTTCTTTTTTTTTTTTTAATGAGACAAAGTCTTGGGCTGGAGTGCAACGGCAGGATCTGGGCTCACTGCAACCTCCGCCTCCTTCAAGCAATTTTCCTGCCTCAGCCTCTCCCGACTAGCTGGGATTACAGGCACCTGTAATCCCAAGCGATTTTCCTGCCTCAGCCTCCCCCGACTAGCTGGGATTACAGGCACCTGCCACCCAGCTAATTTTTGTATTTTTAGTAGAGACTGGGTTTCACCATGTTGGCCAGGCTGGTCTCAAACTCCTGACCTCAGGTGACCCACCTGTCTCAGCCTCCCACAGGGTGCCTCCTTCTAAAGCCAACCTTCTTCCCTTCATTCCATACTGTCCCTAGAAAATACCACGCCCGCCCCCTCCTAGAAAGTCTCCTTCTTGAGTGAGGAACCCCCTCCCCCTCAATTCCTGGGCTGTATTTCACTATCTTTAGCATCTCTTGGACTTTGAGCTAGCTGTTTCAACTTCCCAGTGAGTCTGTCCCAGTAGATGCCCCCTGCTCTAAATAGCACCCTCTGCGATCCGCAAACATTACAAGGACATCAAAACAAAGCTATCAGCTGGGTTCCTAGCTTTAGCAGCCAGTCTAAACTCTTTTGTTTGTTTCTCAGACAGCTTATTGACTAGGTGATGAGGTCAGAAGTTTTCTTTTCTCCTTGGCTCTTCAAGAAGCACCTGCAAAGTCAGGGAAGGTAGAAAAAGTCCACTCATTTAAGATTTCAGATGAACATCATTTTTCTGAGCATCAATTGCTTACCAGCCAACAACTTGTAGGGGTGGGAGACGACCAAGGGAGAAAAAGATGGGAACTTAAAAAGCAAAGATAACCTCCACCCTTTCCCATCTTGTATTAATGTGGGCATAGGCAACCCACTTGATGAAATGTTCTCAGAGACTCTGCATGTCCACATGAAGGAGGAGAAAAGTAGGTGAGGGCAGGAAGCTGATCAACCGTATGATAAATGCAGCTGTTGTATGTGACAAGCTACCTGTTTTCTTTCATCAGGCTCTTTCACACTTCTCCAGCCCACTAAAAGAGGGTCCTGGCTCCCCACCTGTCCCCTCCTTCATAACACACCACCCCTCACCCTGACCCCAACAGTTTATCTTTGCATATTGGAAAAACTGGCATTTATCAAGTAATCTACTCCTCATAGGTTGTTAAACAGACCACAGGGGTTATCAGTGGGGCTGATATAGGAAGATAAACAGCAACCTCTTATGCAAATAGCACTAAGAATGTGGGACTGGCCACAGGACAAAAGCAGAATTTAGGAGAACATGAATCTTAACACTTTTCTTCAGTTGCAACCCTGGAAACCCACAGGAACCTGGAGAAGGTTCTCTTGGGTGGGATTTCCCCTCCCTTTCTTGCAGGGAGGGGCAGGTGTGTCAGGAGGTGCAGCCTGCTTTGCAAGGCAAGGTGGCGGCTTCACGTCTGATGAGGCAACTCCTTTCTGTGGCCACAACCTTCTCCTCTGCGCAACAGCCGTTTCATTTTTTCTGAGATTTCGGACCCACTGGAACGTGCTTAGTTCAGGCTGAGGAGGAGTCGGACTAATTGAGAGAAAGAGAAGGTGTTCTCCCAGGTGAGAGTCGGGGGTCAGAGGGCAGTAGGAAAAAAAAATGCATAGAAAACAAGGAGTTCTGGGTTCCAAGATGCAACCCCCATGACCAGGAGATGCTCTTCAGATCTGCCTTTGCTGGGAAAGAGGCGGGAGGTGGCCTGGGGTCCAGGTGGCATCTTTTCAAACCCTTCTCATTATTTAAGGGCAAACTCACATCAAGAACCAAGAGGAGAGTGGCTCCAAGTGACAAAAGAATTACACTTAGAGGAACATAGCAAGCGGCTTCTCACACCAGGCTGCAGGCTGGGGAGGGGGAAAATGGGAGCAGAATGACAGAATCCAGGGCTGGCCAGAATGAAAGACTGAATGGAATAGGCTAATTTACACAGGAAGTAAGCACTTACCAGACCCTTCATCTCAACACACAAAACCCTCGGCCATATCTGGAAGCAATTACATCCAGTTAACATGATCTGCTTGCCACTAAAATTAACTGCAAACAGAAATATTTTTCACTTTTGCAACAGGGGATGCCAAGGTTTGGCCTATTCTCCCCCCCAGCCGTTGAATCTGGCTGCTGGGGAATATTTAGCAGCTACTCAGCTCAAAAAAACAAAAACTACTCTTGTAGCTGTCAGGACACAGAAAGTAAAATAGTGGATAATTATGAAGGGGGGAAAGGCGCGGGAGAGGTGGCAATGAAAACCATTGTGCTAGAAAGTGAGGAAAGGGGCCAGGCACATGGGCCCTATATAGGTCTGCATCCCTGACAAGTCCAGTCTGGTTTTCCACACTGAACTTCAAGGAAAGAAAAATGTTTTTAGAGTCACTCGATTTAGCAGCCGCTTCACATTGTTTTTAGGTACCATCTTTATCCCTTCTGCCAAGGGGGCGGGGGTGGGGGTGGGGGGAATGCAGGGAGGTAGACTCACAAATGTTAGCGGATCCTTAATTTAGCAGATCATTTAGGGGACAACTGTCACGATTTAACTTTTGCATTGAACATTTCCAATCCCTACTCTACAAACGCCTTCGAAGCAGCTTTCACCGGCTCTAAGCGGGGCAAGAGCTGCTTTTAATTTGAGACGTACACAGTTTTTCCACGTAAAGTGAAGAGAAGCCCACGAGGAGGTGAGAACTTGCCTCCGTGAGCGTGCGTGCCCAGAAATGAGCCAGTGGCCCTTTCTCCAAAACTCCAGATCCAGCCGCCCGACTCGCTGGCCACTCTAGTCCTTCGGCTTTGCAATCAGCCCCGCAATCAGATAAGAACTTATTTTTATTTTTCCTTGAACTGCTGTCAACGATGCCATAAATGCCAGAGACAGATGGACAGATTTCTTTTAAAGTTCCTGAGGAGGCGTCATCTCCAAACCCTTCCCCCAGCGGCCCCTCTTTTCTGGGCCAGATTCCGGCATGCTTTCCCCGAAAGTGCAGTTCACTCCTTTGTCACCAGGGGCCTTTAAAACGGCAGCGGCAGCAACAGCAGCAAAAGTAACGCATCCATTTGCCAGACAACTCACAAACATTTTTTCTCAAGAAGAGGCAGGCAGAAAAGTTCCCCTCAAGAATGAGGTCAGACACTGCTGTTCTCTGCAAAAATCACACTTAGAAACATTACTCATGGGAGAAACAAAAGAAAACGAACAACTTAAGTAGCCTTTCTTTAGGACTTTGGGCTATGATGGGGGGAAAACTTTTGGTCTTGATCTGTTAAAGAGCAAAAAAGCACTATGCCATTCTTTTTAATTTTTAAAAACTTAGGCCAGGCGCAGTGGCTCACACCTATAATCCCAGCACTTTAGGAGGCTGAGACAGGCAGATCACCTGAGGTCGGGAGTTCAAGACCAGCCTGGCCAACATGGCGAAACCCCATCTCTACTAAATATATATATATATATATACAAAAATTAGCCAGGTGTGGTGGTGCACCCCTGTGGTCCCAGGTACTTGGGAGGCTGAGGCACGAGAATCACTTGGACCCAGGAGGCGGAAGTTGCAGTGAGCTGAGATCGCGCCACTGCACTCAAGCCTGGGCAACAAAGTAGGACTCTGTCTCAAGAAAAAAAGAAAAAAAACCCTTAATTTTACAATGGAAAAAATACTGAAGTATACACATCCTTTCAAGTATACAACCTGAGGCCACACCACTGGCCGGACGCTGGGCCATGTATTCTCTATACATCACCTACTTAACAACACTGCTCTACCACCAGTATGAATCAGAAGTTATTAACTTCATCTCACAGATGAGGAAGTGAGTGGTGAGGAATCTTGCCACGGTCACACAGCCTCTAAGAGACAGAAGATTAATTCGAACCCAGGTTCAATTCCAGACACAATGCTCTCCAGCTTCTTACCACTTTGCAGCCAACAATCGCAGGAAATTTAGATGCTGCAAGAATGCAAGAAAAAGAAAAAAGAAAAGGAATCCTCCCATGAAATCCACCCACTCCCAGCAACAGCCCCTGCTAGCACGTGGGGGTCTCTCCTTCCCCTTGACCACCCCACACACACATGTACCTAGGCACATACGCTCACAACACGGCTCTGTCACTGCACAGCCGTCCAGGCATGGAAACGGTTAAGTCGCCCTCACTGCATAAATCAAAAGTTCAAGGCTGCAACATACCACAATGATTCCCTCTTTACATATGACAAGAACCAGAGAGGGGCTGAAATCCCAAGCATCCTGCACAGGGTCTCCCCGGCCCGCACAGGTTATGCCGCCAGGGTCAGGGCCGCGGACCTTTAGCGGCAACATTCATTTCCTGAACAGGACAAGTTCTCCTGACCATAAAGCTAATAGGAACTTCCTCGCACGGCGAGCTCCGGCTGACAGGGCTACTTGTCACTGGCCACGCAGGAGGAGAGCACTGGTTCCCATTAGTGGGTTATGATGCCAGGTGCTACTAATAAGGTACATCGGCAAGAAACAAGAGCCTGCTAAGTTGTCTCTCCAACTCTGGAAGTAATCAGGCCTGGGCTTCGGTGTTGGGGAGGGACGTTCCTTAAAGAGATGGGTTGGGGGAGCTGAGGGTTTTGCCATAGTAGACCCCAGCAGCACCTAACCTGCTGAACAGCTTAAATAAATTTCCAACAATCCCTCCACATTTCCCCCAGCTACCATAAAAAGCTCCCCCAAATTAACACTAATAATGGTTGCCCCAGCACTGTGGGCCCGATGGATCACGCTAAGGGCCATTATGGTCGGCCACATCTGCTTCTCACTATGGCAAGGAGAGCCGTGCCAACAGGCCTAATGGCATTAAGATCACAACGCTGAGCTAATCCACTTAGAGCACAACGCCGGGTGAGGGTGGCAGGGGGCTCAGCGGCTCCCTTGTCAGGCTGGGGTCATGAGAGAAGCAGGAAGTAGGGAGGTGGCCTCACACTCTGTGTGCTTTAGGTTACAAGTGATCTCATTAACATACTTTAAAAACCACATTGAGAGGTAGGGGCTAACCTCACTTCACAGAAGAGGATACTGCTGCTTCACAGAGGTGAAGTCATTTGCCCAAATTCACCATGGAGCACTAGTATTCAAACCCAAGTCCATCAGACGTCAGTCTTTCTGCCCCTGCAGTGCCACCCCATCTCCCACTAAGACGATGGTTTGGTGGCACATTTGACTTGTTCTCAGCAAGCCTGGTGGTGGTGGTTTATGTGCGTGTATATGTCTTTTCTTCTTATTTCTGGGGGAACCGAATGGCCCTAAAGAGGAAAGAACTCTAAAAACCACTTCAAATGGCCCAGAATGTCCCCCCTTCATCAAAATGTCTGTGACAGTCTTCTAACAACTTTCTCAGTAACACCCCAGTGTCTCAGGAAGTCCTTTCTCTTACCTAACTTGGACCCTTTCTACTGCAATGCTGAACACAATCTGTTCACACCGAAGAAAATCAGGTCCCGAGGACACAGTTGAAAGTGAGCTAGGAATTTAGAATTAAGGTTTTTCTAAGTATTTAGCGGAAGTTTCCATGCTGACAATAAAGTACCGGATCCCCTCCTTGCAGCTGCAGAGATAAGCCTCACGTAGGCAAAACCCAACCATAGTTTTTCCAGACTGCACCAGCATAATAAGGACACCGGGGCTTTTAAGGGGAAACAGTAGAAAGGGGAATTTCTGATTATGCTGGCATGAAATTAACAGCATGGGATTTTTATTTTTGTAAATGGGTTTCTTTTTTCTCTCTTTTTCTGTTTTTCAAGTCAGCATAAAAGGCCTCTATCACTAGAAGCTGATCTCTCTGTGTTGGTAAGAGATGACGTACTAGTCCTTGGATCCATGCGGCCTGGGCCCCTAAAGAGCTGAACCCTCTGCAGTAACCTTCCTCCTCGCAAGAAGCCACCAGAGGAACTGAGGAGGCCAGAGCTGGTGAAGCCATGAGCCCCCTGGTCACCCAGCTGCAGAGAGCATGGAGCCAGAAGACCTGAACATAAATCCTGGTACAACTCTTTTTTTTTTTTTTTTTTTTTTGAGACAGTCTCACTCCTTTGCCCAGGCTGGAGTGTAGTGAGTGGCATGATCTCGGCTCACTGCAAGCTCTGCCTCCCGGGTTCACGCCATTCTCCTGCCTCAGCCTCCCGAGTAGCTGGGACTACAGGCGCCCCCCACCACGCCCGGCTAATTTTTTGTATTTTTAGTAGAGACGGGGTTTCACTGTGTTAGCCAGGATGGTCTCGATCTCCTGACCTCGTGATCCGCCCGCCTCGGCCTCCCAAAGTGCTGGGATTACAGGCATGAGCCACTGCGCCCGGCCTGTACAACTCTTTACTAGAGAAAAGTCCACTAACCTCTTGGGCTTCTCTCCGCCCATCTGAGAATGTGAAACTGATACCCACCTTACAGGACAGCTAGAGGTCTTACAGAGATGCTGGCTGTGAGTGCACTTAGCACAGAATCTGACATGTAGCAAGCACTCAAAACAATGTCTGCTGAGTCCACATTTTAGAAGCATCCTGCACTGACAGGCAGGAAAGGGAAGGAGCTCTGGAACCCCCAACACCCACAAGCCCAGCCCCAGGACCCCCATCAGTAAGGTGGTATCTGTGCTCTTCATCTCTCTCATAAGCACAGTGATGTGCACGCCTGGCCACGTGCACAGGCAACAGGACACCGCATCAGTGAGCCTCCCCGGCATTTGGACCCGATGGCAGTGGAGCGCTGCCCGGCTAAATTTAAACGAGAACTGGAATGACTCACCAGGCCTCAGGTCAATGGGACAAAGAGTACCCTGGCCACCACAGTACAAGAGATCAGCTTCTGGGGAAGACGCAGAAGCAATGTCTCAGCCCCAAACATGAGGTGCCCGAGGCAGCAGTTTTACAGCACTGTACGGATTGACGCCTATGCGGAAGAACGGTCTCAGGGAGAAAGCAGGATCTGGACCAACATGAACACATTTTTCACCCTGCATGGCTAGCATGACCTACTTCACACAATGACAAGAAAAATACCCTAGCAAACACTTATGGAGCACTTACTTTGTGCCACCGTTCCTCACACAGGATAAATATTTTCTGATGAATCCTTATAACAACCCAATGAAGTAGGTACTACTATTATTTCTGTTTCACAAATGAGCAAACAGGCACACAGAAGTTAAGTAACACAACCACTGTCACAGTTAGTAAGTAGCAAAATCAGAAGTCTGACCTGGACAGTCAAAGTGCTCATTTCCTATCTGTAAAACGTGGGGGTGGGGAAGAGTTGTAGCAAATTTCTTACTACTTAAATAACTGCCAGAGAGTAAGAGCTTTCACCCCACACACCCAGCCAAAACAGAATAGAAAATCTTTAGTTATGGAAAATTCAGAAACCCTCCAATGGACAAACTGAGGCACACCTGTATTCATTTAGTAAGACTCTAAGTCATATATACTTGGGCTTTCAGCAGGGCTTGCTTTAAATTAATAAAAAAAATTAAAGTGATTGGAAAAGTTTCTCTCCTGAATTAGCAAGAAATCAAAGAGCTGTGAATAGAATTTGATTTTAACAGTTTAGGATAATCACTATTTTAAAGATTCATAATAGTTTTCCTAGAACGAGCAGGAGGAAAACGTGTTGCTAAACTATAGCTTTCTCCCTCCCAGCAATTAGCGGCTCCATCCAATAGTGATGGCAAATTAAAATGGGACTTCTCACTGAGATGAAAGAGTGGGCAACTTTCCTCCATTGAAAATAAAATAAAGGAAATCATCTTCAAAAGTTCCAAGAGTTCAGTCTAGATCCCAGATGGCTCAGTAACCCTAAGCAGGTTAAAGTATTTTAAAAAAAAAAAAAAAGTCAGAACACACAGAATCAAATCAAACTGACCCCCTACTTAACTGGCTGAACTGCCAATCCAGATTCCAAAACAGCAAAATTCAATTAACCAAAAGGACTTCATGAAGATATAAGTGGGTACACAAAGAATAAAAGAATTTTTTAAAGAGCGCAACAATCCAGAAAGAGCTCACTGAAGTGCCTAGTTTTAAAAATGAAGAAGTTAAGGCTCACGATGAAAAAAACGATGTCAATGGTGACAGAGCTGAAAAACGCAGAGCTAGGTCTAGACCTGGCCTCACCACTACAAAGCCTTCTGCCATCTTCCTATCTTCACAACCAACAACCTCTCTCCAAAAGACCAGATTTCCAGGAGCCCAGGAGATTATAAACTTGTCATTCATCACCCCTAAAAAGGATACTTCCTGGAAATGGAAATGGATTCAAAAAGGATTTTGGCAAATCTGTGAATGACAAGGCAGCCATAAATAGCTACTAAGAGAAGCTACACCTGACCTTTAGGATTGACGTCAAGGAAGATGGTTGTAGCCTCCAATGGTGGTATCTTAGGCATGGTGATGGCAACCAAAGACTAGGTCAGATGGATTTGACCCAGAAGAGCAATGCTCATGTTCTTATATGGCCTGGTGCAGAGCGCCCAGGACTGTGAATTAGAAGGCAAGCTGAGTGCCTGGTTCTACCCATTTATAGCTGTGTGACCATGGGAAGTCACTTACTTGCTCCAAATCTCATTTTCCTCATTTGTCAATAGAGAATGATAATCGTTCATAATCCCTTATCCAAAACCTTCAGGTGCTTCAACGACCAAAACTGTTCAGACTTTAGAAAGGTACTCTGGGCCGGGCGCGGTGGCTCACGCCTGTAATCCCAGCACTTTGGGAGGCCGAGGCGGGTGGATCATGAGGTCAGGAGATCGAGACCATCCTGGCTAACAAGGTGAAACCCCGTCTCTACTAAAAATACAAAAAATTAGCCGGGCGCGGTGGCGGGCGCCTGTAGTCCCAGCTACTCGGGAGGCTGAGGCAGGAGAATGGCGTGAACCCGGGAAGCGGAGCTTGCAGTGAGCCGAGATTGCGCCACTGCAGTCCGCAGTCCGACCTGGGCGACAGAGCGAGACTCCGTCTCAAAAAAAAAAAAAAAAAAAAAAAAAGAAAGGTACTCTGACACCTATCGTGTTTAACAGCCCCAGCAGAGTCTAGGGCAGCACTCTGTAATCAAACACATTAATATTTTTGCAGCAAAACATATGAATATTCAAACTAAGCAGGATAAATATAGCCTCACATCAGTTCAGATCAGGTTTTGCCACTAAATGAGTTTACTGCAAACTTTTTAGTTTTCAGAGCTTTTCAGACTTCATTATCACAGATATGGGATTATGGACCTGTACCCACTCAAGGAAGGCTGTGAGGGCAAGAGAGATAAAGTCATTAGAGGTGCTTTGCAAAGAAGAAAATGCTGCAACCGATAAAAGGTATTATTAATATCATTGCTGTGGCTATCATTATTCTACAGCATACCCTTTTCCAAACAGAATTTAGTTTGACATCAGAGGTTCTGGACGGGATGATGAAAGAAAACCAAGAGTCTCAGGAAACCTCAAAAATCCCAAAAGTAGCCTAAACCAAGGTCAACACCTGTTGGCCTTCTACATGATCAACCACTAAAAACAGAGCAGCTGACCATCTGAGAGAGACCAAGGCCAAGGGCCAGGCAGAACTCTGATATCTTAGCCACAAAGCTCATGCACCGTACAGCTGGCTCCACAAAGCCTCTGGGAAGGGCTGTACACACGGATCCAGAAAGCTGGCTCAGACATTCCCTGTGGTTCCTGAGAATCCCTTCAAGAACCAGGCAATAGGCCGGGCGTGGTGGCTCACACCTGTAATCCCAGCACTTTGGGAGGCCGAGGCAGGTGGATCACGAGTTCAGGAGATCGAGACCATACTGGCTAACACGGTGAAACCCTGTCTCTACTAAAAATACAAAAAATTAGCCGGGCGTGGTGGCGGGTGCCTGTAGTCCCAACTACTTGGGAGGCTGAGGCAGGAGAATAGCGTGAACCTGGGAGGCAGAGCTTGCAGTGAGCTGAGATCGCGCCACTGCACTCCAGCCTGGGAGACAGAGCGAGACTCCATCTCCAAAAACAAAAAGGAACCAGGCAAGAGTTGCGACGGTGTCTGTGCAGGACATCCACTGCAGCTGACCTAAGTGCTTGTCTGTATAAGATCCAGAAACCAGACCCCATTGTGCCTCTGCAGCACTAAATTCAGAAACACATAAAGACCAAGCTGCGTGAGCCATGGGAGACTAGGGACTATAAATGAGGACTATGTTCACACTTAAGTCTATAGAACTATACTGTTCCCTGCAATCTTATCGCATATGTACGTAACTCTGAGAATGATCAGGTGCTCCTGGCCTGGATGAGCTGGTTCCTAGACCATTTCCAGAGAAGCCTACATGCAGAACTGCTCCAGCCTTTTGGAATAAGAAAGGGAGGGCCCAGTGTTCCAGAATCCTGAGATGATCTTCCCCTCCCTCAGGCATTATCCTCTGTAATGTGGATGCACTGGTGAAGATTTGGGGGCCCAAAGCTTGCTCCTTCATCTGCCTGCAGAATACTGCTTATCTATCAGATCTTCCCACTGTTCTGACTTCCTTCTGGTTTGTTTAGGTAAGTCAGTCCCATTGGATGCCTTTGTCTGGTCTTCCCACCCATCCATGACTACACTTGACACTGCATCCCTTTTACAGCACGTCATTCCTGCAGTGGACGGCTTGTACATCTTGCTGTCCGCTGCAGGAAACAGGCTCTACAACTCCACTAAGTTTGATTCTCACTATCTGTTGAGCCAACAGCTTACCCTTCACTCCACACCAGCTTGGGATCAAATCATGGGGAAACTTACCGATGACATTCCATAATAAACTCCCTGCCTTCCTGCCTCACTTACCAGCAATCCGCCTTCATTTCCTCTCCATTCCCTTCTGCCCCCCCACCCCAAGAAGAAATGCAAGAAGGACTGCTGGGTATCTAGTCTTTACCAACACTCAGGCCTATTGACTTAAAAATAAAATAAAATAAACCCTGTAGCCTGTTATTTTATCACTGATATATTTCCAGTGAATGCCATGGCTTCCTGGCCTCAAAATCTCCCCTTCTGATTTTTTTTTTTTTTTTGTCTTGGCTTTTTGTTTGTACTGGTTATAGGGCTGTTGTTTTTTTTTTTCCACCATAGCATTTCTCAGACTGCTGATGGGTTGGGGGGAGACAGAGAACAGTAGAAAAAAGGGAATAGCACATTAATCCTGGAGTTTTGAGGGTGAGGGGGAGAAAAAAAGCCTTCTACAAAGTACATCTAGCTGGGACCCGAGGGGCTGTTGATCTGAGTGAGGGCTGAGCACACGCAGGATTATTTTCTCCCCTTTCTGATTTCTTTAGACCCCCAAGCTTCCCATCAAAGGCACTGCCCCTGGCTCTAACTTCTTGGGCTGCAGCTGCTGACTTTCCACCCTCAGTCAAAAGCACATTCTCGGCCCAGCAGGGTGGCACACACCTATAATCCCAGCACTATGGGAGGCCGAGACAGGTGGATCACTTAAGGCCAGGAGTTCCAGGCCAGCCTGACCAACATGGTGAAACCCCATCTCTACTAAAAATACAAAAATTAGTCGGGCATGGTGGTACACATCTGTAGTCCCAGCTGCTCAGGAGGCTGAGGCAGGAGAATCACTTGAACCCGGGAAGTAGAGGTTGCAGTGAGCCAAGATCATGCCACTGCACTGCAGCCTGGGCGACAGAGTAAGACTCTGCCTCAACAACAACAACAACAACAAAAGCACATTCTTCCTGTCAGCAGCCCACATGTGACACGGAGGATTCCAGGGCCAGTGTCTTGCTGTCATATGCTCACAAGGACAGGGACATTCTCTGCACCACCTCACAGTCAACACAACCCTCATGGAGGGTGGCACTGTGGACACTACACACTAGAACTCAGAGCCAATGAGGACCATGCAGAGATGAGGCCTAAACAACACAAGGGACAGATGGTCAGTTCTCCACCGCTGCGGTGACTATGTGCCCATCACAGCTCTAGTGATTTCTGGATCTTACTTCATTAATTCAGCACCAACCCTGTTGACCGTCTCCATTTTAAGAAGTGAGTGAAGGCCGGGCGGGGTGGCTCACAGCTGTAATCCCAGCACTTTGGGAGGCCGAGGTGGATGGATCGCAAGGTCAAGAGATCGAGACCATTCTGGCCAACATGGTGAAACCCTGTCTCTACTAAAAATACAAAAAATTAGCTGGGCGGGGTGACAGGTGCCTGTAGTCCCAGCTACTCAGGAGGCTGAGGCAGGAGAATCGCTTGAACCCGGGAGGTGGAGACTGCAGTGAGCTGAGATCACGCCATTGCACTCCAGCCCGGTGACAGAGCGAGACTCCGTCTCAAAAAAAAAAAAAAAAAAAAATGTAGTGAGTGAAACAAGGCCCAGAAAGGTTAAATAAGTATCACAGGCTCTCACCACTAAATATGGCCAATTCCAATACCCAGGCTCTTTCGAATATAACATGGCCAACTCTCCCTCTCTCCCCAGAGGAATGAGGGTCTTGCTGAAGGGGAACTTGGAAGTCTCAGGAGAGTGGTATCTTTTGTGGCCCTCTCGGGTAAAGAAAAGCAACCAGGAACCAGGACCTGATGAGAGCCAGAAAAACAATTACTTCCCACCATACCCAGTTCTCATAGCACACAGCCGAAATAATTCACATCCGGAAAGATGATACATCTATCTGGTCAACTTTGGGGAGCGGGTTTCCTCTTTAGGAAAGTTTGAGCAAAAACAAACACAACCTCAGTCTATTTCTGAGCGGTACAAGCATCAAGAAGACACACCTTAGTGGCGGTTATTTTTCGCACCCACTGGAAAAAGTCGGCTACGTTTAGCTCTGCCACACTTTCCACAAGTTAAGCCTCTGAGCTGTCGAGGAGGCAGGGTCAGAGCAGATTCCGGCTAGGGGTGATGAGATCAACTTCCAGATATCCCCACCCCAACCCCTCTCACTCACATCCCCCGTACCTGAACGAGCAACAGGGGAATGGGGGTGAAGGGGGAGGAAGTGGAGAATCCACCCAAGATCAGCAAAACAGCAGACCACAGGGTATGCAGCCAAATGCTGTCGTCAATGACAACAGAAAGCTGGATTTCTTGACTCCATTCATCTGACCCAGAAACTAGAGGATAAAATGATGGGCACGTGGTTTATGACAGAAGCAAGGAAAAAAAAAACAAACTCGCTACTTATCCCCCCTGTTATTTACTCCACTTCCTATAAGCAATCTTCAAAACGCTCTGTTCCATAGACATGATCCTCTTCAAGTCTAAGTGACTCCAAGAGGCAGCAAAGTACCAGGGGGTAAGGACCTAAATTTGAATCCAGCTCTGCCTCTTACTATCTATGTGACCCTAGAAAAGAGACTTGACATCTGAGCCTTAGTATTGTTCCATGTAAAAGAAGGACATTACCAGCTGGACACGGTGGCTCATACCTGTAATCCAGCACTTTGGGAGGCCGAAGCAGGCCGATCACCTGAGGTCGGGAGTTCGAGACCATCCTGACCAACACGGTGAAAGCCCGTCTCTACTAAAAATTCAAAATTAGCCAGGTATGGTGGTGCGTGCCTGTAATCCGAGCTACTCGGGAGGCTGAGGCAGGAGAATCACCTTAACCCGGGATGCAGAGGTTGCGGTGAGCAGAGATCACACCATTGCACTCCAGCCTGGGCAAGGAGAGCGAAACTTCACATCCAAAAAAAAAAGAAGGACATTACCTATCTCAAAGGGCTGTTGTAATGAAAATGCAACTCATGGAAAGTGCTTAGTACTGAACCAAACATGTCATAAGAGCTCAATGAATGGTTATTTCATAGAGAAGGAAACGGAAGCCGGAGGGAAGCCAATGCTAGCCTGAAGCGGCATTTAGTTCAGTGTGAGCAGAGATGGGATAAGAATGAGACTTCACAGGCTGCAAGACCAAGACTCTTATACCCATCCTTTCCCCTTGCATTTAAATCAATTCCCCCTAAATGCATGTGCAGGATCAGAGAATGAGAAGGGAGACAGAGCAAGGAGATTAACTTTCACCAGGAATAAGGTTCAGAACCTGCAGCTGCTCTTGTGGCTTAAGCAGCCCCCAGACCCTCCCATTCTCCCAAGCTGCAGAAAGGGACAGGCTGTCTTCACAGGGACCACTGCATGGGAACCCGAGGACCTGAAACCTAGTAACATGGTCAGATGCAGGGCCCAAGAGACCCTCATCCCACTCCTTTTCTCCTTCTCTCCATTTTATCAGTCACTCCAAGCAAAGGAGAACAGACCAAACAGCCGAAAAAACAAACAGGGGCCCAAAAGCAAAAAACAAAGGGAAGGGCCTATTAAGAAGCTGCGCCCATGAGTGTCCCCTGGTGCTTTTTGGAAAGATCCTAGGCCCCCTCACTACACTTTAAAAAACCTGCTCCCCTCCCCGCCAGAACTTTAGAAGAAGTGTTCTGGTTTTTTCACAAATTGCCAAGACAGGGGAGCCAGGCCCCTAACTTGGGAGCAGCCAGGGTGTGAAGGAGGGGTGTGAGGGCCTCAAGTCCTACATCAGGTGCGGGGCTGGAGCGGGGCCTACCTGTGCTGCTCCACAGCCTCGTTATCAGGAAGCTCGACCCCACACACGCTGCACTGCTCTCCGATGGTCCGGCTCTCTGACTTCATGCCCACAGCCAGCTCCCCCAGCTTGCTGAACAGCTCCCTCTGGATGAAGCCCTGGGGCAGCAGCCCCCCATAGGTGCTGAAGTCCATGGAGACAGCCAGGGCAGGCTGCACGTGGAGGCCAGAGGTCACGGAAGACGGCATGCTCAATACAGCGTCAGCCTTGTGGTTGGGCAACACGGAGTAGATGCCCAGATGCTTCTCAGGCGGGGGTGCTGGGTGCTCAGGTCGGCCAGTGGGGGCCTGGCCAGCCTCAGCTGGGGGTGGCACCTGCTCGGCACTCTCCTCTCGCCCATAGTGTAGCTCCCTAGCACTGGTGATGACGCTGCTTCGAGTCGGGGTCCCAGGCCCCTCTTTGCCTCTTTCCTCAACCTTGTCCCCCATCCCTCCTGAGATGCTGGACTCGGCTGCCCCAGGGCTGTCCTGGCTGGGCACCTCATCCACCTGCATCATCTCCGTCTTCACCTCAGCCACCCCAGGGTGCCGCCCACCCCCAGCCAGAGTTGGCTCCTCGGGCCCTGCAGGTGGCTGAAGAGTTCCCTGCAGGAGAGACTGTCCTATGGTCATCAAACTGTCCACTGCAGCCTTGGTGGGACTCATGGCTGAAAGACCAAATGAAGTGGAGACTGAAGGGCTCTGGTCCACCATGGGCCCAGGGAGGCTCTGTCCAGCCACACTGGCATACCCACTCTCCTCGCTGGAATGCTTCGAGATGAAGATGTTCTTGAGGTACCGAGCCTTGCGGTCCTCTTCTTCCTCGGCCCCGCCATCGGCCATGGTGGCCTCCGTGTCATTGTCGTCTGAGGCCTGGATGGTCTCCAGCATCTTCAGGCACTGTTCCTCCAGGTACTCGATCTCCAGGATCTCGGCCGCATACAGCAGGTCATCCAGGTCCTCCGCCTTGGCTTGCAGCGTGGCTGTATATGCATACTCCAGAATCTGCTGGAAGGTCTTTGGCGAGAGGAAGTCCAAAGTATAGTGTTGACTATTGCGGTGGAAGAGGATCTCAAACATCTTGCTGGTGCAGGCCAGCACCGTCCGGTGGGCGTGGAACTCCTGGCTGTCCACCATGATGACCACATCGCACAAAGTCCCGGCCAGCCGCATCTGGTTGGCCTTGCACAGTAGCCCCGTGGGGTGGCTAGGGTTCTGCAGCTGGATCATGCCCATTTTTGTCAGATCCATGGTGCTCCCCTCGGCTCAGGCATGAGGCTTTCTTTCCTTCTGGGCTCTGCGTGGCGGGGCTGGGTGGGCTTCCTGGGCCAATAGAGGAGGCTAGGAGAAAGAAGAGGGGAAGAAGCAAAAGAGATGAGAGAACAAAAGACAAATTCATCAGTGTCCCTAAAAGTAAGAATTCAACCACTACAACATGCCCCCTCCTCCCTGTTGCCAAGCCCTTAGCAAGAGGATCTTAGAGATTTTAATTGAAGTAGCTTCCTAGAAATCTACAAATCTGCCTTTCAAGCCAGGGATGCTGAGAGTAAAAAGAAGGTTCTGCCACAGCAGATGCCTAATTCACTACTCTATGACATCTGTTAGATGAAGTGAAATGAAAATTGTAGTGAAGTCCTATAAGTCCTCAGCTTTCTCTGTGTCTGAGAGTAGGGGCTCCCTAGGCAAGGCCAACATTCATTATGATGAAGTGCACTTACTTAAAATTAGCAAGACTTTAGCCCCTTCCTTGTCAGCTTCACGCCAGCCCCCTGGATGTCAAGCCTTATCTTTAAACAGTTTTTCCAAACTCTGCCTCACTACAGGAGCCCCAGAAGCAGAGTCAAACTCATTGGAGGCCAGGAGCCTGTAGCCATGGCCACAGAAATCTATGGACACTGGGCTCTCCTCCGCAAAGGCTATCCTCTCACCATCAGCCTTGGCCTCTGGCCTTCTACTGTTCTCAGGGCTGCAAAGCACTGGCAGACCCAAGGCCTGTCCCCATCCCTAGGTACTAACAGGAACACACACAACCCACACACTAACTTGGGTCATTTCTACCCACGGAAGCCTCAAAGTTATTGTATGTATAATATAAAATCTGAACTGTGTGTATGTACACCAGCCAGAGACAGACAGAAAGAGTGTGTGGGGCAGGGCGCGGTGGCTCACGCCTCTAATCCCAGCACTTTGGGAGGCCCAGGCAGGCGGATCACCTGAGGTCGGGAGTTCGAGACCAGCCTGACCAACATGGAGAAGCCCCGTCTCTACAAAAAATACAAAATTAGCCAGGCGCGGTGGCACCCGCCTGTAATCCCAGCTACTCGGGAGGCTGAGGCAGGAGAATCACTTGAAACCGGGAGGCGGAGGTTGCCGTGAGCCGAGATTGTGCCACTGCACTCCAGCCTGGGCAACAGGAGCAAAACTCCGTCTCAGAAAAAAAAAAAAAAGTGTGTGTGTGTTTACACACACACACTTACGTAAGGTGTCGTACCTACCCTCCTGCCCACAACTGCCCGGTGGACAGGAGGATCTAAAAAACGAAGAAGGATGGGTCATTAAGGTATGGAGAGAGACCATAGTTAAATATGGTCCCCTACAGCCAGGAGTGCTCATGCTGGGCTGGGTGTGTGAACTCCACGTGTGTCCCACAGGCTCCAAGGAGTCTGCAAGTCCTGTGACCAGGGGCAGCAAGGGATGCTGGACATGGCTCAGAGGCGCTGGAAGTGATATTGGCACCAGCACCTGTGGTGTGAGTTACAACCAGTACGAAGGGAAGACAGGGCTGGGAAACAAAGGCCTCTCCCAGAGCCTGTTCGGGATCAATAAGAGGGCTCCTAGACTCCAAACCTCGCTTACAGGAGTGTTAGAAAGACCGCGCAGGCCCAGGACCCTCCCCGTGTCTGTCTTACAGCGACCAATATTGCAGTGAATGCACTGAGAGCAAGGAACAGCAAGGTCTCTCCCTCACTCTTCGAACACTGCTTGCTTGCCTCCACCCCCAGAAGGAGCTCTATCAGTTCAGGAGCCACCAAGCTCACGCAGAAAGGATTCACAGGACGGCTGGTCAAGACATTTTTGCTGCCCGCCCCGGGGTGGGGACGGAGGCCGTCAAGGTTGGGATGAGCATTCAGCCGAGCCGAGCCACCGCGTGCTTTCCCGCAGACATCGGGGTTTCTGAGAACTAGGAGGGAACAGCCAAAAGAATGGAAGCTTGGCGCCCTGAAACAAGCCTTTTGGGTCCTGAGGGAAATCTGGGCGCCCACGGGCAGCCGTCTCCCCCACCCGCCGCTCGGCGCCCGCGATCCGGCTGGCGCTGGCTGCAGCGTCCAGCCAGGCGGCGCGGGGAAGAGCCGGCGATAACCCGCCCGAGCTCCGGGGATCGACCGCGCTCTCACACCCCCCCAGTTCCCAGCGACCCCCACCGAGACTTGGAGACGACTTCAGCAAACTTGGGGAAGCAACTTTTCCCGAGGAGCTAGACTCCTGAAAGAAGGAGAGCTGAGCTAGGGACGAGGGAAAGCGAAAGAGACGGGGAGGAACGGCGACAGTCCGGGCGGGCTGGACTCCGCGGCGAGAGCGGCAGGGGAGGCGGACCCGCCCCGCGGCGAAGGGGAAGCACAAAAGCCCCGCAGCGAGTTGTGGGAGGAAAGGCGAGAAGGGGTCTGCCCGCCCTCCCTCTCCGACCCAGGGCCGTGACCCCCTGGGAGCGACCGGCTGGGTCCCAGGCCTCTGGCCAGCGGCGCCAGCGGCCAGCGCGCCCGGCCCAAGCACGGTGCGAGCGTCTCGGGGAGGCGGCGAGCGAGTCGGTGCGGAGCGCTCCGTGCGTCCGGGTGGTTCCGCGGGCCGGCGGGACCGTGCGCATTTCAAGCGCGTGCGGGAGTGTGCGAGGCGCTGTGCGAGCTAGCGGCGGGCGCGCCAGGGTGGGAAAGGCATCCCGAACGCATCAGGTGCAGAGACCGGCACCCACCGAGAGCGGCCGGGAGCGCACGGCGAGCTCCGGTGTCACCGCCGGTCCCGCCGAGAGCCGAGGAGGGCCCGCAGCGCTGCAGACCCTCTGGAGCTTCCCTCCCTCCCCTGCAAAAGGGGGGTGGGGATCAAGTCCAATCAAGAAAAAGCCCACCACGTTTTCTCAAAGAGAAACAAAACGTAAGCAGTCCCAGTCCTGCTCCCCTCCGCCCCCAGATCTACTCGTCAGCTCCTCCGATTCTAGCTTCCCAGCCGGCCGGCGAATAAACACACAAATAAATAAACCACAACCTTATCTTGCGCCCGCGCACCGGTCCGCATACATAAGAGCACCCACGGGCTCTGTTGCTCCGCCAGCCCCTGGCGGTACAAAGCCTCCGGATCCCCGACCCCTCTGCTCACGCCCTCAGCCCCCGCACACCGCTACGCCCCCCACCTCTCACCCCGACCGTGCCCTGAAGAGGAAGGGCTGGGGAGGCAGCTGCGCCCAGGCTGACAGCCGGGGCTCCCCCTTCTAGCCGACCCCCAACCGGTGGCGGCGACGGCTGCAGCGGCAGGAAGGGAACACGCCAAATAAAAAAGGCACAAGCCCAGCGGCCGAGTGGCCGAAGCGAGCGCGCGCCCCCCAGACCTCTCCAGCCCCGGGAAGCCCCGGCGCGCGGCGCTCGCTGGGCGGTGCGCCTCTTCCCGGCCCCTCACTCACCGCAGCCGAGCCGGGCACTGTGGGGTGGGTGTGCGTGCCTGTCGGGGGGTGTGTGCCTGTGTCGGGGAGGGGTGTTGCTGGGGAACTGTTGCTCTCCGTATCACGGCGGCAGCGACAGCATCGCCCGGCAGTTCGCAGTACCCGCTCTCATCGCCCTCAACTCCTCTCTGCTGCGAGGTTAGCAAATCACCACCGGCTGCTGCGCCTCCGCCGCGTCCCACGTCAACGCCGAGCCCCCTCCCCTGCAAGGCCCCGGCGCCTCTCCATCTTTAGTGCTGGCGGCCGAGCCCGGCTCCCTGCCCACAGCTGCCCCCCTTCCCTCCCCCCTCCCGCGCCGTCCCCGGGCTCAGCCCGCCCACCACCCCGCACTGGCCGAGCCCGCGCGCGCTCCCCGCCCCACCCCTCCTTTCCCCTCCCCTCCCTTCCCCTCCCTTCCCCGCGCTCCGCGCTCCGGGCTTCGCCTGACATCTAGCTGCTGCTGGGGCGCCGGCGGCCGCCTCTCACCGGCCGAGCGGAGAGGAAGGAAGGAGCCAGAGGACAGGAGTGCATGGGGACTCAGAATCCTTAATAGGGGAACTGAGGGTGAAGGGCGCGCAGCAGCCCCCACCTACTCCCAAGATTTTAATTTGCACTGGATACGGGTTTTGTCCCCCCCTCCCCGCACCCCGGTGCTCAAGCACGCAGTTTTGTCTCCTCTTCCAATGTTTGCCCCAATTCAGTGCGTGTCATCTCGCCTTTAACTTTTTTCTCATGGCTCGGGGCTGCAGTCCCCCTGACATCTGTTTTAAAAGGCCGCTTTCCTAGCCCAAACCCGGCCCTCTCATCCTCCTGGTTACTGCGCGCCTCCCGGCTTGAGCATCCGGATTTCAATAAGTCTCCCGAGGCAGAGTTCGCGGGCGCTAGTGAACCAGGTGCCAGAAGGTCCGCGGGGATCTATTGTCGAAGCGAGACACCCGTTTTTAGCTGTCGCGATTGCTGGAGGCCAAGGTCGAGTCCTGGGAGAAACTTTTCTCTCTCCCAAACCTTGGACAGCCTCTCGGCTCTGCCCTCATCCTACCCCCCCGCCCCCCAGCAATCTGGGTGGAAACAGTTCCCGAGAACTGCGCCCAGCTCAGTGCACAGTCTTCAGGGGGCAGGGGGAAGCTTGGACAACCTCTGGGCCCCTCAAAAGTGTGTCCTCCTTCAGCTGGCCGCCCTACTTCAGAGGGTAGAGCAGCCAAAGAAAATGTACTCTTCCTCTGACTGCAGAAAGCTGCCCTCTCCCCTTTTCCCTGGAGCTGAGCGAAGGTAGGGTGCCAGAGGCGGGAAGCGCTCTTCGGGCACGGGCTGTGGATTCTGACCGAAGCCCAGGAGGTTGGGGTGGGAGGTGGGGGTGGCCGAGAGCGCCATCCAGGGTTCTCAGGCCAGTCAGCCCTCGAGGTCACGCGGTTTTAGCAATGCGGAGCTTATGTCACCAAGGCCTGAGTCTGCATGTTCTGTCCGTGACTCACGGGTGGGCCAGAGGTTTTCCGCAGGACTCACCTAGAATCACACCTCCATGCGTGCCTCTGGCACTGCCCCAGACCCAGTCCCATGAACTGTAGGGTCATGGAAGGTGGCAGAAATCTGTATCTGTTCGCTGAAGGCCAGGCGGTAGAGTTTACACATCGGAACTGATCCGGGTTCACAAGAGCCGCTCATGAGGCAGCCCCAAAGACGGGTCATTCCATCCCAGCAAGAGCCACTCCTGACTCTTAAGAGCAGGGAAAGCTCAGCCCAGCAGGAGTCTGCGGAGAGAGCTGGGCAGGGGAACACACTTGAGTGAAGGAAGGGCTCCTCTGATAGCACGGGATACAACCACATCAAACCCAGGGCAAGCGGAGGGGAAGCCCAGTCCCTGGGTATTCATTTCATTAACAATAAAGAGCAATCCCATTTAGAGACTACCTGTTTTTCTAACTAAGGTCTATACACCCTGTTAGAGGAAAGGGATTTAAAGAAAGTTAGGAAAGAACTGGGCTGCAAGGAGAGCAAGAGTGGAGGGATGTAAGGAGAGGAGAAAAGACCCTCCTGGTGCCTCACCAGGGAAACAGAAGAAAGAATCACTACACTTGTTGAGCTTCTGCCTAGATAGTGCCTGCTGGAGGTTTCCGCTTTGCTGTCCACATCCACCTACCAGCCTCTCCTCAGTGCAGTAGCAGGAGAAGCACACAATTAACCCCTGATCCTAATCTCCTATTAATCCTCAAATCAGAGAAAGAGAGAATCTCTGGAAACAATGGGAGAGAAAGCACAATCCTCTATGGCCCTGGCCTCCCCACCCCCGTGCCATATTCACTCTATGTGAAAATCTCCCTTGCTTCATAAACGCTGCCCATTAAAAGCCCAGCCCTTGTTAGTAAGTGTTAAAGAGAGATTAATGCCTGAATTTAAGAGGTGGAGAAGGTAACAAAAAGGAAGAAGGCAGGCGAGGCTGTGGGCTGAATGCCAGCATTGGGCTCCAAGCATTTCCACTTAGCGCTGAAGGCTGGCTGCACAGCAGTTTGATAAGGTTTATTGGGCCCAGATAAAGCAGCAGCAGCTCCCCCACCAAAACTGGCACCATTTATAGCCAGAGCTATGTCCTTGGGTCCTGGGAAGGCTGATGAGAATCCTCAGTTCAGAGATTTCATATGGCAGCACCTAAAAACAAGCAGGATGGAAAATTACAAGAGAATACTCAATCTCTCTCGCGCGCACATGCCCGCTCTCTTTCTGTCTCTCTCATGTTCGTGTATTTAGAGTGATTTTTCTTTTACATTTTTTCTTGAAGCGTCTTTTAAGGGAAACCTGGGTATCAGTTCTAAAAATACAGGAGATCTCAATCTTAGGGGGAGATCATGCTAGAGACAGAGGAATAGATGAGCTGGCCTTTGCATGGAATTCCATTGCTAAATCTTACTCCCTCATCTCCCTCTTTACCCATGTACCTCCCACCACTGGCAGCCTTTCAGAGCTCAGTTAGTGGAACAGGAGGGTATAGCAGTTCTAAGAGATCATACAGGAAGGAGACAGCGAAAATAATAACTCATTCTGAGCACTGACTACGAAACTCAACACATTACCTATGTTGTTTTATTTAATCCACATAACAATCCTATTAATGCAGGTGCTATTATTTTCCCAATTTCTGTGGACATGAAAACTGAGGTTCAGAGAGATTAAGTGCCTTACTGCAGACTGTAGATCTATTAAACATCAGAGCTGAAACTTTAAATCAGACCATTCTGACTGCAAAGCTCATGCTCTTAACTTCTAGATTATGTAGCCTCTAGTGAAATAGATGAAGGAAGCAAGGGCTTTTAATTTTCCTTCTTCTCTTACTCTGCTGAGGCCAAGATCTGTGCAGCAGCCAGCCAAGCTGAGGACCAAATGGTTCTCAGCTTGGTCACCAGGTAAAGAGACTTAGATCCCCCAGGATCTTACACTTTTCCTCCTCCCTCAGAATCTCAGGCAGAAATTGGGGAGGGGGCTTTGAATTACAAAAAAAAACTTCAACTAAAGAGATAGGAAGAAGAATACAGTGGTGTTTTGAGTATCTGAGTATGAATGGAATGTTGCAACTCTTTAAGTTCCAACTCTTAATTTGGAACATATATTTAATTTTTTTATTTCAAAGTAAACTTTTCTATCGTGATTAAAAAAATCAAAGATCCCTACCTTTTGGGGAGAAGATGCCACTTTGCATTTCCCCAAAAACTTGTGATGAGTGGAAAATGAAGCATGTTCAGGGAGAGATGCAGGTAGTGACGCCCCTGAGTAGAGGAAAAGTATTCTCTGCAGTTGAGAACTCCAGATTGCCACTGGGGAACGTACCAGGGCATCAGACCTTTACCCTGCCAGGGACTGTTAGGGGAAGACACCGCAAGCCTATTGTGTCCATTTCTGGAGTCAAAAAATCTTACAGTCTTACAGTCCTTCAGATCATCATTCCAGACATCTACTATAGAGCTGTAGGTGATGTCAACAATTGGGCAGAGTAGGCTGGGCGCAGTGGCTCATGCCTGTACTCCCAGCACTTTAGGAGGCCGAGGCAGGCGGATCACTTGAGGTCAGGAGTTTGAGACCAGCCTGGCCAACATGGTGAAACCCTATCTCTACTAAAAATACAAAAATTAGCCAGGCGTGGTGGCACGTGCCTGTAATACCAGCTACTTAGGGGGCTGAGGCGGGAGAATCGCTTGAACCTGGGAGGTGGTGGCTGCAGTGAGCTGAGATTGCACCACTGCCCTCCAGCCTGGGTGACAGAACAAGATCTCATTTCAAAAAAAAAAAAAAATTAGGCAGAGTGGAATTTACTCCTGCATATGTTGACATTTTGTTTTTGTTTTTAAATTTTAATTCTTTTACATTATGTCCTTAGATGCCCCCTCCAAAAAGCAGAGGGGGAAAGAATCAGGTGATGTATGCATTCCGGTTAGTTGAGGCTCAGCAAACCAAATAAGACAGCTTCTTTGATTAGTGATTGCCATCATCCCTCATCCCCCACCCCACCACTACCACCACCATCACCGCCCCAACCAACAGAGACCTGGTTAGTGGTGTTTACAAACTTGAGTTTCTCTCCCAGGTGCCAAGTATGCCCTTCCCTCATCTGTAGAGTAGAGAGTGACTTTTCAAAAGGGTAGGAGGAGGGATTTTTTTTTTTTAGCTCCTGAGGCCTTGGGTCACTGTGACCCCAAGATCTTCGTGATTAAGGAAGAAAAAGCTTTTTCTTCTCTCTCTGTCTCTTTCCCCAGCATATTGCAAATGGTGTTGGGACCTAATGTTGTCAACTCAGATAGCAAATCTGAGTTGTTATTAGTGCAAAGATGCCCTAAGGGGGTAGGCACTGAGGATGAGATCTGCAACGAATGTTATGGGGAAGTGTGTTTATAATTATAATGGGATTTAATGTACACTGGGACCAGATGATGGCAGCCATTTAAAAAAGAGATGCTTAATAAGAGAGGTCCCTTAATGACAGGCAGCAGGGCTCAGGATATTATGGAAGAAGCACGGTGTTTCACTGGGTGTCACAAACCATGTGCCAGGTTTTATGGGGTTCCTAACAAAGCTTTGGGATGAAGCATAGCAACCATTGACCGCTGTCAGCTATCGGGCATGATATTTGAATATTGTCTTTGAGAGGGGCATACGCACTTAGAGGAAGGCATTTTCTCCCTTTCAGATACACATACTCACCTAAGCACGGACACACAGGCTCTAGGCCAACATTGAATAGTTTTTGGTGTTTCTGGGAATCTGCTTTGTTCTGCAAAAGCTAGCCTCAATTTCAAAACTAAAATTTCATCACTAGGGAAGGGTGCATTTTCCATATCGTGTGCATGAAATGAAGCAGCATGAGTCCTATTATGGGTAATAGGAGTCCCACAGATGAATCCCCAGACACCATGCTGAAAATTAACCCCAAGTCCTCATGGGGAGACATGGGCTTTTTTAACAGTTTGCTGTTTCTTTGTTGGGGGGCCAGGAAGAGGGGATAGGTAACAGTTTCTTATGCTGTTTAATAGCGGACTGCTTAACTTTTGAGTTAACATTATGGATTTCAATCCACGGCAGCTATTTTATAACAGGAGTGTTATAGTAATGGACAAAGCCATGCAAAAGGAAAACCATGCTCCTTAGAGGTGCCACCATAGTCCAGAAATACAACTCCACGTCCTCTACCAAGTTTATTATTTTTTTTTCTCTCTCTCTCTCCTGATGTGAAAGAAGCATATGAAAACCTCATTCATCGAATACAGGCCTCAACCATAGTTACTGTGTTGGCTGTTCACAAAACATGATATTGCCAGACTTAGGGTCCTTAAAGCAGAATATTCCATTTATCCTGACAGGGAGAAAACGCAAGGGGTAAGCAAACACTCACCTTCCAGTCACGTACTCTCAGACACTGAGTTTCTGGAGAAGCCTCTTTTCAAATAGCAGTGGTATGTCAGGGGCACACAAGCCATAAGAAGAAACTATTTTACTTGATAACAGGTAATTTATGCCAATCATATTAAAATTATAGCAAGACAAATGCTCGTATCTTGTGGAGTGGAATTGCAAATTTGTGTGGATTTGTAAGATGAAATGAAAGACGTCTTTGGAGTTCTCCCTTGAGAAAAGCTCAGTGCCTTTCCCTGAAAGGACTGAGTGAGTGGAAGACCGGGAGATGCCTGTGAGCCAAGGCTGTGGTGGGCTTTGAGCCAGACACTTTGACTCTGCCTCCCTTGCCAGGCCAGGTTCATTTGTCTCTTCTGGAAGTCATTGCTGGATCTTGGATGTAATCTTCTCCACCCACCCTTGAGTCAGATTTAATTTCTCCCATTCTCCATAAGCCCCTTAGCACTATCTGAACATTTATCATAGTATTTACCACCATCTGCCTTATATCTGACTGAGTCATGTGCATTCTGACCACCCACTCCTTTGTGAGTTTCTGGAAGGCAAGGCCTCAGTCTTGTTCAATTTAGTATTTCCACTCCCAAGCCCCAGAGCCTAGCACACTGTCAAACAGAGTAGATGTAAATGTTTGTCGATGAACTAACTGAAAGCATGCATGCATGAATGAATGAATGAACATAGAGACCAAATATTTTAGGAATTAGGGAGAGAGGGGACCATTCTGTATTCAAACATTTAGGGCAGAATTCTTTGTGCTATGAGGTTTTCACCAACCTTTGAAAGATGAATGGGATATGGATAAGGGTTGAGGATATCTGTGAATTTAATTGTATACAGCTAATTGAGAGTATAACTGGGCTGTTTCAGTTGATGTCTTCCCCAGTGGCCTAGAACCAAGCTTTTCTCAATATCCTAGAAGTTTTAATAAATATTTATTAAATTGTCTGGGCATGGTGGCTTACGCCTGTAATCCCAGCATTTTGGGAGGCTGAGGCGGGAGAATCACGTGAGTCCAGGACTTGGACAGCAGCCTGGGTAACATAGTGAGACCTCCTGTCTACAAAAAAATAAAAAATAAATGAGCTGAACATGGTGGCATGCACCTGTAGTCCCAGCTACTTGGGAAGCTGAGGAGGGAGAATTGCTTGAGCCCAGGAGGCTGCAGTGAGCCGTAATGGCGCCACTGCTCTCCAGGGTTGGCAACAGCATGACAGCCCGTCTCAAAAAAAAAAAAAAAACCTGCATTGAATTGAAGTGAAATGAATTTGTTTGAATCACATTGCTTATCACTCTCACAATGGCCTTGTCATCCCAGTCCGAAGTAGCTAACCAGTTCAGGGCAAAGAGGAGAGCATCTGACCCCTCCTAGGGACCCCAGCGGATATAGGACTGCTGACTGAATCCAGCACTAGCATATGAGACACGCATTAGGCACGAGTACTGACAGATTCACTCTGCTGTTACCAGGTGTGGCAGAGACTGGCTAGCTGTTCCCCAAACTTCTTCCTGGGCACACCTACATTTTTCTGGCTTAACTTGCAGTTAGGTGCAGGCCATGTGATTGAGTTCTGGCCAATAGATTGTGAGCAGAAATCCTCTGTGCCGCTTCCAGGACTGGCCCATAAAAACTCCCAAGTGGAACTCCACATTCCCTTTTCTTTCCTGTGACTTGACCCCATGAGCATAGAGCTATCTTAGAAGCTGAGCAATGAAAGACGTCAGGGCCAGGATGGACAGAACCCAGAGCCCTGAATTACGCTTAGAGAAGAGCTGCCTGCCTACTAAAAAACATCTATTTTGGACTTTATATAAATAAGAAATAAACTTTTGATGTCTTCCATAGGGCTGCCAAATAAAATAAATTAATGAAAATGTTAAATTTGAATATCAGATAAACAATGAATAACTTTTTAGTATGTCTCAAATATTGCATGGGACATAATTATACTAAAAAAATTGTTTATCTGAAATTCAAATTTCAATTGTTTTTTGTTTGTTTTTATTTTCCTAAATCTGGCAACCCTAGCTTTTAGCTATTATATATTTTTCAGCTTATTGTAGTAGCTAGCATTACCTTAATTAATACACCTTGGTTTCATTTGTCAGAAGCAGCAAGGATATAACACCTGAGCTGGGATTTCACCTGGGACAAGGAGAGGCCTCCAGATCCACTTGACCACGAGGAAGTGATGCATGGGGCATCCTGTGTGGACAGGACCAAAGGGCAAATGAGGAAAGATCCTGACAGTTTCCAGTTTACCCGTTCTCCTACGAGCCTCTTTTTCCTTAGCAGCCTCTTCTACCTGACTGGGTTTCTATGGGTGCAAGGATGGGGGCAGAAAGGAAGGCATCATAATGTGGACCTATTCAAGACCTTGGTCAAGCCAGTGATCTTCCCATCTTCCGCTTCCTCCTTTGTACCGTAAATACTTTATGCTCCTTTGTAGCATAAAGGCTGAGAGCTTGGGCTTTGATTTAATCAGGTGGGTCTATATTCAATACGTCCACCACATTGGTCCTGGGTGGTCTCAGGAAAATTACTTAAGCTCTCTGATTTGCAGTGTGCTCGCCTGTAAACTGAGGACAATTAGAGTATCCACCTCACTAAAGTTTCTGTGAGAATGCTCAAGGAGTGCCTGGCCCACAGTAAAAGATCTGAAAACGTCAGGTAATATTAGTGTTGTCAGGTAATCTCTTTCTTTCTACCCTCCTCCTCCAAAATAACATTATAAATATTTGGAGTAAGGCATTGTAATTAATTTTATTTTTGTTTTGTTTTGCTTTGTTTTTTGAGATGGAGTGTCGCTCTGTTGCCCAGGCTGGAGTACAGTGGTGTGATCTCAGCTTACTGCAACCTCCGCCTCCCAGGTTCAAGAGGTTCTCCTGCCTCAGCCTCCCGAGTAGCTGAGATTACAGGCACCCACCACTATGCCCAGCTAATTTTTGTATTTTTAGTAGAGATGGGGTTTTGCCATTTTAAAGAGGCTGGTCTTGAACTCCTGACCTCAGGTGATCCATCCACCTTGGCCTCCCAAAGTGCTGGGACTACAGGCGTGAGCCACCGTGCCCGGCCAATTTTAAATCTCTTTAAAAGAATGAAGCATGACCTGTGTTTCTTGGCTTCTAATTGCAGCTGAGCGCAGCTGTTTGTGGTCCTGTTCTCCCAGGCTCGTCTCGTTCATTCTGTTGGGAGTGAGGTGAGCAGGCAAATGGAGAGCGAGGCAGGGTGTGCAGGGGGTGGTGGTAATTTTCACCTCGTAGCATGACATGTTTATTAGTGTGTACGTACGTTAAGCGCAGCAGCCTGGTTTCCTTGAGTTAAATAGCAGTCATGCCCAACTGGCTCTCCATGTACCATTACTCCAAGTGATTGAGCCAATTTCTCCCTCTGCCATGAGTTTAAGTTGTAAACCTCTCAGCCAGACAGGGAGGCAATGATGGGCTGCCTGTTGTGATTATTATTAACCTTTAGCATTACACTTACAAGACCAGGGGGGTCTGTAGAGACGCCCAGGGTGACGCAGGCACAGACTACAGGCTCCCATCTACCCACCTCGGTTCAGCCTGCATCTCTTCTCGACAAGAAAGGCAAGCATGTGAGTGTTCACTTTGGCCATGCTGGGAGGCTCCAGCCTACCAATCTGGGGTGAGAGATGGCTTGTGCTGGGTGAATAGAGAAATGTTGGGTGTGCTCTGTTCCATTTGGGCAGAGGAAAAGAAAACACATGGCAGGAAAGCTGGAAAAGAGATTTCTTTCTTTCTTTTTTTTTTTTTTTCTTTTTTTGCCCAGGCTGGAGTGCAATGGCACGATCTCAGCTCACTGCAACCTCCACCTCCCGGGTTCAAGCGATTCTCCTGCCTCAGCCTCCGGAGTAGCTGGGATTACAGGCATCCACCACCACGCCTAGCTAAGTTTTTGTATTTTTAGTAGAGACAGGGTTTCACTATGTTGGCCAGGCTGATCTCAAACTGCTGACCTCACACAATCCACCCGCCTCGGCCTCCCAAAATGCTGGGATTACAGGCCTGAGCCACCGCACCCGGCTGGAAAAGAGATTTTCTAGGGGTGCCTGCATGTTCAGAAATCATTTGCCAGCCAGAATTTTTTCTCTTTGCCATATATTTGTCAGCCAGCTGCTAAGTTATCCAGGCAAAATTTGCAGGGACAGCAGCTACCCCCTAGCTGTTAGCTGGTTGACCAAGACCACATATATTTAGCATAATTATACCGGGAACTTGGAGTCACAGAGGGCTACACGGAAGGAGGAAGTGTTAAGGAAGCTGTCTATCCCAGATCCACCACTCTCCGTGACTTTCCCCCTTCCAGTCCGTATTTCTTTTATTTTCCTTCAAGGAACCAACCTTCTTCCCTGTTGATTAATCACGAATTGGCAGAGATGGCAGTTCCCTGAATGTGGGCAGCTTGTTTTGCTTTTCTGAACAGTTTGGTCTCTGAAAATCTCTGAGAAGAAAAAAAGTCCACCACCCAGCCCTAGGGTGCTTGTGTTGCTGCTTTGTTAAAAATCCGAGGGTACCTTTGGGCTGGCACTGGGGGAAATCTGCAGTCAAAAAATAATTCTGCCCTCAGGAAGGTTACTGTTTAATAAGCAAGGCTGGAATCAGGAAGGGCAGGTGGTGGGAGGCCTTGTGTTACTGTTGTTTCCCAAAATGAAAGAGGATGGGGGAGGGGGAGGTGTTTGGGAGGACAAGCACCACACAGAGCCTGCCTGGGTCAAAGGTAACAGAGTAACCATTGTCTGGCTGAGCAATTTCCTACAGTCTCTTGGAGGGGCCCCTGCCAGCAGCTTGATAAACTCCGTTGTTTATGTAGAATGAATATTGATTTGATAGGTATAAACAAATTTAAACCATACCTTCCATTTATCTTGGCCATGACATTTATTGAATACTGCTTATGAGGGAATAACCTATGGCTAACACAGGTTGAGGACTCACTCGGTGTCAGGCTCTGGCTCTTGACATGTGTCATCTCCTTTACTTATCCAAATAATCCCATGAGTTGTGGACTGTTGTCAAACCCATTTTACAGCTGAAGAAAATGAGACAGAGAGATAAAGCAGCCTTCCTGAGGCCACAAAGCTAAAGAGCAGCCAGCTCCCACAGACTCCATGCCTGGACTGCTTGTCCTTATACTTCCTCTTTGGATTAATTTCCATTCCTGATGGCAGAGGCATTTGGTCCTGCATCAAGAGAAGGGAAGGAGATGGGGCCGGGCTCATGGCTCACGCCTGTAATCTCAACACTTCAGGAGGCCAAGGCAGGCAGATCACTTGAGCTCCAGAGTTTGAGACTAGCCTGGGCAACATGGCAAAACCCTGTCTCTACAAAAAATATATATATATGTAAATTAGCCAGGCATAGTAGCGCGCCTGTAGTCCCAGCTACTTGGGAGGCTAAGGTGGGAGAATCAGTTGAGCCCAGGAGTTTGAGGTTGCAGTGAGCTACGATCACACCACTGTACTTCAGCCCTCTGTGACTCCAGGTTCCTGGTATAATTAAGCTAAATATACATGGTCCTGGTCAACTAGCTAACAACTAGAGGCTGGCCATTGCCCTGCAAATTTCTGCTGGATAACTTAGCGTCAGGCTGATAAATATATGGCAAAGAGAAAAAAAAAACTCTGGCTGATGAATTATTTCTGAATATGGAGATGCTCCTAGGTCTCTTTTCTGGCTTTCCTGCCATGCCCCTTCCTTTCCCCTACCAAATATAACAGAGGACACCCAACATTTCTCTCTTTGATTTTTTTTTTTTTTTTGACAGAGTCTCACTCTGTCGCCCAGACTGGAGTGCAGTGGCGTGATCTCGGCTCACTGCAGCCTCCACCTCCCAGGTTCAAGTGATTCTTCTTCCTCAGCCGCCCGAGTAGCTGGGACTACAGGCATGCACCACCATCCCTGGCTAATTTTTGTATTTTTAGTGGAGACAGGGTTTCACTATATTGGCCAGACTGATCTCAAACTCCTGACCTCAGGGGATCTGCCTGCCTCAGCCTCCCAAAGAGCTGGGATTACAGGCGTGAACCACCACGCCCAGCCTCTTTTTCTTTCCTCTAGGTTGAGGAGAGGAAATGGGGCGGTGGGTTAATATGAAAAATAGATAGACTGGTAAAGCTGTTATGTTCATTTCTAAATGAGTACTCACCAGGCACTCATGCCTATTCGTATACATTAGGTATAACTAGAAGACAAGGCAGTTCACTTTTCCGTAAGCATGCAAGAGTTTGCCCTCTTCAAAATAGTTGCCCTCTTCAAAATGCCAGATAGACTCTTAGAAGCAAAAGAGACTTGAAATATCAACTAGTCCTAAGGTGAGTGGTGGGACTCGACTCCAGAGGCGGGGCTCAGACACCAGACCAGATTGAGGGCTAGCTAAAACACAGACGGGCAGAAGCAGCTCTCCATAACACAGCCCACCTGTGTGCCATGTCAGTTTACCATTGCCATGGCAATACTTGGGAGTTACTGCCCCTTTCCTTGGCAATGAACTGCTGACCCAAAAGTTACTACCCCTTCCCTGGAAACTTCTGCATAAACCACCCCTAATCTGCATGTAATTAAAAGTAGGTATAAATATGACTGCAAAGCTGCCCTGAGCTGCTGCTCTCTGCCTATGGAGCGGCTCTGGTCTGCAGGAGCAGTCACAGAGCTTAGCACCACTGGAGCTGTAACACGGCTGCTTCAGTACAGCTGTTTTCTTCTACCTCAGCTTGCCCTTGAATTCTTTCCTGGATGAAACCAATGACCCTCATGGGCTAAGCCCCAGGTTGGAGTTCACCTGCCCTGCATCAGTCCAATCTCACCATTTTACAAGAGAGGAAGCAGAACAGAGAGGTGGCACAGCATTCCCAAAGCCATACGGCCAATGAGAGCCAGGACTTGGGACCAGAGCCAGTTTGGGGCCATCATGAGGATGTCATGGAAGCCATTCAGCCATTCTTGGAGATCTTTTGGTATTGCCTTCCAAGTACATAGCATTAATTTTTTTTAAAATCTTCAGTCATGGCATGTCTTGCCCATAGAGGGAAGATTTGATTTTCAAAACTAGCACCAATATCTCAAGAGGGTGGTGAAGCTGGGTAATAAAATTTGAGGTCACAAACAAGGGGGACTAGGGAGCAGTAAAGTTGAAATCCTCCTGTAGCTCATAACCCAGCAATAACAGCAACATAGTGGTAAGAATTCTATTCTCAGGGCCGTGGCTCACGCCTGGAATCTCAGCACTTTGGGAGGCCAAGGGGGGTGGATCACCTGAGGTCAGGAGTTTAAGACCAGCCTGGCCAACATAGTGAAACCCCGTCTCTATTAAAAATACAAAAATTAGACAGGCATGGTGGTGGGCACCTGTAATCCCAGCTACTTGGGAGGCTGAGACAGGAGAATCGCTGGAACCCAGGAGGCAGAGGTTGCAGCAAGTTGAGATCACACCACTCCACTCCACCCTGGACAACAGAGCAAGACTCGATCTAAAAAAAAAAAAGATTTATATTCTCTTTCTCAATGTGTAACGTATATTTTCTCAACATGTAATCTACATTTTGAGATATATTATCGCTATATCTGTTTATATATATATATATACCTATGTGTGTCAACACCCACACAGGTGTGTATAGTCATTCTGACATACTAGTTTAAATGTCAGAATCCTGTTACTTGATAGGTGTGATTTCTACGTGCACAATCCATTAATGTTTTTCTTTGGGGTGAGAGATGATTCCGTGGAGAAGCAATGTGCGGTGTCAAGGTCTAGGCTTTGAAATCATACTAATGTGGGTCTCAAACCCAGATCTATCATTTAATAGCTATGAAAGTTTGGCAGATTTCTTAAGCCTCAGTTTCTTTACCAATATAATGATGATATCTAAGGTCTCTGTAACTTTGAAGAAATTAAGGAACATGGCCAAGATCTCCCATTCATAAGAGACAAAGCTGGAAGTAAACCTAGGTCTATCGGATTCCCAAAGCTGGCCCTTTCCTGGACGCCCCTCTGACTGCACCCCATGCATAGGGAAGCAGAGGGCATTTCCCTGGGAATGAATACTACTATTGGATTGGAGATGAGATGCCGATCCTGCCCAATCTTTTCTTTTTAAAGCTACCACTTTTGCCCTGTGTGAAAGCAGCCAATAGGTTAAGATTACGTATGTTTCTAGTGATATGTATATTAGACTCCAGTAAAAAAAAAAAAAAAAAAAATCCTCTCCCACTCCCTCACCCATGACTAAAAATAAAATGCCAAAAATATTGCCAGGAAGAGAAATTTGGTGAAAAGCAGGAAAGACTAAAAATTGACTACAGTCTACTGCAAAACATGGATTTCTCCAGTTTCTTCGTTCTGTATAAACTCTCAGTCATCAGAAGAGATTTTCTTTCAAGGGAAAGCATTCGAATAAACTACACCAATATTTGACTGTGTAGAAGTTCTTCTCAAAGAAAGACAATATCCAATCTTTCCAGAAAGATGATTTTCCTTAATTGAGTTTACTACCTGCTGAGTGCCTTTAGTAACAAGAAAAAAATCATGGAGGGGTGGTAATTTTTTTTTCTTCCCCAGCATCTTTTTGGAATGTTCTGAAATATTTACTTATTGATTTCCATCAGACAGATTGGAGAGAGCATGGTGAAATGATGAGAACATTAGATTTCCACTCAGAAGGCCTAGATTCAAGGTCAGCTCTGCCAAACACTTCCTGCGTAGCCTTGGGCAAGTCACTTAACCTCTCTGTGCTTCAACATTCTCCTGTGTAAAACTGGAGATATACGGAAAAAGTTTTGACCAGTTTAAAGTACTTGCTCAGTTCTTTGAGAAGAGCTCTAAGAGTAGTCTCTAACTGACTCTGAGCTTCAGCAAGTTAATTCCCCTCCTTGGGTTCCTTGTGGAGAACATGAAGATGTTGAGCTAGTTTTATTACTAAACCTCCTCTACCTAGGAAATTCTCTAATACTCTGTGAACTCTATCAGATACACTGAAATGAGGTGCTGGTAGCTGCGGATGGAGAGATGGTGTGATGTGGGTGTGCTTAAAGAAAGGTCTCTTTATCACAACCTTGCCCCCCGATCCTGAGGGTGCTCAGGAACTGAGAGGACTCCACACACAGGAGCAGAATGAGGAGAGTGAATTCAAGCTGGGCTTCAACTTTAGCAGGGAATGGGAAGGCGCCTCTGCCAATGATGGCTCTCTGTGGCTCTGGAAAGGAAACAACATAGCAGCAGTGAAGCCACAGTCAGGTCATAGAGGAGGGAGTAGGAGAGGAGGGCATGGCACCTGTGGTTATGGAGGCTTTAGCTGTGACCCAAATAAGGTCCATGGTATAGAGGGGGATGATGAAGAACTAGAAAGAGATATAGGTAATGCTACTTTGAATCAGGTCTGCAAACACTGTTCCTCCCTTGTTCAGAGATCATTCCCAAACAGCATATGCCTGACTCAAAACAGATAACATAACGAAAGATGGCTAGTGCCCACCTCAGGGCCTTGGCACTTGCTGCTCCCCCTGACTGTAGCTCTCTCTGCAGCACACAATACTCGTTTCCACTGGCCCTTTTCTCAATATCCGCATCAAACAGCTCTTCCCCGCTGAGAGCCAGAGCACCTCCCTACAGCTGCCCTGTCTGGAGCTGTCTCCCTCTCCTTCAGGCCCTCCTCTGGGTTTGATTGTTTTTATAGCGCTTGTTACTCCCAGAAATGGTTTCCTTTGTGTATATGACCTTGTTTATTTCCTGTCGCCGCCCTTCCTGGAAACTCCCTAGGGCTCCCCTCTAGTTAGTGTAAGCTTCATGAGGGCAGAGGGCTGGACTGTGATTCATTCCGTCATACCCCAAGCTCCAGGACAATGGTTGGCATAAAGAGGCTCGTAATAAATATTTGTTCAAAGAATGAAAGAACAAAACAAGAAATGTGCTATTTTTTTTTCTCCCCAGGAAGACTTTTAAACAAACAGGCAGCATGTTCTTGAGAATGTGGGATTCAGGCCCAAAAAATTAACAGCTGGGGAAATGAAAGGAATATGTCCTTCCATCAGCTCTGAGTAGAGATTCCATTTGTGTGTTATGGTTATTTTCATTGATACTGCTAACCGAAAGAAATAGCCTCATGCATCATTATGTCCCTGCTGTCTGAGGGTGGGTCAGCCAGGAAGAAGGCTGGCTGGGCACAGTGGCTCATGCCTTTAATCCCAACACTTTGGGAGGCCAAGGTGGACAGATTACTTGAGGTCAGGAGTTCGAGACCAGCCTGGCCAACATGGCAAAACACCGTCTCTACTAAAAACACAAAAATTAGCTAGGCATGGTGATACGTGCCTGTTGTCTCAGCTACTTGGAAGGCTGAGGCAGGAGAATCGCGTGAATCCAGGAGCTGGAGGTTGCAGGGAGCCACGATCGTGCCACTGTGCTCCAGCCTGGGTGACAGAGTGAGACTCCGTCTCAAAACAAAAAAAGAAGGCAAAATGAATGATAATGTCTGAAATTTGTGTGGACCTATACCCAGTACTTTTACATAGCAGTAGCTTGTTTTACCACTTTGTAAAGTATAGAGCTAAGACCTGGATCCAGGTCCACCAGCAACATCAGCACTCTTGCCTTTGCATTTAAACATAGTACAAATGAACACAGGCGGCCGGGTGTGGTGGCTCACATCTATAATCCCAGCACTTTGGGAGGCCAAGGCGGGAGGGTCACGTGAGGTCAGGAGTTCGAGACCAGCCTGGCCAACATGGTGAAACCCCGTCTCTACCAAAAATACAAAAATTAGCCAGGCGTGGGGCAGGCTGCCTGTAATCTCAGCTACTTGGGAGGCTGAGGCAGAATTGCTTGAACCCAGGAGGTGGAGGTTGCAATGAGCCGAGATCGTGCCACTGCACTCCAGCCTGGGCAACAACAGCGAAACTTCATCTCAAAAAAAAAAAAAAAAATTAACACAGGCTTCCTGGCTCCCCATGGAGAGGTCAAAACCGGAGCCCCTGTAGATGGGGCAGGTGATGAGAAGCTTGCGAGCAAGGCCCAGGACTAGGGTGAGGCAAGTGAGGCAGCTAGGATGCAAAATTCAAAAGGTATCACTCTCGGAGCACTTGCGTGATTCTAAGTGTGATGCCTCCTTACATTTTGTACCATAATGCCACACACTGCCTCACCCAGTGCTGGCCCCGCCCATTGGAGTTTTTTGCAAGTTCTCTGTCCTTTTCTCTCATGTCATCTGATGCTTCTTTGTCTAGAAATAGCATTGAAATAACCAGAGAGTGAATTGATCTTGGAGGAGGATTTGGCCCACTCTGCCAACTTGTTTCTAGCCACCTCTTGGCAAGCTCCTCTCCAAATGGCCGATGGAATTATTTTCTAAAGGACAGATCTGTCACTCCCCTTCAAGGGCTCTTTTCATGACCTACATTTAAAAAAAAAAAACACCCTAAACAACTTGGCATGGCCTTTAAGACCTTTACACGTTGGCAGCATTCTCCTACCCCAGTGAACCGCTCCCCACTCCCTGACTCGGCCATGCACTATCATGCCTCCTCAGCTCTGGACAGACTGTGCCTTCTACTCGAGGCACCCTTCTCTGTCTGTCTAGACCAAAGTCATTTCTCCTTTGAAGTCTAACTCCAAGGTCACCTGTGCCCAGCACACTGCCTCACTTTCAGAAAGTCTGGAGAACATTTAGGTAGACAGATGAGAGGAAGAGAGAAGTTCCAAATTAGGAGAAGTGCAAAGATACTGAGACTTTTGCAGCACCTTAGATTACAGATTTCCTTCGGCACGTTGCCACTGAGAAGGCTAAGGAGGAGGATGGTGAATGTGGTGAGGAGAGATGAGGGATGAATATAAGTCCTTGCACATGTGTATTGGGATATGGCGGACCAGTTGACAGCCAGCGTAAGGTCCTCTTTCCTCATTAGTCCTGGGAAATCCATCCGTGTGCCATGGAATTTTAAAAGGCCGGAAGATACTACCTCTGGCTGACAGTTTGTTTGGGGTGACCCGCCCCCATCCTTCTCCTTTGGTTTCCTCTTCGCCATGATTGTCTCAGAAATTGGAAAGAATCGGCCAGACGCGGTGGCTCACGCCTGTAATCCCAGTACTTTGGGAGACCAAGGCGGGCGGATCACGAGGTCAGGAGATCGAGACCATCCTGGCTAACACGGTGAAACCCCGTCTCTACTAAAAATACAAAAAATTAGCCGGGCGTGGTCACGGGTGCCTGTAGTCCCAGCTACGCAGGAGGCTGAGGCTGGAGAATGGCGTGAACCCAGGAGACGGAGCTTGCAGCGAGCTGAGATTGTGCCACTGCACTCCAGCCTGGGCGACAGTGCAAGACTCTGTCTCAAAAAAAAAAAAAAAAAGAAAAAGAAAGAAAGAAAAGAAAAGAAAAGAAATTGGAAGGAATCAGGCCAGTCAAGGTGGCTCACACCTGTAACCCCAGCACTTTGGGAGGCTGAGATGGGCAGATCACTTGAGGTCAGGAGTTCAAGACTAGCCTGGCCAACATGGTGAAACCCCATCTCTACTAAAATTAAAAAAAAAAAAAATAGCCAGGCATGGTGGCGTGTGCCTGTAGTCCCAGCTACTCGGGAGGCTGAGGCATAAGAATCGCTTGAACCCAGGAGACAGAGGTTACAGTGAGCCGAGATCATGCCACTGCACTCTAGCCCAGGCAACAGAGCGAAACTCTGTATAAAAAAAAAGAAAAAAAAGAAATCAGATGTGAACCCAACTCATTCCTGGTGGCCAGAGGGGTATCCAGATCTAGGAGGTTAGTGCTAGGCACAGGGTTGGGATCCTACCAAGCCAGCCAGCCAGGGCCTCCCAGGGCTCCTGCCCTACATTCCCTGCGCAAAAGGGGGTTGGGGAGTTATCTTTAGTACTTAGCCTGGGCAGAGCTAACTTTATAGCCTGGCTAAGTGTGAGTCACTCTTTGAACTAACTTGTTTATATAGTATTTTCCCGTGACAACCTGGATCCTAGTTGTTGGTTGTAAAATGAAACCAGGTTTCCCGGGACCTCCCCAATCTACCCAGGGCCCATTTTTAGACTTTGCCTTTTAGCATTCAGGCTTCCTCAAGCCGCCGGGGTCAGGGATATGTAACTGGTTTGCAGGCTTAACATGCAGGCTGTACAGAGCCCAGACTCTGGCGGCTCGCCTCCTCCCCATTTTTTGTCTAAGTTGCCATCTATTTGTTTCCCCTCCTCCTCTGTGTTTCAACTTTTCTGTCTTCTTTGCATGATCTTGAGAATCAAGCCAAAGTCAGGCTGACATTTTGGCCTGGTCTCCCCAAGGAACTCAGATCTGAGATCTTTGTTCCTGGAAAGAAAGTTTATGTATGTGTTGGTTCAGAAGAGGCTTTGGGGGAGAAAGGACAGACATGAATGCTGTGATAACAATAATTATAGTCATAGATAATAATGATGTCTACATTTACAGAATGCTAACTCCATAGTAACTAGGCTGAGTGAGTGATTTCTCATGCTTTTTCACAGTTAACTTCACAACAATCCTAGAAGATGGGTTTGGCTGCTATATACCCATTTTAAAGACGGGTATTTCCTATAGTCTGAACGTTTATACACCCCCTCAAATTCATGTGTTGAAACTTAATCACCAAGGTGATGATATTAGGAAGTAGGCCCATTGGAGTGTGAGTAGGTCATGAGAGTAGAGTCCTCATGAATGGGATTAATGTTCCTATAAAAGAGGCCCCACAGAGCTGCCTTATCCCTGCCACCACGTGAGGACACAACCAGAAAGCACCATGTAGGAACCGGGAAATGGGCCTTCACCAGAATGGAATCTACCAGCCCCTGGATCTTGGTCTTCTCAACCTCCAGGTCTGTGAGAAATAAATGCTCAATGTTTATAAGTCACTCAGTTTATGACGTTCTGTTATATCCATCCCAAAGGTGGAAGACAGTGTTATACCTATTTCCAAATGAGAAAATTCAGGCTCAGAGAGTGACATTTGTAGCTAAGTTCACACAGCTAATAAATGGCGTTGGTGTCTGGATCAGTCTTAGAAGCTTTAGCTCTTACAATTTGGGTGACCCTAAGCAAGTCACTTCATCTCTCTGAGCATCAGCTATATTGCATCTGTTACCAAAAACAAACAAACAAACAAAAAAGGCAAGAGAGTCCTACTTACTTTACAAGATAGTTAGGATGATTGCATGGGATGAGGAATGAGAAGAGCTCTGTAAGTGTTGGTAATCATCCTTATGAAATCTGAAACCCCGTGAGATCTGGGATAGAACAGAGTAACATAAGAGACTGGGAATTTTTTTCACTTATAAAAATTATTTAAATGTTTTCTTGTTTTGATTTGAGGCCATCTCTTCTGTTTTGAGAGATTATCATCCCAGAACTATCTCTCCTTGTTTTTTTACAATCCAGTCTCGGATAGACCACGGGACTTGATGCTCTTTAAAAGATGGTTTTATTTGAGCCTTACGCCTATCTTGGGAGTTAAGTAGGACAAATATATCATCCCCATTCTGCAGGCAGGAAAATTGACATAATAAGTGGCTGTCAGGAGGTTGCTCAGAGCTGGATTTATTCTGGTCCTCCTTGCATTCCTTCACATTTCTATTGTAGGAACCTGGGCAGGTGACAGGGCCAGGTGGGGTGAGGGAGGTTTTGGTGGTGAGTATCGTAGGGGAAGATCCTAGGATCTCCCTTAGAGGCCACCATCAGCTTATCAGAATGTGCATATGCCCCTCATTAAAATCGTTTCTATAAAACTGCATAACATGTGAGCTGTGTTAACTACTTTGTCACAATGTTGTTTTGTTGTCATTTAAATAAATGTTTTTAAACCTTTCAGTTTCATCATTTTCTCTTTGCATTTTGGAATCAGTGCAATTTGTCAGGTGTCAGGCAGTTTCATAGACCTTTGTTGGCCCTAAGCACTTTGTTCTAGAATGCTTGGACAGAATAATAAGAGGCTTTACCTTTTATTTTGTTTTAAGGTTGAGCATTGGCCAGACAGATGTGAGTTCAAATCCCATCTCTGCCCCTTACTGCCTGTCTGTCCTGGGCAAATTGCTTAAACTTTCTGGGTCTCATCTGTAAAATGGAGCTGGTAATACATATGTGTGGTATTTTTCAAAGTCGGTATGAGGTTTTTATTTTTTTTAGATGGAGTTTTACTCCTGTTGCCCAGGCTGGAGTGCAATGGTACAATCTCCAATCTCAGCTCACTGCAACCTCCGCCTCCCGGGTTCAAGCAATTCTCCTGCCTCAGCCTCCCAAGTAGCTGGGATTACAGGCATGCGCCACCACACCTGGCTAATTTTGTGTATTTAGTAGAGATGGGGTTTCACTATGTTGGTCAGACTGGTCTCGAACTCCTGACCTCAGGTGATCCACCCTCCTTGGCCTCCCAAAGGGCTGGGATTATAGGTGTGAGCCACTGCACCCAGCCTAAAGTTGGTATAGTTTTAATGTAATGTATATAAAGGTGCCTAGTCTAATGTCTGGAACATAGTAAGTGTTCAATTATGTAGCTATTTTAATTATAGCTTTTTTTTTCTTTTGCCCTAATCTAGATGGGATCATGGAGATGGCTCGCTGCATGGCAGCCTTTTTGACAGTGTCTTTGTGAGAAAAGAGAAAGGGCTGTATCATCGTGATCTGTGGCTCTTTGGAGAAGGTTTTGATGGAGATCCAGGCGGTAGCCAGGCGGGCCCAGGTTGCTGGATAACACAGAAATTAAACTCTAGGTCCCCAGAGCCCTCTTTCCACTGGCTGCCCCTCATTTCTTCACTCCATTAAGGGCCAGGGCAAGACCCAGAACCACATCCACAAGGGCCCCAAGTTTGGTCAACAGGTCAAGTTTCAAACAGCCCCACAATTATCCCATAGTGGGGTGTGGACCCAGAATGTTTGCCCTGCATCAGCTCCTGGGATTGGTAAGGAGAACCAAGGAAAGGCGTAGCATAAATTAGGAGTTAGGAGAAAAGACAGAAGAGCCATTGAGAGAGAACCAGGCCAGGTGGAGAGGGAGAGCCGCCCTGATGACCTTGGCGCCGGAACCAGTGAGAGCGGCTCACAGCTCATCCTGCTAGGAGGACAAAAGGACTGCAGCCCCCTTAGAAGTGTCAAACCCCATCCTAGCCTGTCTCCCTGGACCAGAGCTGAAGTCAAGGCTATAAAAAGAGCCTAGCCTGGAGATGGGGGGCAGCAGAGAGAGAATGCATTCCCCCTTGATAATTTCAGAATCACCATTCTCAGTTGTTACAAATGCAAGTTCCTGAACCCCACCCTAAACCTACCCAATCACCGTCTCTTGGGAGGGTAGGTAGGGTTTAGCAAACTTCACCAAACATTTGCAAGTTAAGAATGGGGTCTTGTGGCCGGACACAGTGGCTCACACCTGTAATCCCAGCACTTTGGGAGGCCAAGGCGGGGAGATCACCTGAGGCCAGGAGTTCGAGACCAGCCTAGCCAAGATGGTGAAACCCCGTCTCTACTAAAAATACAAAAAAGATAGCCAGGTGTGGTGGCAGGCGCCTGTAATCCCAGCTACTCAGGAGGCTGAGGCAGGAGAATTGCTTGAACCCAGGAGGTGGAGGTTGCAGTGAGCCAAGATCACGCTACTGCACTCCAGCCTGGGCAACAAGAGCGAAACTCCGTCTCAAAACAAAACAAAACAAAACAAAACACCAAAAAGAATGGGGACCTGTGTGGAGCTTAACAGAGAAGGGTCTAGAAAAGTTTCTCTCTGGGTTGGTTTTACATATTAGACAAGTTAGATTGAAGACAAGATTGACAACAAACATTTTGGTTTAACAAATGTTTATTGTGCACCTACTATGTGCCCAGAACTTATTCTGCCATCCAGCAGCCTCACAATTTGGAATGAAAGGTGGACTCTATAAGAGGAATCATAATACCCTGTTATGAGCAGCACTCACTAAGAGTGCAAATGCGCAATGTGGTCATGAGGTGTCCAGGAGCCAGAACTAGGAAGGAAGAACCTGGAGCTGATCAGGGAGGCCATCTTATTTTTCATTTTTGAGTTCAGGTATCTTCAGTGGTAGATGAGTCTTCTTTCCATTTCTCTTAAATTGAAATGTAGAGAAGCCAATCCTATGTGCCCTTGGGTGTTATTCTTTTTGAAGATGATGAAGGAAGATTGAACCACTGGTCCGCTTCTATTTGCTCATCAGAAATTCGGGCTCAGGGCAGTTATGTGTGCCACATCTTAGCCAAAGTAAAGGAACTTTCTGTTTTACCCTTCTCCAGCAAAAACAGCAGTGAGTCAAAATAAACAACCCTTGGGATCCAAATGCTGGCTCCTCCTACGGAAAAGACAGAATAGTTATTTTATACTTATGGGGGCCCTGGAGTGCCGGGCTGGCTGTGAGTGCGCGTGAAGCTCGCGCCCACCCGCGCACAGGGCCAGGCAGTGACCAGGTCAGAGAATCCTGGTGCAGAGAGGCTCCCGCTGCGGAAGGGTGGGGGCGGGATTGTGAGGCTTCAATCTGGGATGCTTTTTAAAAACCTTCCAAGTGAAGTTGACTTTCTGCGGCTCACGGGCCTGATTTTGCCAGCAGGCCGCCCCTGCCCCCTTGCGGCGTCCCCTCTTAGCCCGGGGCCAAGTCAGCGCCTGACCTCCGTCCGCTGGAGGCCAGAAGGGGAGAAGGCTGACGGTCCCGCCGCAGCCAGAGCGCAGCGCCGGGCGGGACCCTGCTGGGCCACCCGCGGCCACGTCCTCCAAGCCCTGCTGACCTCTAGTGGTCACCGGGCAGAACCGAACGGGCGCTAGGCCAGAGTGGGAAGGAAGGTACCTCTCAAGGCGCGTTCTCAGCCCTGGTTTGCACATTGGGATCACCTGGGAGCTTTGAAAACTACCACTGTGCAAGCCCCACTGCAGGCTTTTGTTCAGAATTAAGTCAGAAGCGCCGACTGTGGGACCTGAGCGTGGATATCGTTGTTAAAGCTCCCTTGGAGGCTGAGCGCGGTGGCTCACGCCTGTAATCTCAGCATTTTGGGAGGCCAAGGTGGGTGGATCACTTGAGCCCAGGAGTTTGAGACCAGCCTGGCCAACATGGCAAAACCCTGTCTTGGCAAAAAATACAAAAATTAGCCGGGCATGGTGGCGCGTGCCTGTAGTCAGTCTCAGCTACTAGGAGGGCTGAGGTGGGAGGATGGGTTGAGCCTGAATGGTGGAGGCTGTGGTGAGCTATGATCGTGCCACGGCACTCCAGCCTGGGCGACAGAGCAAGACCCTGTCTCAAAGCCCCCACGCACCCCCACAAAAAAACTCCCAGGGAATTCTAACGTGCAGCCTGATAGAGAGCCATTGGGCAAAAGTGGGCATTCGTTCGCCTCTACTGTGGATGTCTGCGCTGGGTGTAATGTCAGTGTCTGCATATGGCTGTCTGTCCTTGATCCAGTCTGTCCCTGCATCCAGTGTCAGACACCAGTGTGGACTTCGTGCCTGCCTGACAGTGTGTGTGTGTGTGTGTGTGTGTGTGATGCTGATGTCTGACTGTGGTGTGGGTCCGTGTGCCTGCATGGAGTGAGTGAGCTGAGGTGGAACTCATACACTAGGTGCAGACTCAGGAGGCGAAGGGTCCTACCAATGTCTCTCTATCCTTAAGAGTTAGAGAAGATGGTTTGCAGCCGCCTTCACGTATTCGCATAGTTCACACTCTTTGCTGTTGGGAAGTTCTTCCTGTTGTCTCACTTCAGTCCCCTGTCAAGAGGAGAAACGTCTAGATTGAAAAAGTGCCAGTTTTCCCATCTTCTCTGGTAGCAGCCATAGGAACGGGAGGAAGTCCGGCCTGGAGCTGCATACCCAGGGCTGCTGGCTGGCGCGGCCGGGCTGTCTTCCTCGGTCTCATCACTCCATCAGGCCCTGATGAAACGGGTTTGAAGGGAGAAGAGCCAGCACCAGCACAATTAAATTAATTTCCAGCAGCTGCATGGGATTAAAATTACCCACTTCTCCTTTCTGGCCTCTATCTAATGTTCCTGAAAATGATCTCCTGATACTCTGCTTCTCCTCATTTCTCTTTCTTATGGTCTCAGCTTTTGGTACATCCACTCCTGATTGCGTTGCCCGTCCCAAGCTGCCCTTCCTTCCCCTACATGTGGCTGTAGATCAAAGTCCTGGTGAGACCCCTGTCCCCCGGGCCTGACTGGCCTGACCCTCTCCTTCCCAGACTGCGGGAGCTGGCCAGAGGCAACATCCAGAGGCAGAGTGACCCTCAGGAGTGGGACAGTCTGTCTTGGTGCCTCAGCCCTCACGGAGGTCCCATGGGAATGGAGACTTGCACTCCCCATGCCTGTCCTTTCAGGAGGCAGAGGAAAGGCAACACCTTATGGTGGAGTGAGCACCAGACTTAGAGTCCAGGCATATGGGCTCCAATGCCTGTGTTTCCATGAGTAACTCGACCCCTCTGAGCATGCCTTGCCTTCTGCAAAATAGAGAAGGGAATATCTATCTTACAGATTGCTGTAAAGACTAAATGAGAAAATATAGGGAAATATGTGTGTGTGTGTGTGTATATATATATATATAATGTACATAGATAGCTAGATAGATACTAGAACCTGCCCCATGGTAGATGATCATGCATAATATTAATGAGTACAGTAATAGCTAGTATTTATTCAGTGCACACTACAGGATGATGTTTTAAGCTTTGAATAGGTTGTGTTTAATCATCACAGCAGTACTTTGAGGTAGAACCTTTGATGACTCCCATTTACAAATGGGGAAAGATGAGGCAGAGAGGTATCAGGAAACATGCCCAAAGACACACAGTTCTTGGGTGATAGATCAGGAACGTGACCTCTGGGAATCTGATTACATGTACTGAAAGAAAAAAAGAATATATCACTGAACTATGCACATACTTAGGTATAGTATTTGCTTGTATCTGTGCATGTAGGAACACACACACACCACACACACACACACACACACACACACACACATCTTTGCATATTATCACTGCATAACCCCAGGCCCTGCACCCTCCCTCCTAGAAGAATCCAGGGGAAACAAACTGGTCAGCTGCAACTAGTAGGAGAAAACTAGCCAGAAAGGAAGCCAGGTGCCTACGGACAGAGGAAAGCTTCCGGAGGAACCTGCTGGGCCAACTGGGTAGGGCAATCTGTATGACTCTCACCTCAAATGATGAAGCAGGCTCATGAAAATGGGAACAGGCTTTCCTTTGACACTGTTCTCACCCAGAGTAACCTGAAGGACTCAGGTTCAGCAGGTTGGGCATGAGGGGCAGCTCTCCCTGCATTGCTATGCTAGAGTCAGCTCATCTCAAAGCCTCATCCACTGATTCCAGCAATGAGGCCTGATCCCTTCTGTGCTTTGCATGTGATTGGCACTTAATGGAATTTAATTTCAAGTTCTCCTCTGCTGCACTCAGTTCCCTTCCTCACTGGTCTGCTGAGTGGAGCTGGAGGATGGGAATGTATTCTAGGGACTGGCCTCTGCCCTCTCCCTGCTGTATAATGGTGGCCTCATCACTGCCTTCTCTGGTCATCTCTAAGGTTTCATCCAGCCTGACATTCTGAGTCTCTGATTCCATTCAGGTCCTTAGCAGCCTTGGCTGCCATGGTTTGAGGGTAGGGGTAGTGTGTGCGGGGGAAGTCATGTAGTTGTAAGCCCCAAACGACACATGGTCCAGTGGAGGAAATGATGTGGAAATGAGGGAAATGTCACCCTGGCGCTGCCCCTGCCCACATGGCTTGACCTCAGGGTCAGAATCAGGATGTGGGATGATGCAGTATGATTGTGGAATTGGGAGCAGTCCACCCTCCCAAATGCCTCAAAGGGATAAAAGGAAACATCAGAGCAAAAGTAAGAGATGGTTCAGGCTAGGCACGGTGGCTCACACCTGTAATCCCAGAACTTTGGGAGACCGAGGCAAGTGGATCACGAGGTCAGGAGTTCGAGACCAGCCTGGCCAACATGGTGAAACCCCGTCTCTACTAAAAATACAAAAATTAGCAGAGCATGGTGGCTCACACCTGTAGTCCCAGCTACTTGGGAGTCTGAGCCAGGAGAATCGCTTGAACCAGTGAGGCGGAGGTTGCAGTGAGCCAAGATCGCACCACTGCACTCCAACCTGGTGACAGAGCAAGACTCTGTCTCAAAAAAAAAGGAAAAAAGAAAAGAAAAGAAAGAGATGGCTCAGTAGAGCCTTCCCCAATCCCAGCTCTCCCCTGTGTAGCACTTGCCTTGTGCCAGCTACTGTCCTAGGCCCTTAAAGAGACCAACTCATTTAGTTGTAGGAATGACCCTATGGCAAGGTACTATTTTTATCCTCGTTTTACAGATGAAGACACTGAGCCATAAAAAGGTTACACAGATAAGTAAATGGTGAAACTAGGATTTGAAATGAGAGACTCTAGGGTTTATCATTTTAACCATTACATTTGATGGCTTTCCAAAGACAGTTGCCATCCAGGTCCAAGGAGTCATTTGAGAAAAGGTAAAGTACAAGGTACTCTCTGGAACCTGCATGGGAATACTGCCCAGGCACACCCTTCATTCAGAGGACGCTGCAGCTGGGAGATGAGGGGAGCCCCTCACAGCTGGAGGACCTGCTTACTAAAGAGCCCCCCGAGTTCCTGCTGTAGTTCTTTGCTTGTAGCCCCAAGGCAAATGCCTTGCACTTCTACATCCAGGGGATAAAGGACAGGGAGATGCTTCGTCCTCTTGAGATGGCTTTGTCGGATTGGCCCTAGGAGGTGCATCTCTCCACCCCTCCTGAAGTCTCCTCTTCCTGCTCTGACCACCCCGGCCCCACCCTCCACAGTGGGAGGACTGGCAAGGCCTGGGCAGCAGAATGCGTTGCTCAACACAGGGCAACATTGGCACATGCATCCATTTCCAGTTTCTACTGAAAACACCGGCTGAAGAAGGCAGAACAGGGAGACAAAGCCCTGAGGAGGGATTAGAACCCAGCAGGCTGCCAGGGCCAGGGGGCTGGGCTATGATGGACCCCAGGAGCAGATGAATTGGGAGAATCCCGAGCGCATCCATCACCCCATCAGCAGCAAACCCCCAGGCCTTGGGGTGGTGTGGGCTGAGATTGACCTCATGCCACAGAAATAAAGAAGTAAGAGGGGAAAGATGAAAGTGAAAACAACCCCAAAAGAGAGCGGGGAGGAAGATGAGTGACAGTCCCAGCTGATGCAAATATTGACATAACCATTATGAGGGTAAATAAAACTCCCATTTATGTTATGCAAGTGCTCTATTCTTTGAATACTTCTGTCTTGAGGAATTTTTTACTTCGCCATAGAAGAAAAATGTTTTCATATTCTCTCCCGCCGCTCAGACCCAGAACCCAGCGAGGCCTTGTGCCCCCGAGAGCCATAATATTATTTGTTAACATTTTTATGATGCCAAATGGTCTGTAGGAGAACGGGCGCCATTCTTTAGCTGGGAAACCATATGGCACGATGAGTAATAAATAAGGTATTGTGATAGTTAATGAACCTAATTGCCAGCGAAGGCTTTAACACGGAGACTGTGCTGCTGAGAATTTAGCACCGCATTAGGGATGCTGCGGAGCTCCCCTGACTTCCGAGGCTTAATTTAAGTTCTATATTGCAAACTCCAGAAAATAATTCCAAACCCTCCTGCTGGAAAAGCAACCTGCTGGTAGACTGTGATTATACCGAATTACTAAAATCGCAATCAATTTTATACACACAGTTAACCCTTGCCAGGAAGTACTCCCAGAGAGGAGAAGGATCAAGATTGTAGCCCATTCTACTTTGCTGCAGACTAAGGAGGACAAGAGTCAGGAAAGGTGTGCCCAAAGGAGGGGACCAGTTAGTTCTAAGGAGGCTTGTTAAGCAAAGAGAGGACGTACGGGAGATGCTCGTAGCAGACCTGAGCATACTTCTCCAGTCCTACAGGGTCTCCTTCATTGAAGGACAAGAAGACAGAAGGTCTTGGAGAGCGGGGTCTATGCTCACCCACCACTCCCAGCAGCAGGAATCCCTGGCAGGAAAAGAAACTGAGCCATTGCTGCTATTATTCCATAAGTCAAGGTTATTAACTAGAGAGGATCGAATCCTGGCAGTCAAATAACCTTGCACTGTGTAAAATGTAAATGCCGAACAGCTGCTGCTGAACTTTCAGTGGTGCCTGGAAGGTTCCCTGGGTGAGAAGAGCACACCACAATGCCAGGGGGAAAGGCATTTCTTCCCAGCTCATTTTCGGAGCTTGTAACTGGCCCTCCAGCCTTGGATAAGATAGAGGAGAATGGTTGGCTGTAGAAAGGGAACTTCCTGGGAACAGGTCAAGCCAGGTGTGACAAGAGAGAATGCTTCAAGACCCTGGATCTCCCTAGAAGATGCCCGTGCCAGGGCACCTCTCATCCATCAGGCCACCTCCCATGGCAATGCCCCAGGCTGTGGTTTGGAGAGCTCAGAAATTTCCTTTCCAGAAGAGTACTCCGAAAGAGATGGGAAACCCCACTTGGCACTCCCTGTGCTAAACTTTCCCGCATTCAGAGAGAGGCCAAGGGGGCAGGCTGAGACGTGGGAGAGGAGATTGGAAATAAGGAATATCTGCATAAGTCAAGAAGACAATGGGAGAAGCTTGGGTCAGAGAAGCCAAGAAGGCCAAAAATGTACAGAGGAGAGTTAGGAAGGTCTTGAGACCAGGTAAGACCCAGAGGCAGGTGTAGAAGAGGGGTCTGGCCCAAAATGTGAAACCCTGCAAGGGATGACCATGAGTGGCCATGTCCCTCCTTCCTCAAGAGCTAGGACAAAGACCCTTTTCCTACTGTGGTCTAAGGCACATTCAGCCTCATCTGGAAGGCAGGGATCTTGGGTAGGCTATGGAAACTCAACAGTAGGGTTTATAGGAGAGAGGCCTCAGGAGCTTTGGCATTGAGAAGTTCTCTACATAAGGCAGAGGCTGAGGCTTGGGAGTAGGATGAAGGATGGGGCATTGCTATAGATGTTAAGCTTCTAGAAGGCAGGGAACCTACCTGATCTTAGCAGCTAGCCTGTATGCACTTGGGAACCTGAGTGAGATGGACATCAGAAAAGTATACTCCACAGGTGACCAGGAGAGGAAGCACTGCATCAACCCAACTTGCCAGGCAGCTGGTGTGGGTGACGGCTTCTCCAGGCAGTGCTGCCAGGATACAGGATCACCATGGTCCTTTTCAGCCCCATTCTGGGTTTTCGACTTTCTCTGCTGCCCTTGGTTTGTCCCAAGGCTGTGGTACTCAGCTGCTGCTGTGGTCCTGAAGTGGAGTCTAGTGGTCCTGAAGTGGAGTCTATTATCTGCCTTGTTTATAATTCCTACCACCAAACCCAGTGATAGAAGCTGAGACCCCAAAGGTATTCCCAATTCCTACCTACAGAGGTAGAGGGTGAGGGAGAAGGGCCATAGGATCCCCACATGGCCCTTGAACTCTGCTGGAGCTTCAGAATCAACTGGGGGCAGTCTTGAAAAACACAGACGCAGGGACCCAATCCCCAGAGGCTCCAATCCAACGGATCCAAGATGTGCCCCTGGCCTGTGCAGGTGTTGAAAGCTCCACAGGTGTTCCTGATGCAAAGCTGGATGGAGAACTATTTCCCCTGGAAGGTCCACACCCAGCCCTCACTCTAAACTTCCCCTTCTCAGCTCCAGATGGTGGAAGGAGAAATACCTACACTCTCCCTGGTAAGCAATTGAGGAACACAGAGATTCTGCCTGAACTACAAGCAAGACATAGAGGCAAAAGGATGACATTCTTAACTCCAGGGTGGTTAAACCCTAGGTAAGAACACAGGTAAAGTTGTTAAGTAAAGTTGTTGAGATCCCCCCTCTGGCAGCCTTTCCAGGTTACACAGATACCCATCTGGGAGCAGAAGGTTGAGCCAAAAGACCTTTAGATCTTTAGCTTTTGTAAGATTATAAGTATTTCCATATTTTATGGATGAGGAAAATAAAGGCCAGAAAGGTTCTGTGACTCTGTGAAGGAATTGACTAGAACCCAGGTGTCTTGACTCTAAGTACGTTTTCTTTCTAGATTATTTTTTGCATCTTTTTTATTCCAGTTATATAATCTGGGCATTGAGAGAATAAAAAAAAGAGCAAAAGAAATTCCAGGATTCATAGTCATACACTGGATGTAAGGAGGACAGTGGGACCCCTGAAGAGGCTTCCAGTTCTGAGATTGTAAGATGCTACAGGGGCTTGTCATCTGGTTGAAGAGACTTTTAAATATTTGACAAAGCCGTGTATTAAATATGCAAGTTAATATGAGCATCAAGGACATGGAATGAAGGACCTAATCCGCCAGTGCTTCCTAGAAAGGGACTCAAGGCAATACCTATTTACTGCTCATCGTAAGTTGATCACCCAACTCTGTGCTTAAGGCTTTGGGGAAATCAAGAGAGGTGGATGATCTTGTGCCTGTCCACAGGGAGCTTTCTGTCTAGTTAGAGAAGCAATGTGCACATGAAAGGGCTGGAGGACACTAAAGCAAGCAAGTCACCAGGACCCAGACACAGATGCTGTGGTCTACTAGTGAGCTCTCACTTTCTCTAGATTCTGAGAAGAGTGGGGAGTTGGACCAAGTTGGACCAAGACTCCCATGGCAAAGGAGGCTCCCTGGGGATTCTGGGCAAAGATCCCAGAGGCAGTGGGGGAATGGCTGCTTTCTCCAAGTCAAGGTGTGTTGAGGGGAAGTTAAAGCTAAACATAGGCTCCTGAGATGGTCTCTCCATACCACTGGGGCCTGTGGCCAAGCCAGTGGCCTCAAAAACCCCAGCTTTCCCTCTCCCAACTGGAAATAGTGGGACCTCGTCAACCCCACCACGGACAGAGCTCTGTCTCATCAGGCAAGTGCTGTGATGAAGAGCCACCTAGTGTGCATTTAATACTGTATATAAATACACTTTACAATCACGAAGAAGACTTTCTACTCAGAGGAGACCACTGGAATATTTTATAGTGATGCAGATCAAGTGAAAAGAAGGAGAATAAATAAAAGGGAAGATAATTATCCGATGGAGTTCTTTCAGTATATGCCACAGCAGGGCATACTTACAAAGAATACATATTACTAGAGAGACACAGCTTTTCAAGCATCAAACTAACCTATAAATTGTCAGACTCGAGAATGAGAGGAAAGGAATGGGAGAGATTTGGGTGCCCATCACGCCATTAGCACTGGGTTCCGTGCTCCACCTTGCTTGCAACAGCTCTACACGCCAGCCACAGCACAGTCCCGCAGAAGGGAGACGCCACCTAATAAATGTCTCTGGAAAATTACGACTGTACTGCTACAGTAAAAAGATGGCGCCGTTTATCTCAGCACCATCTGCACAGGCTCATTTGTTGCTCCTGAGGCAGCCCACACGCACCCAGCAAGTTTGCAACTCTCCAACACTTGGAGTGTTTTCTTCACCAGGATGCTGTGGGACTTGGAATGCAAATTTCTCTCCCGGCTCTGCGAGGTCAGCAGGAGAGATGATGCAAGAGGCCTGCAGCTGGACCTCCTGGCTGGTACAAGTCACCTGCTCCAGCATCCGATCTCAAGGTAGGGACCAGGAGCCTGGAATCCTTCTCATGCCAGTGAAAGCAAACATGAAACATCGTTCGTTGTTCATCCATTCATTCAGCTATTTAACAAACAACATGGAGTAGATGCTACATGCCAGGCACTGCAATGGAAATTAGGAGTACCTGCATAGCTGGCTCATACTTCCTGCAGGTTCTTATTCAAATGTCATCTTCTCAAGGAGGTCTTCTCTGGACCTCCTTCTCTAGAATTGAAACACCTCCTTTTTATAGCAGATTTGGTCCTGCTCTGTCAATATCCCCTCAGATCCCTTTGCCATTTTCATGTGCACGGACTCCCGGCGTGTGCTCATTCCCAGTAGCCAGCACCTGTGTCCCTTTGTAGATTGACTGTCTTCAAAGCTGCTGGAATCTACTTTGCTGTAGGTGCCCGGGAATCTATACAAACTGACTCCTACCCACCCTGGAGGTAGCCTTTAAATATTCATTGAATTCATGTGTACAAATCTATCAATACTTGCCCCCAGTGGCTACTACATTGTGAGGTGTTGGGTGTTGTTGAAACATAAAAGACTGAGGAGGGGGTAGGCAGTTATGAAACTAGGAATATGCAACCTCTGCATTGCACAGGAACTGTGAGCTTTTAAAGCATATGCAGTGAGCTCATTTCAATGACAGGGCTAGAGGCGGCATTGCTGAAAGCTGGCAGCTGAAAGGGACAAGGTGTTGGTGTGGCTGGATGAGGCCACACTTTCTGCTGTGACCCCAGACTATTTTCCTATCCACCTGGAAGACACAGGCTGCTTTAGCATCACTTGTAGTCTCTGCACAGCAGCAACCAGACCGCAAAGACCACATGACCACAGTGGCCTACAGGATTCCTTCCTTCTCTTTGGTAGGCTCCCCCTGCAGGTACTGAAATAAAATCCCCTCTCTGCTCCCTCTAGGCTTTCCTCTGGTTTCCTCCATACCCAGCCCACTTTTCTATATGCAAACCCACCTTCTTGCCTTCAGGAGAAAGAAGCACTGTTCTTGCAGAACAGAATCCACTCCCTGTTGGGCTTTGCTTTGGGACTCATTTGAGCTAGTTATGCCACTGGTGGAGAGAGTGGACGCTGGGGAAATAGGGACCTGATTATGATGAAGCTTGGTTGGGCACTTTTCAGTAGGCAACACAGAGCCAGTGATGGTGTTAATTGTGGAAGAGACCTAATTGGAACTGCAGGAGGGTAGAGAATGAACTAGCTGAGCCCATACAAGAGGTGGGAAGTCCAATGAGGGGCTCTTGGACGTATCTGGGTGACTGTAAGTATAGGCAGTAATGCTATGATCCAGGAGCCTTAGAAGTGGGACTAGAAAGAAGGGAAGAGCTGACGGCTATTCAGGAAGTTTAATCAACAGAAATTTGTTGACTGATTAGATGTTCACGTGGGAGGAGAGCAGATTTTTGTGGGAAGGAGAGATGAAGGACAGAGACAGAAACTGAGAAAGGGAGATAGGCAGAGAGAAAGGGCAAAGAGAGACTAAAAGGATGATAGAAAGACAGATGGAATGACAACACCAAGAGAGAGATGGAAAAGGAGAGTTGACAAGACTCTTAGGGAGACTTTTAACTTATTTGGAACTAATTTTAGACTTACAGAAACATTGAAAAAATAGTACAGAGAATTCCCACATACTGTTCACCCAGCTTGCCCTGAAGTTGGCATCTTACATAACCATAACACAGTTATCAAAACCAGGACATTAACATTGGCACAATGCCATTACTCAAGCACAGACTTTATTCAGATCTCACCAGTTTTGTAGTGAGATGTGGAGAGTGAGAAACATAAATACAGAGAGCCAGACAGGGAGAACGAAGTTAGACACAAGTTCCCAAGTCCCTCCTCCTGGGAGAAAGTTTACAGAGTTGACACATCAGAGCCTGAGGGAACAGGCTAGCTGTTTAGCACGTGCCATATATTAGGTGCCTCATACATGGCTATTTAATAAATAAATGGAGTCAAGCGCTCTAGGCACAGAAGCAAAGGCATTGCAATGAGTGTCCACATACAACCAACCCACAGTTCTTTGTCTTTTCTAAGCTTCCATAGAATCCAGGATCTGGGGCTTACAGCAACAGACATTTCCAAAAGGCCTAATGCCAAGAGCATCTTCTGTTCAGTTCATCAGCTGAGCTTCGTTCTCCAGAGAGAGGTTCCTTTATTAAAGCCCTTTACTGAGCCTTTCCCCTTAAATGCCTTTCTTACAGCACAGTCATGGCCGCCAGGATCTCCACTGCCTCCCTTTGAATTTTATAATTTTTAAGAGCCTAGGGGGAAGTTGATCACTGTTCTACAGGAAGGGAAGGAAGACTTTTAACCCATCAGTGGGATCCTGAGCAATCTTGTCCCCTTAATTTAGGAACCAGGCAGCCTAGGGAGGGGTGAACTGTCAATCACCAGAAAGTTCATTGATTTGTCCCCTCCTGGGTCCATCCAGCATAGAGAGGAGCCATCCTCAGCAGACAGCAAGTGTGGAAATGGCAGTCTAACCAAGGCCCACCATGCCCTCTTCCCAGGCCAACTCCAAAAGCCTGTAAGACAGTCCATGGCCAAGCCAGCCTGCTTCCATAACAATGACACACTCAGAGTCTTCTTTAACAAGTCCCAGTTCTGCAGGTCTTTGTGGCATTAAGAGAAACACATCTGCCATTTTGTCCCCTCTTGACTTCCTTATTTTTACCCCTAGTTATTCAGCAGCCCCTGGGGTTTCTTGATGACCAACAGCAGCCCTTAAGTGGTAGTGTCAGAGGAAAGGTAATGCAAAACTTTCCCCAGCAGCAGATAGCAGGGCAAACCTGTGACGTGTCCCCAGCACCAAAGGACCCATGATTCTGGGTCAATCGAGATTGCCCTTGATGGAGCTCCTAGACCATATCAGAACAGATGCGTGTGTGTGTGTGTGTGTGTGTGTGTGTGTGTGTGTGTAGAATGGGGGAAGGGAAGGGACTGAGGACACCCCTTAGTTGAGGGATATCTAGATAAACTTGGATAAAGTTACATCTCACATACCTCCAGGCACCAGGAGTGGGCCCTGCAGGATACTTGCTTGTCCCAGCCCTTGAAGACCTTCCCCTGGCTCTCCCATACATTCAGAGATAACGCTGATCTTTCTCCCAACTGGTGGAGAGATGCACGGGAGCAACAGACAGAAAGAATCAAGGACCCAAAACCATTTTTTCAGGTTTTTCGTGTTACCTTATTTGACTCAACTCCCTAAATAATGGAGGAAATCACTCATTAGTCCACTTTTATCTTTTTCCCTAATAAGAAGGATAAGAAATAGCTAGCTTATACTGAAGCAGAAGGAACTCAGTTCAGCTATAGTGCCCAGCACAATGCCTGGCACATAGTAGGTGCTCAAAAATATATGCTAACTGAGGCCGGATGCAGTGGCTCACGCGTGTAATCCCAGCACTTTGGGAGGCCGAGGTGGGAGGATCACTTGAGGTCAGGAGTTCGAGACCAGCCCTGGCCAACATGGTGAAACCCTGTCTCTACTAAAAATACAAAAATTAGCCAGGCGTGGTGGCAGGCACCCGTAATCCCAGCTCCTCGGGAGGCTGAGGCAGGAGAACCGCTTGAATCCAGGAGGTAGAGGTTGCAGTGAGCCGAGATTGCGCCACTGCACTCCAGCCAGGTGACAGAGTGAGACTCCACCTCAAAAATAAAAAATAAATAAATAAATAAATAAATAAATAAAAGTAAAATATATGTTAACTGAACAAATGAACAAGTGGTGAATATAGGAGAATCCTTAGTAGCTTATTGTGGAAAGACCTTTGAAATCAGAACCAAGCTGATATTCTGGACCTGCTCCTTCTCGTGTGCCCACGGGTAAGTTGCTCGCCCTCCATCAGCCTCAGTTTTTCTCACTTGTAAACACAAAGATGAATAGCTTGCTCCTTCCTTGCTATGATGAGGATTGAACAGATAATAGGTGTGCTAAGCAGCATGCATAGCACAGTGCCTGGCATGAGGTAGATAATAAATAGTAGCTACTTTAATGGTTTTTTATGTAGTTAGAAGCACTCAAACTGAGAAGGTTCTGAAGAACATTAGCGAAGAGAGCAGACTTAGGGGTTGTTCGAGAGCAGTCCTGCCCCGAGGCAGAAGGATGGACGCTTGAGGTGAAGATCTGAGGCCCAAGCCTGCCTTGGGGTTCTAGGTTTCTGGGTTCCCATTGCCCGTGGGATGTAGTTGTCCCCTAATGACTGGGGAGAGCCAGGTGCTGAAGCATAAAATTAGCAGCCATGTCACCTGTCTTGTCCGTGTCTTCCAGGAGATTTGGGGGTCTGCAGCCCACCCATGTGCATGTGGCTACCCACCTCTCTCCTCCTCTCTTTCTCACAAAAGTCTAAAGATCCCCCAGGGCCACGCCCATGCCCCACAGTCATTCAGTTACCAGTGCATCTCCAGGTGAGAGACATGGGTTGTCTTTGGTGCCAGAACACACTTTTCCTCCCGGGCTACCAGCCTGTAATACTTTAGAGCAAGCTTGCCCGATCCACAGCCTATGGGCCGCATGTGGCCCAGGACAGCTTTGAACGCAGCCTGACACAAATTCGTAAACTTTCTTAAAACATTATGAGATTTTGGGAGGATTTTTTTTTGTTTTTAGCTTGTCAGCTATCATTAGCGTTAGTGTATTTTAGGTGTGGCCCAAGATAATTCTTCTTCTTCCAGTGTAATCAGGGAAGCCAAATATTGGACCCCTCTGCTTTAGAGGGAAGTGAGTGTGTTTTATTATTGCTGGCACTCTGCACACAGTAGGTGCCTAATCAACACTTGTTGATGGCACAGATGAGGAACAAGGGTGTTTCAACAAAAGGGCAGGCAAGATGAGGAGGCTGTGGCAGGCTGAGTTAGATACTGTGCTGTCTGGAAGCAGCAACATGGACAAGAAGCCTTTCTACCTGGTTACAAGTCCACAGCCACAGGGATTTCCACAAGTAGATGACCATTGGCACCAAAGTCAACTAAATAATTGTCTATGGCCATTTTAGGTTTACCAGTCACAACTTCGTCTTCTCACTCTCGCCTTCTGTCTTCTATTTTTTTTTTTTTTTAGACAGAGTCTCTGTCGCCCAGGCTGGAGTGTACTGCAACCCCCACTAAACTTCCCAGGTTCAAGCAATTCCCCTGCCTCAGCCTCATGAGTAGCTGGGATTCCAGGCGCACACCGCCATGCCCAGCTAAGTTTTGTATGTTTAGTAGAGACAGAGTTTTGCCATGTTGGCCAGGCTGGTCTCGAACTCCTGACCTCAAGCAATCCACCTGCCTTGGCCTCCCAAAGTGCTGGGATTACAGGCATGAGCCACTGCACCTGGCCACCTTCTCCTGTCTTCTTCTGATCTCTTACCTGGTTTTGTTTTGATTTCTTTCTTTTTCCTTCCTACCTGTGGCTTAGTAAGACCTTTGGAGGCACCTGCTTACTCAGTGTCTCTGGTCCTTGCTGAGATGGAGTCTGGCTTTAGAATCCCTCAAAGCCTGAGCCACATGAGAGGTCTCCCTCCTCCACAGAAAGAGAGTAAGGGCTGAGGTGCCGGGTGCACCCTGGATCCTCAACCCTCCACTACAGCCAACACTGCAGAGCCCCTTGTGTGACAAGATGTGGTGCCAAGAACTTCATGCTGTCTCCCTATTTAACGCAACAACCCTGCAAACAGACTTTTTCTTCCCATTTACCAGATGAATGAAAGTAAGTCTCAGACAAGGAAAATGACCGCAGGGTGCTCTGCAACTTGAGTGTGCACTAGATTCGCCCTAAGGGCTGGTTAAAACACAGTGTGCAGGGCTCCAGTTTGAGTTTCTGACTCAGTAGGTCAGGGGTGGATAACCGGCATTTCAGCAAGTTCCCAAGTGATGCAGATGCTGCTGCTCAGGGACCAGACATTGAAGCCACTGACTTCAGTGGTCATGGCTGGTAAGTGAAAGGCCCAGGATGGAAATTGGAGGCTTCTGGCCCCCAGTCTAGTGTTCCTTCCCCTCCACCACAGCTGGCTTCCCTCTGCAGAGTGCCTGGGTAGGATCTCTGTCAATGCTCTGAAATCTGTCCACCTGGAAGTCTGGAGGTCCTACAGATGGTCTGGGGTCCCCTGTAAATCTACAGGGCCCCTGGGACATGGGGTAAAGCAAGCACCGAGTATGCTGGGTTCCAGAACCAGGGGAGAAGATCTGAGGACAGAGGCCCCAGTCACAAGCCTGGCTCGCTGGGCCCTAGAGCTTCTTTAACAGGGTGTTTTATGGGGGAGTTTTCAGTGCCAGCATCAGGGCAGGCTGAGGAGCTGAGCCTTGCCAGAGTAAACAGCAGCCTGTTCAACCCATGGGGGCTCCCACCTCAGGGCAGTTTTAAATTGCTACTGTATTTAATTGTTAGCCAAGCTACTCCATTGGTTGTGGGAATGGGGAAGGTGGAGGCAGGCAAGCTCCAGGAATGAGCTGCACGATGTTGTATTTCTCTCCATTTTTGGCTCACTGCGGACTCTGTACAGAGCAGCCCCTTGGGGCTCAGCACTGGAGTTTATGTCAAACCCTGTGCTTGATGGGTTCGAGGTTCGTGCCTCCCGGTTAGTGGGACCCAGGAGGCTGGGAAACCCAGATGCTCCCCGCACACATCTCTCTATCCCTGCAGGTGGGGACTGACTTTGACCTTTGTGGGTCCTGAAAGAGAGGAGCTATCATGCCACACCGTAAAGCTTCTTGGCAGCCACCCGCCGTCACCTGGCTCTTTAGGGCCTCCTACTAGCAGAGCCTCTCCAAAACAGCTGCCCAGAGGCAGGAGGATGGCCTCGGAGGCCCTGCCAGCCCGAAACCCCAAGGACCTTGCGTCTCCTTGAACCTTGTTGTTCAAAGGTGAAAGCAAGTATCTTCTTTCCCTGAGATCTGGGTGTAGTCCAGACATCTGTCTGTCTTTGACTTTCTTTCCCTGCTATAAGTTTTCAATAGGAAACCAAGACCACTGCCTCAGAGTGATTTAATTCAACCCAATGGGGAAAACGTGGAACTAAGGAAACTCTATCCCTAGAGAGAATGATAGCAATAATCATTATTGCTAATAATAATTTTTTTTTGAGATGGAGTCTCACTCTGTCACCTAGGCTGGAGTGCAGTGGTGCGACCTGGGTTCACTGCAACCTCCGCCTCCCAGGTTCAAGCTGTTCTCATGCCTCAGTTTCCTGGGTAGCTGGGATTACAGGCACTCACCACCACACTCAGCTAATTTTGTATTTTTAGTAGAGATGGGGTTTCACCATGTTGGGCGGGCTGGTCTCGAACTCCTGACCTCAAGTGATCCTCCCGCCTTGGCCTCCCAAAGTGCTGGGATTACAGGTGTGAGCCACCATGCCCAGCCAATAATAATTATTAATTAATTATTATTATTATTGCTCTCATTCATTCAGGACATCTAAGTGCTAGGCACTGTTCACATATTTCTTCATTTAATCATCTCAATAAATAATAAACAGACTGGGTACAGTTATTATCTCCATTTTATAGATGGGAAAACTGAAACACTTAGGGGCTGAGTAACTTGGCCTTGGCCACACAGTGGGAGGTGAGTGAGCAAGATGTGAACCTGGCTGGTTTGGCTGCAGGGTGTGCGCCCCTAACCTCTCCTCTCTGTTGCAGCTCAGCGCCCCCCTGCCTGCTACTGCAGCTGCCAGGGCTGGCTTAGGAATTCCCAGCCCCATGCCCTCCAATTATGCGGCCTCCAATATGTATCCTCCAGTTACACGGTTACCAGGGTTCACATAGCATCTAGAGATATATTGCTTTGCAGGAAACGAAATGGCAGGAAGATGACAGTGAGGACAGAGAGCTCTTGGAAAGAATCAGAGGACAGGGCTGTGACCCTCGAGACTGGAATGTAGCAGAAAACACCAGGACTTGGAATCAGAAGACAGAGTTCCTCAGCCAACTACCTGACTGGGGGGGTAGGGGGGTAGGTTACTGAACCCCTTTGGGTCTCCGTTTGCTCACATATAAAATGGAGATGATACTTATGTGACATGCTGAATTGTGTGCCCCTCAAATTCAGATGTTGAAGTCCTATATGACCACATTAGTTTAGGATTGAGAGAAAGATCAGGTGCAGGCCCCACTTGGGTCAATCAAGCAAGGCTTCTTATTTACAGACTGGGAAGGAAGCCAGTTGATTTGGGACGCATGGCAGAGAAGCCAACACCCTTTCCCAGGACAGTGCAAGTGAGAGCTTCGGAGTAAATGAGGGTCACATTAGGTTTTCTGGAAGCCTGAATCTCTCCAAGGTGTTGTGGGCATGAAGCTTATGAAGGGCCCTCTTCAAGAAGAATAATACAAATATGAATATACAATTAGGGACAATGTGAATATTTATTTAGAATGAAAAACGAAGTCAGCAAATTACACATTTTAAAAAGCTAATAAAGCCTGGGTGCGGTGGCTCACATCTGTAATCCCAGCACTTTGGGAGGCCAAGGTGGGCAGATCACTTGAGGTCAGGAGTTCAAGACCAGCCTGGCCAACATGGTGAAACCCCATCTCTACTAAAAATACAAAAAATTAGCCAGGTGTGGTAGTGCCCGCTTGTAATCCCAGCTCCTTGGGAAGCTGACATGGGAGAATCACTTGAATCCAGGAGGTGGAGATCGCAGTGAGCCAAGATAGTGCCATTGCACTCCAGCCTGGGCCACAGAGTAAGACTCCATCTCAAAAAATAAATAAATAAAATAAAAACAAAAAGCTAATAAATACAGCAAACATTCGAGACGGAGCGCTCTGGTGCCCAGGCTGGAGTGCAGTGGCGCGATCTTGCCTCACTGCAACCTCCACCTCCCAGATTCAAGTGATTCTCCTGTCTCAGACTCCCAAGTAGCTGGGACTATAGGCACCTGCCACCACGCCTGGCTAATTTTTGTGTCTTTAGTAGAGACGGAGTTTCACCATTTTGGCCAGGCTGGTCTCAAACTCCTGACCTCAAGTGATCTGCCCGCCTCGGTCTCCCAAAGTGCTGGATTACAGGCATGAGCCACTGCGGCCAGCCAAACATTCATCTTTTAAGGGCCTTGGAAGGGATTTGTGCAAATGAGGGGCCTTGACACTTAGCTTCTGATAAATCTGCTTGCATTTACACTCATATACACATATCCATACCTACACACAAGGCTGGAACATTCAGCACATGACCCACGCCACATTATTGCCAAAGACCCCCACACCTGGGGTCACCGAGTGCATGATCATCTTAGAGTAGTATGCAGGCTCCAGTTTGCACACAATACATTAGGTCATAATGAAAACCTGATCCTGACTCTCCAACACAGCCTGGTCATACTCACTCCTGAACTCAGTGTATAGAACTGGAATAAAAGTTAGTTGCCCTTGCAGGCTCTGAGTCAGGCTGTCAAGCCCGTAGACCAGCTATGGGCCATGTCCTGCCCAGGCATTCCAGGCAGGAGGAAGAGTTTGAGCAAACTCCAAAAGGGAAGAGGTGGCCAGGCCCTTTTGAAGAACTGCTGGCAGTTCAGTGAGACTGGAATTTATTCATGTGGACAGAGGTAAGAGAAGGGCATAGGATAGTGGTTAGTCATGAAGGAATTTGTGGAGATGCCAAAGAGTTTTGATGTTATCATGGAAGCATGGGAAGTCATTGAAAGGAGCTAGACATAAAAAAGTCATATTCAGGGCCAGGCGTGGTGTCTCATGCCTATAATTTCAACATTTTGTGAGACCGAGGCAGGCAAATCATTTGAGGTCAGGAATTCGAGACCACCCTGGCCAACATGGTGAAACCCCATCTCTACTAAAAATACAAAAATTAGCTGGGCATGGTGGCACATGCCTGTAATCCCAACTACTCAGGAGGCTGAGGCACAAGAATCGCTGGAACTCGGGAGGCGGAGGTTGCAGTAAGCCGAGATCGCACCACTGCACTCCATCCTGGGTGGCAGAGTGAGACTATGTCTCAAAAAAAAAAAAAAACAAAAAAACGCATATTCAGGTTATGTTTTGGGAAGATCACTCTGAAAGTAATGTGGAAGGCCAAGTGGCTTAGTAACACAGGGAGACTATTCAGGAGGCTACTGCAGTGATCCAAGTGTATCAGGGTTCTCCAGAGAAACAGACCAATAGGATGGATGTATATATTTATAAAGAGATTTATTATAAGGAATTGGCTCACAGGATGTGGAGGTTAAGAAGTTCCAAGATCTGCAGATGGCAAGCTGGAGACCCAGGAGATTTGATGGTGTAATTCCAGTCCAAGTCCAAAGGCCTGAGAACTAGGAGAGCTGTTGGTGCAAGTTCCGGTCAGAAAGCCAGCAGGTTCAGGATCAAGGAAGAGCTGATGTTTCAGTTCAAATCCAAAAAACAGAAAACAATGGATGTCCCAGCTCACAGCAGTCAGGCAGGAGGAGTTCTCTCTATTCATGGGACGGTGAGCCTTTTTGTTCTATTCAGGCCTTCAGCTGATGGAATGAGGTTAACCCACATTAGGGAGGACACTCTCTCTGCTTTACTCAGTCTACAGATTTAAATCCTTTTTTTCGGGGTAGGGGACAGAGTCTTGCTCTGTCACCCAGGCTGGAGTACGTGATCTCAGCTCACTACCACTTTAACCTCCACCTCTTGGGTTCCAGCGATTCTCCTGTCTCAACCTTCCAAGTAGCTGGGATTACAGGTGCACGCCACCATGCCCAGCTAATTTTTGAATTTTTAGTAGAGACAGGGTTTCACCATGTTGGCCAGGCTGGTCTTGAACTCCTGACCTCAGGTGATCTGCCCGCCTTGGCCTCCCAAAGTCCTGGGATTACAGACGTGAGCCACCGTGCCTGGCCTACAGATTCAAATCTTAATCTCATTCAAAAACCCATAATAATGTTTAACCAAATATCAGGACACCTATGGCTCTGTCAAGTTGACAAATAAATGTCACATCAAGAGAGAAATGACAGGGCTTGAACAAGCACAGTAGCCACAGCTACACAATAATTATAGATTAGAAAAGTGTCAAAAAAGTTGAGGGCTGGGCGCGGTGGCTCACGCCTGTAATCCCAGCACTTTGGGAGGCCGAGGTGGGCAGATCACAAGGTCAGGAGTTTGAGACCAGCCTGGCCAACATGGTGAAACCCCGTCTCTACTAAAAATACAAAAATTAGCTGGGCGTGGTGGCCCGTGCCTGTAATCCCAGCTACTCGGGAGACTGAGGCAGGAGGATCGCTTGAAACCGGAAGGCGGAGCATGCAGTGAGCCGAGATCGCACCATTGCACTCCAGCCTGGGCAACAAGACTGAAACTCTGTCTCAAAAAAAAAAAAAGTTGAACAGGAGTTAAGAACCAATTAATTTTGAAAGATGAAGGAGAGAGAGAGTCTATGAAAACATCTGGGTTTTAGCTTGAGGAGAATAAGTGAGAGATGGTTGCTTTTACTGTGACAGTGTCAGCTGGCTGTCCCTTCATCTCACCAGTTCATAAGAACAAATGTTAGCACATTCACAGGGAAATATCAATTTTTTTTTTTCCTGAGACAGAGTCCTGTTTTGTCACCCAGGCTGGAGTACAATGGTGTGATCTTGGCTCACTGCCTCCTGGGTTCAAGCAATTTTCCTGCCTCAGTCTCCCAAGTAGCTGGGATTACAGGTGCCTGCCACCACACCTGGCTAATTATTGTATTTTTAGTAGGGACAGGGTTTCATCATGTTGGCCAGGCTGATCTCGAACTCCTGACTGACCTCGAGTGAATCTGCCCACCTCAGCCTCTCAACGTGCTGGGATTACAAGTGTAAGCCACCATGCCCAGCCAAATATCAATTTTATTAGCTCTGATTCCCCACCCAAAGATCCTTGCAAAGATGCTTCCCCAAGAGCTCCTGACATCTTAAAAAGCCTTCACCCACATTCGTGAATCCGTTGTTAATGACTGATCCCACCTTTGCGGAAGGTCCACCATGCCTGCCTTCTCATAGGTGTCAGCAGCCAAGCGTAGCTCTGCCCCAGGTGCAACAGAAGCTGCAGGCAGTGCAGGTGGTGCCACGTGGCTGCCTTCTGGGAGGTTCAGAAGAGGAATGCTTCCTCCCTGCTGGCTAGGAGGCTGTCATAGTGACTGACAGCATAATGGTGGATCTTCAGCTCCACCCTCAGAGCCCAGCGTGCAACCTGCCATCCACTGGGTTCTGAGGGTTCCTCCAAACCATCTGCCTTGCAGTACCTAGATCCCTGCCCTCCTTTGACTGCCAGACACTGTTGTTGGATGTACCTCATCTTGCCAGTCTCCTTTGTGGGGCGTTTTCTCCCAGAGGCTCCAAAGTTCTTATGATTTGTCCTCTGCCAGCTACCCCCACTCTCCCCCCTCCCCCCTTCCAGTGCACCTGATGTGCCTTTCTGTGCCTGGAATCCAGATGGGGATACTTAGAGTCCCTGTCCCCATACACCAACCATCTTCGACCCAAGTGAGTCAGTTCATGTAAACAGATACTTGAAGACCTAAGTATTGTGTAAATCTTGGTGGTGGTTTTTTTGTTGTTGTTTTTTGTTTTTTGGCGTTTTTTTGTTTTGTTTTTTTGTTTTGTTTTGTTTTTTGAGCTGGTGTTTTCTTTGCTTACTCTAGTTCTGGTGGTTTGTTTTATTTTGATTTGGATCTCAGGTGCAGACAGTTGAGTTAAGTGTAGTCCCCAGTTCATGTCACCTCTGGAGAATGTGAGGTCTGTGTAAGATCTCTCATTTCTTTATTCCTTTTCTTTTCATATTTACAGTGACCATATATTTACCCTACCAACAAGAGCACTTTTTAGAAGAAAAGGAGGCAATTTAATGATTATTATGCTGAGGCTGGGCGCAGTGGCTCATGCCTATTATCCCAGTACTTTGGGAGGCCGAGGTGGGTGGATCACCTGAGGTCAGGAGTTCGAGACCAGCCTGACCAATATGGTGAAACCCCGTCTCTACTAAAAATATAAAAATTAGCCGGTTGTGGTGGCATGCAACTGCAGTCCCAGCTACTCAGGAGGCTGAGACAGGAGAATTACTTGAACCCAGGAGGCAGAAGTTGCAATGAGTCGAGGTTGCACCACTGCACTTCAGCCTGGGTGACGAAGCGAGACTCCATCTCAAAAAAAAAAAAAAAAAGTTTCTAATGTTTATTATGCTGGGCTCATAAACTAGGCCTGCTGCTGCAAGTAGAACACACGGGCACCCATTTGTACTGTATGTCTGTTCCTGTGTCTCCTCTAAGAAGCCATTCTATATGGTTTACTTTGTGTGTGTACATTTGCTTTTGTTTTGGTTCTGGTTTTGGTTTTGTTCTTTTGAGACAGGGTCTCACTCTGTCACCCAGGCTGGAGTATAGTGGCGCGATCACGGCTCACTGCAGCCTTGACCTCCCAGGCACAATCCATTCTCCCTCCTCAATATCCTGAGTATCTGGGACCACAGGTGCGTTCCACCATGCCAGGCTATTGTTTTTATTTTTTATAGAGACTAGGTCTTGCTATGTTGCCCAGGCTAGTCTCCAACTTGTGGGCTCAAGTGACCCCACCTTGGCCTCCCAAAGTGTTGATATTATAGGCATAAACCACTATGTCCGGCTGGTTTTGCTTTTATATATTCTTATAAAATGTGTTCTCTGTTTGTTTTTTTTGTTTGTTTGTTCGTGATGGAGCCTCACTCTGTCGCCCAGGTTGGAGTGCAGTGGCATGATCTCGGCTCACTGCAACCTCTGCCTCCTGGGTTCAAGCAATTCTCCTGCCTCAGCCTCCTGAGTAGCTGGAATTATAGAAGTGCCACCACATCTGGGTGATTTTTGTATTTTTAGTAAAGTCAGGGTTTCTTTTTTCTTTTTGTTTGAGATGGAGTCTTGCTCTGTCACCCAGGCTGGAGTTCAATGGCACGATCTCGGCTCACTGCAACCTCTGCCTCCCAGGTTCAAGCAGTTCTTCTACCTCAGCCTCCCAAGTAGCTGGGATTACAGGTACCCGCCACTACGCTTGGCTATTTTTTTTTTTTTTTTTGTATTTTTAGCAGAGATGGGGTTTCACCATGTTGGCCAGCCTGGTTTCAAACTCCTGACCTCAAGTGATCTGCCTGCCTCAGTCTCCCAAAGTGCTAAGATGACAGGCGTGAGCCACCACACCTGGCCAGGGACGCGGTTTCACCATGTTGGCCAGGCTGGTCTCGAACTCCTGACCTCAGATGATCCGCCTACTTCGACCTCCCAAAGGGCTGAGATTACAGGCATGAGCCACCATGCCCGGCTTAGAATGCATTTTTGTCTTAAGGTACATGCATTTTAAATGTACATAAATATTTTGTTATGGCTCTACTGTTGTTTCTTACCTTTTCTGCTAAGCTCTGTTCATGTTCATATCTAATCTGTTGCTTCCAATGGACTCAGAGTACTCCACACTGCAGCCACCACACATACTGATGGATGCACCCACCTGGTGATGGGCACCCGGGTTGTGCAGCCTCGCCCCCCTCACAGGTAATGCCATTGTGATTCTCCTTGTCCAGGGATCCTCCAGGTCTGGAGTAAAAACTGCTTTGGGATCTCAGGAGCCGAACTGCTGGCTTGTCATTTAGATACGTAGTGCCAGACTGCTCTCCAAAATTTGCCTACCTCTTTGTGACTACTGTACAGATTTCAGCTCCAGCCCAGCTGGGACACCCAGGGCAGAGAAGGCTGGAAACAGAAGCCAAGGAGGCACCAGCACTTAGGGATTGAGCAAAAAGAGTGATTATGATGATGGAGACTAAGAAGAGAGGAGTCCTAAAGACAGGGGGAAAATGATGAAAGACTGTAGCGAGACAAGACCGTGTTAACAGGGGTGCGGAGTCAGACACGCATGAGTGGAACCCCAGCTCTGCCACCATCTAGCTATGTGACTCTGAGTTCCTTATCTACACTCAGGCTCACTTTCCTCACGAGTAAACTTGTACATCATGAGTCCCTACTTTGACAGGTTGTAACTCAGCTCTGCATCCAGAACATCATAAACACTCAGTAAATATGAGGTATTATATTCTCTAACAGCTTTTCTTGCAAGCACTGATCAGAGTTTGTGGCTATGTTGTCATTTGTATGATTATTTGATGATTATCTATATCTCTCACTAAGTTACATGCTTCCTCGGGACGGAGATCTTGTCTATTTGCTTACCATTTTACTTCTAGCTCCTAGCACAGTGCCTGGCACAGAGGATACACAGTAGATATTTACGAAATTAGTTGACCGATAAAAGGAGAATACAGGGCCGAGTGCAGTGGCTCACCTGTAATCCCAGCACTTTGGGAGGCCGAGGCCGTCAGATCACCTGAGGTCAGGAGTTCAAGACCAGCCTGACCAACATGGAGAAACCCCGTCTCTACTAAAAATACAAAATTAGCCGGGCATGGTGTCACATGCCTGTAATCCCAGCTACTCGAGAGGCTGAGGCAGGAGAATTGTTTGAACTCAGGAGGTGGAGGTTGTGGCGAGCCGAGATTGCACCATTGCACCCCAGCCTGGGCAACAAGAGCGAAACTCCATCTCGAAAAAAATAAAAATAAAAAGTAGAATACAGAGGATGATTATGGATTGTGGTAAGTGTCATAAGGGAAAAAAGCAGCATGATATGTTAGAGAATAACTGAGAGAGGGGTGGAGGTAGAAAGAACAGTCAGGGAAGACTTCTCTGAGGAGGTGACATGAGCTGGGAGAGGAAGAAAGAAAATGCATCATCCACACAGAGAGTTAAGTCCTTTCAGGCAGAAGGACATCATGTTCAAAGGTCCGAGGCAGGAAAGGGTGTGGCACATCATGGGAAGTCAAGGAGGGATCTTACTGGGAAAGTAATAAAAAGAGTAGAAGCAGGGAGAAGGGTTAAGAGGCTGTTGCAGGTGGAAAATGAGGGTGGTTTGAATTCAGTGTCAAAAAGAAGGGAAGGAGTGGATGGCTTTGGGATGCATTTTGGATATAGCAGACAGGGCATGCTGAATGATCGGGTGTAGTGGTGGAGGAAAATATATAAATCAAGGTTGAACTGGACAGTTTTGTGAGTAGTGTTGCCATTTACTGGGACAGGAAACCTTGAGTAGAAATAAAATTGGTGGTGCGGTGGGGAGCATGGGAATTAAAAGTTCACATTTTAACATACTAAGTGTGAGATGACTATGAGATCACTATAGGGAGATGTTGAATACGTGTTGGATAGATCAATCTGAGACTAAGAAGGAGATGTTCAGATTTGTTTTGAGTCATCAGCATCCGGATGGTGTTTACAGTCATGGGATGGAATTGGATAGGCTCCCAGAGTGATAAAGTGTCAATGGAGATGATAAGAAGGTCCTACACAGAGCCTGGGGCTCTCCAGCCAAGAGAGCCACAAAGGAGACTGAGGGCTCATGGAAGGCAAAAGAGAAAAAGACAGCGGTAAACTGTCAAATCCTGCTGGAAGGTCAAGGGGAGTGGAATAAGGAAAAGGGGAATTGGCGATGTGAAGCCTGCTGGTAAGGTTTTTCAATTGCTTTTAAAAATACAGCCTGGGCAACATAACAAGACCCCATTGCTACAAAAAAAAAATCTAAAATTAGCTAGGTGTGGTGGCACATGCCTGTAGTCCCAGCTACTGGGGAAGCTGAGGCAGGAGGATCACTTGAGCCAAGGAGTTTGGGGCTGCAGTGAGCCATGATTGAGCCACTGCACTCCAGCCTGGATGACAGAGTGAGACCTTGTCTCTTAAAATAAGAAATAATAATGAAAAAAAAACTTAAAAACCCAAGTTTATCAAGAGGCAATTCACATGTCACAAAATTCATCAATTTAAAGTGTACAGTAGGCCAGGCCCAACAGCTTATGCCTGTAATCCCAGTGCTTTGGAAGGCTGAGGCAAGAGGATCCCTTGAGGCCAGGAGTTCAAGACCAGCCTGGGCAATATAGTGAGACCCCAGTCTCTATAAAAAGTTTTTAAAAATTAACCAGGAATGGTGGTGAACCCTGTAGTCCCAGCTACTCAAGGAGGCTGAGGCAGGAGGATCCCTTGAGCCCAGGAGGCTGAGGCTACAGGGAGCTGTGATTGAGCCACTGCCCTCCAGCCTAGGCAACAAAACAAGACCCTTTCTCAAAAAAAAAAGTGTACAGTAACAGCAGTTTTTAGTATAATAACAGAGCTGTGCAACCATTATCCCAATCTAATTTTGCAACATTTTCATCACCCTAAAAAGAAACCTCATACTTATTAGCAGTCATTCCCCTTTCTCCTCCTCACAACTCTCCTTAATCCCAGTTCCAGGCAGCCACGAATCTACTTTCTGCCTCTGTAGATTTGCCTATTCTAGATATTTCATATAAAAGAATTATATAATATGTGGCCTTTAGTATCAGACATTTTTCACTGAGTAGAATGTTTTCAAGGATCCGTGTTGTAGCATGTATCAATATTTCATTCTTTTTATGACTAACATTTCATTGTATGGATATTGCAAATTTTATTTATTCATGCATCAGTTGTTGGAAATTTGGGTTGTTTCCACTTTTTGGCTATTATGAATAATTCTGCTATGAACATTGGCATACAAATTTATCTATGGACATATGTTTTCATTTCTCTTGGGTATATACCTAGAGTTGAATTGCTAAGTCATATGGTAGGTCTATGTTTAACATTTTAAGAAACTGCCAAATTGTTTTCCAAAGTAGCTGCACTTAGTCAGGTGCTGGAGCTCATACCACCTGTAATCCCTGCACTTTGGGAGGCCGAGGCTGGTGGATCGCCTGAGGTCAGGAGTTCAAGATAAGCCTGGCCAACATGGTGAAACCTCATCTCTACGAAAAATACAAAAATTAGCCAGGCATGATGGTGTGCGCCTGTAATCCCAGCTACTTCGGAGTCTGAGGCAAGAGAATCACTTGAACCCAGAGGCAGAGATTGCAGTGAGCCGAGATAGTGCCACTGCACTCCAGCCTGGGTGACAGAGCAAGACTCCGTCTCAAAACAAACAAACAAAAAACAATGTCACTGCACCCTTTTTATACCCCCAACAGCCATGTATAAGAGTTCCAATTTCTGTATATCCTCACCATTGCTTGTTATTGTCTGCCTTTTTTATTTGAACCATCCTCATAGATATGAAAAAAATATGTCATTGTGGCTTTGATTGGCATTTCCCTAATGACTGCTGATGTTGAACATCTTTTCATGTGCTTATCGGCCATTTGTATATAGCCACTGGTAAATTTGACAAAGACAGATTCACGGAGTGATGGGTGTTGAGGCCAGACTAAGTTAAAGAAAGAATTGAAAGTGAAGAAGTGGGAAAGGCAAATTAAAAGCTATTTCAAATTTCCCTTTGGAGCAGTTTCAAGGGAGATTTCTTTGTTTTGTGTTTTCTTAGTGATAGGAGACACTAGAATCTGTTGGTTTGTAAGGATGATGCAGTAGACATGGCTGTTCAGGAGGCTGAGGCAGGAGAATTCCTTGAGTCCAGGAGGTCGAGGCTGCAGTGAACCATGGTTGAGCCACTGCCCACCAGCCTGGGCAACAGAGTGAGATCCTCAAAAAAAAAAAAAAAATGTGGGCCAGGGATGGTGGTTCACACCTGAAAACCTAGCACTTTGGGAGGCTGAGGCAGGCGGATCACTTGATCCCAGGAGTTCGAGACCAGCCTGGGCAACATGGCGATGATGCAGAGGAAAGGGGAGATAATTGCAGGGCAGAGTCCTTGAGAAGGCAATAAGGGTGGGGCTCAGAGCACCAGAGGTGGGGGTGCCTTCAAAAGAATCCCCCTTCCGGCATTTTAGCCTGTGAGAATCTGGGTGAAGGAGCTGGTCAGCCTGTGGATTTGGTGGCGGGAAGAGGAAGAGGTTCCTTTGCAATGGCGCCTATTTTCTCTATAGGAGTAAAGGATGAGGTCATCTAACCACGAAGCAAAGTGAGACTGGTGTGGAAAGTTTGAAAAAAAGAGGGGAAATAATAAAAGAATTATTTGGAGAGTGAGAAATACTTCAAAGTGAAGTGTAGGTTTGCCAATGCATGTTTAGTGTCCACTGTGGTTTGAGGCTGTGAATTTATAGTAAATCCAGTCACCTCAGTTTGATTTTCTCCAAGAACATTCAACTACTCAGATGTGGGAGCAGAGAACGTGGCTAAATGGACTCAATCAGGTTGTGGCTTTGTGAGGTAAATACAATAGAAAGGGATCCTCCCAGCCAGAGAGTTGAGGATATGTGTAAAGCAGGCATTAGGATCAGAATCAAGGGCGGTGGTTCTCAGGGTGTGATTCCTGACAGCAGCATAATCACCCAGGCACTTGTTAAATATGTAACATGGTGTCGGGGGGCTCACCCCTGAACTACATGAGAGGACTACGGAGGAGACTGTGTCCTCAGAGGACAGACATGAGTATATTGCGGAGCTAACTGGTTATAGATTGGAAGCTCCAGAGGAGATGTGAAAGCATTTGGGGGATCTGGGAAATGGGTCAGCTTAGAAGATATAATCAGGAGTTTGGAGACAAGTGATCCATTGGACCAGTGATCTAATAGGTGGTCTAAAAGGCTTGGACTTCTGGAGCTTCCTAAAGTAAACAGGGATGTCAGGTATGATGGGATTTACCATGAAAGGCCCTACAGGAAAGTGGGCAAGAGTTCTCTCTAGGGTCCTGAATCCTTAGCTGTAGCTGGAAACTAGCATAATAACAGCACTTCTGCTGTATTCTATTTCATTTTTTGCAGAGATGGAGTCTTGCTATATTGCCCAGTCTGGTCTCAAACTCTTAGCCACATGCAATCCTCCCAAAGTGCTGGTATCACAGGCATGAGCCACCACTCTCAGCCTTCCATATTCTTTTTTTTTTTTTTTGAGATGGAGTCTTGCTCTGTCACCCAGGCTGCAGTACAGTGGCACGATCTTGGCTCACTGCAACCTCTGCCTCCCAGGTTCAAGCAAGTCTCCTGCCTCAGCCTCCTGAGTAGCTGGGATTACAGGCATGCGCCACCATGCCAGGCCATATTCTATTGATTAGAATCACAAATCCAGCCCAGATTTAAGGGACCACACAAGGCGGTGAATACAATCAGGTGTGTTTCATTGAGGGCTGTGAATGTAACACATCACCAAAATAGTTGATGCTTTTTGTGTCCAGCTAAAAAAATATTTGCCTACTATAAGATCATGAAAGTATTCTCTGTTTCTTTTAAAAACTTTGTCATTTTAATTTGTGCATTTAGATGTATCAGTCATCTAGAATTGATGTTTGTGATCGATGTGAAGTCGGATCAAGATACATTTTTTTCTCCATGTGCAGCCCAGTATGTTAAAGGGACCGTCCTTTCACTATCACTGTGCAGTGCCACCTTCACCTAAATCAAGTGTCTGTATGTTTTGAGTTTACTTCTGGATTTTCTATTTTGTTCTGTTGGTATATTTACCTGTGTTTGCATGTGATTATGTAATAAGTCTCGATAACCAATAGTGTACATCTTCCAATCTTGTTATTCTTCTTAAAAGATTTTCTTGGCTTTAAGCATTTTGATATAAATGCATTAGTTATGATACTATAATAAGATTTTTATGGATTAAATTGTGTCCTCTAGGAAAGATAGGTTAAAATCTTAATCCTCACTATCTTAGAATGTGACCTTATTTGCAAACACGTTCCTTGCAGATGTAATCAAGTTGAGATGAGGTCCTATAGAAGTAGGATGGGCCTTTATCCAATATTCTAATGGCTTTATAAGAAGAGGAGCAGGCCAGGCATAGTGGCTCACACCTATAATACCAGCACTTTGGGACGCCAAGGCGGGCGGATCATGAGGTCAGGAGATCGAGACCATCCTGGCTAACATGGTGAAACCCCATGTCTACTAAAAATACAAAAAATTAGCCAGGCATGGTGGCGCGCGCCTGTAGTCCCAGCTACTCAGGAGGCTGAGGCAGGAGAATGGTGTGAACCCGGGAGGCGGAGGTTGCAGTGAGCCAAGATTGAACCACTGCACTCCAGCCTGGGTGACAGAGTGAGACTTCGTCTCTGTCTCAGAAAAAAAAAAAAAAAAAAGAGCAGACAGAGACACAAGGAGAACACCAGGTGACAACAGGCAGACTGGAGTGACATGGCTGCAATCCAAGGAATGCCAAAGATTGACGACCACCATCAGAAGCTAGGAAGAGGCAAGGAAGAGGTCTTCTCTCCAGATTTCAGAGACAGCATGGCACTGCTGGCACCTTCATTTCTGGCCTCCAGTACTGAGAGACAGTACATTTCTATTTTTGAAAGCCACTCGGTTTGTGGGATTTTTTTTTGCAGTAGCCTTGGAAAACTAATATAAAGATGTTATAACAGGATGGGCATGGTGGCTCATGCCTGTAATCCCAGCACTTTGGGAGGCTGAGGTGGGCAGATCACTTGAGGCCAGGAGTTTGAGACCAGCCTGGCCAACATGGCGAAACCCCGTTTCTACTAAAAATACAAAAAATCAGCCGGGCCTGGTGGCTGTAGTGTGCCTGTAATCCCAGCTACTCTGGAGGCCGAGGCAAGAGAATCTCTTGAACCTGGGAGGTGGAGGTTGCAGTGAACCAAGATCTCACCACTGCACTCCAGCCTGGGTGATACAGTGAGATTCTGTATCCAAAAAAAAGTTATAAATGTTGTAACAAACTATTTAATTCCAAAAGATTCTGAAAATTTAAATCAAATTGACACACTCCTAATACAACACAACTTACTAAATTGGCACAAAAAGAAATTGAAAATTTGAGAAATCTTGTATTTTTTTATTTGTTATTTATTTATTTGAGACAGAGTTTCACTCTTGTCGCCCAGGCTGGAGTACAATGGCGCAATCTCGGCTCACTGCAACCTCCACCTCTCAGGTTCAAGCAATTCTTCTGCCTCAGCCTCCCAACTAGCTGGGACTACAGGCATGGCCTGACTAATTTTGTATTTTTAGTAGAGACAGGGCTTCACCATGTTGGTCAAGCTGGCTCGAACTCTTGAACTCAGGTGATCTAGCCGCCTTGGCCTCCCAAAGCTCTGGGATTACAGGGGTGAGCCACTGCACCTGGCCTCCAGTATCTATTAAAGAAATTGAATCTGTAATTAAAAAAATAAAAATCTCTACAAAGAAAATTAGAGACCCAAGTGACTTCACCTGTGAATTCTACCAAACATTAAAAGATGCATTTTAAGTCGTCAGTAACATGGAGAATTGTTCAAGGCTAGAGTTAGGCATTGCTATATCCCAGGCAAAAATGATGGGGACTTTCAGGAAAAATGTGGATGGTAAAGAGAGGATAAATGCAACAGATAATAGGGAGAAAAGGTAGAATCAACAGAACTTGGCTGGACTCAGTGGCTCATGCCTGTAATACCAACACTTTGGGAGGCCACAGTGGGCAGATCGCTTGATCTCAAGAATTCCAGACCAGCGCCTGGGCAAAATGGCGAAACCCTGTCTCTACAAAAATACAATAATGAGCTAGGTGTGGTGGTGCATGCCTGTAATCTCAGCTACTTTGGAGGCTGAGGTGGGAGGATCACTTGAACCCAGGAGGCAGAGGTTATGGTGAGCCAAGATCATGCCACTGCACTCCAGCCTGGGCAACAGAGTGAGACTCTGTCTCAAAACAAAACAAAACAACCAAAAACAAACCCAGAACTTGTGGATGTTCTAGACATGAGAGAAAAAAGATGGAATGACACCCAGGTATGTTGTTGGGACCCCTAAGTCGGTAGTTGTGACATTCACTGAAACAGGAAACATAGAAAGTACAGCTTGTAGGAGGGGGTTGATAGCAAATTGAAATCGCACATGCTGAGTTTGAGGGGGATCTCCAGGGGACGATGTTAGATAGAAACTAGATATGTAATTCAACAGTGCAGTCTGGGTTGGGGACACAGATTTGAGGGTTAGGAGCCCATTGGGTGGTATCTGAAGCTGTGAGAGTGGATGAGGTCTCCCCAGCTGTAAAGTTAGAAGAGAGGAGACCAAGAGCAGACCCTGAGGAACACGAAGACCTAAGGGTTATCAGTCAGAAAACTGTAGCAAGCCAGTAATTGAAAAACAAAAACATACTGCTATTCAACTAGCTTCAATGATAAGGAAAGTTATTTCACATAACAAGCGGTCTCAGTCCAGGGTGTCTGTAGGGTTAGTTTCTAGATCATGAGGTCCTGGTATTAGTGTCCCAGTGCTGCTATAATAAAGTCCCACAAACTGGATGGCTTAAACCCACAATGTATTCTCACAGTTCTGGAAGCTAGACGTCAAAATCAAGGTGTCATCAGGGCCACACTCTCTCTGAAACTGGCAGAGGAGAATCCTTCCTGGACTTTTCCACCTTCTGGCGTTACCAGGAGTCCTTGGCATTTCTTGGCTTGTGGATGCACCCCTCCAGCCTCTGCCTTTGCCATCACACGGCCCTCCTCTTCTGGAGTGTCTCTCTCCTCTTGTTACACCAGTCATGCTGCATGCAGGGCCCTCCCTGTTCGAGTAAGACAGTGTAACTAATTACATCTGCAATGGTCTTACTTATTATATCAATAAGGTCACATTCTGAGGTGCTGGAGGTGAGGATGTCAACATTCCTTTTGGGAGCACTCAATTCGGCCCATAGAAGACCCTTTCCATCTTTCTGCTCTGCCATTCTCAACATGCTGGCTTGCCTGTAGGCTGTTCCTCACTATCAAACCTGGCTACCACAGTCCCAGGCACCACGTCGGCACCACAGTGTTCATCAGATGAAGAGGGCTCATCTCTTCTTCATGTCTCTTCTAGAAGCAAAGAAATCTCTCTGAGACCTTCTCCTCCAGCAAGCTTCTCATCTCACATTTGCAAAAATTTTATCATATCCGTGCCTAATCCAATTACTGGAAAGGGGAACGAGACCACTCACTCACCATGATTGGCTTGGACCAGTGGTTCTCAAACTTGAATACGCATCAGAATGGCCTGGGGTTGGTTAAAACACAGGTTGCTGGATTCCACCCCCAGAGCTTTCAATGCAGTAGGACTCAAAAGAGACTCAAGAATTCAATTTTTTTTTTTTTTTTTTTTGGAGATAGAGTCTGGCTCTGTCGCCCAGGCTGGAGTGCAGTGGCGCAATCTCAGCTCACTACAAGCTCCACCTGCTGGGTTCACGCCGTCCTCCTGCCTCAGCCTCCCGAGTAGCTGGGACTATAGGCACCTGCCACCACGCCTGGCTAATTTTGTGTATTTTTAGTAGAGACGGGGTTTCACTGTGTTAGCCAGGATGGTCTCAATCTCCTGACCTTGTGATCCACCAGCCTCGGCCTCTCAAAGTGCTGGGATTACAGGCATGAGCCACCGCGCCCGGCCAAGAATTCAAATTTCTAACAGTTCCCAGCTGAGGTGGATGCTGTTAGTTCTGGACCACATTTTGAGAACCGGTAGTTTAGACTGACCAGGATTCATTGCAAGGACTGGGCTCAACTCTCAGGAACTCCATTGCCACTCAGAGGAAGGGGGATGCTTGGCCAAAATCAGAATTCCATCAGAAAGGAGCAAGGGAAGAAAACTGTTAGGTAGGCAACAAGTAGTGTCTGCCTCAGAACGGACAAAGGGCAGCCAAGAGGAGACTGAGAGGGAGGCGCCCAGATAGAGGAGAAGAAAGTCAGAACAAGGTGGCATCAAAGGAGCCACAGAGAAGAGATTTGGGAGAGTGTGCTCAACACTGTTAATGTCACAGAGAGGGAGCACTGAAAAGTTTCCATTGGATTGGACAACTAGGAAGTCTGTATTGATCTTAGCAAGAGCAGTTTAGTTTTGAAAACAAGACGTGAGAACAATTATACAAAACACAAAGTGATATATGCATCATTATCTGCTACTGACGATGCCAAGTGCTAGAGCTAACTCATGGATTCCTTGAATCCAGGTGATGAGATGAATAAGAGGAGGCAATGGGGTTTTTCACTGCTGAGCAGTGAAATAAGTTTTCAGAACTGGGGGTTCAAACACAGTCTGAGCTGGGGTTCAAACACAGTCTGAGCTCAGGTTCAAACACAATCATATCCTCAGTCCTGAGTTACAGACAAGATTGTAGGAAGAAGTTTATATATCCTAATCTATTTGCTGGTCCACACATAGCTGCCACATATGTTCAGATACATACACTTTATCCACCTATCCCACCTGTTCCTCTCTATGCATGCACATTAATTGTTTAGCTTAATATACATACAATTATCTGCAGAAGAATCCAGATTCTGCCACTTGCTACTGGAATACCTCTCTTGGCCTCCATTTTTCAACTGTGAAATAGAAATCATAATTGAACTTCTCAGAGTTGTTGTGAGGATTAAGTAAAATCATGTGTATAAATAAAGATGTATATGTTAGATTATTATTATAGCTACACATGCATTACTCTTCCCACATATATAATAACAACACCAGCTAATTAGCATTTGATTCCCAAGTGTTGGATGACAAGTTTAAAAGTATATTTATAGCTATTGACTTATACCCACCTACGTATGTCTATACCTAGAGGTACATACACCTTTGCTTCCAGCACTGCAAATAAACATTTACACGCCACTTCTACCTGTCTCTGTGTCTTCCTAACAACTATCTACACAAACAATATGGAGACACAGAATCTCTAACAGTGACACTCATACATACAATGTCCTCTCTTTATGTAAATGAGAGATGCTCTATTCCAGGTCCTCTGAGAATCAGATGCCAAGACGGGATTAAATGTGCAAGGATTTTATTAGGGCAAAAGCCTGTGAGGGAAATGGGGAGGGAGCCAAGGAAGGCTGTGAGAGCTGTCAGACAGCGATGCAGTGCTGACGTGAGTGAAGGAGGGAGGGAAGGAAGCTTGGGCAGGATCTTCCCAGACTGCCAGGCAGCATAAGGAAGCTTTGGCAAGGCCACTGGGGAGTCCTCCAGCCTGTCAGCCCTCAGAGGAGTCCCCTGTCTCCCAGGAATAGGCCTCCCTTAGCATCCCTGTCCTGCTCAGTCACTGGCTAGGAGCAGCATGGCCTTGGCACAAAAGCAGCCATGGGCTGCCATGGATTTCAGAGCAGTGCTAGGGTCCTTGATCCATTACACCCACTGTAGTTGGGGGTGCAGGGGAGGCCATTCTCATGGCCACCATATGAGGTGCTATTCATTCATCCATTTTTGTGTTTGATCCAAACACTCCAAATTCAGTAAAACAGAAAATCAGTTCAAACCCAGGAGTCTGTGTGGTCCTCCCTGCCACCATGGCTGTTCCAGATGGTGCCTCTGCTCAGATTGCCCCTCAGACTGGCACCTCAAGATGGCCAGAGCAGTGGCTGCCCATGAGCTTCGTTCATCCTCTGCCCAGGCATGACTCGGGGAGCTCTGAGTAAGCCTATTTCTGCCATTCCCTAGCTACCTCCAGGGAAGACTTCTCCACCCAAAGATGGGAGAAGCCAGGACACTCTCGACCTGTGTCTCCGGGGAACCAAACCTCAGATCAGGCACAGGGTGAATGGGGGGAACCCCCTCCAGGACTCTGCACCATGCCTCCCTCTCTCTGGAGTCCATGACCTCCTTCATCCCAGGGTTGTTGCTGTAGCCCTGATCAGAGGACAGGGGATCTGGGGGCTCCATGTGAATCACCTTGTGCTCCAAGGCCAAGTTCCACTGATGAAATCACAGGGAGCTGCAATGATGAAGCCCAGTACTGTACAGATGAAAGTCTTATTTATGTGAAAGATATATCTGCAGAGGGAGCAATAAACCGCAAAGCAAAGTATGAAGGTTTGCAGCAAACGCTGTAAAGTTTTATATTCCTGAAAACTAGGGATAAAAGATGTAACCATTTAAAGCAACGTGGATAAAAGGGGCTTCCACACGATTGTAAAACAGCCTTATAATAGTTAATTGCTAGTTTCTTATTACAACAGAGAGAGTCAAAATAGCCTTTAAAATACCCAGCAATGGAAATGAGAGGAGAGAGAGAAGAGGACAGGAGGGAGTAACCTACTAAAAAGAAGGTTTGGGTCCCAGTTTCCAAGGGTTCTCAGAATAGAGACCACTCTCATTCCTGTAAGACTGCCCTGTCCACAGTACTGAGGGCTCATCACTGCCTGAATCTATCCTGCATGTTCCCATCTGCTGCAAAAGTGAAAGACACTTCACCTGCCTGGGCTGCAGTCTCTTCTTCTGTACAACAAAAGGGTTCGGGATCCCCCACAGGCCCTTCCAGCTCCAATACTCAGTCATCATTATTCACTCCGTGCCTCCATATTCTAGCCACTGTGCTAGGAAGGCAGGGACATGGGGGAGGTTAAGATTCTGAGAAGAGTGGGGAAGACAAACACTTAAATAGATCACTGGGGCCGAGCGCAGTGGCTCACGCCTGTAATCCCAGCACTCTGGGAGGCCGAGGTGGGTGGATCACTTGAGGTCAGGAGTTCGAGACCAGCCTGGCCAACATGGTGAAACCCCATCTCTACTAAAAATACAAAAATTAGCCAGGCATGGTGGTGCATGCCTGTAGTCCCAGCTACTTGGGAAGCTGAGGCAGAAGAATCACTTGAACCCGCGAGGTGGAGGTTGCAGTGATCTGAGATCACACACCACTCTACTCCAGCCTGGACGACAGAATGAGATTCCGTCTCAAAAAAAAAAAAAAAAAAAAATCATTGGAACACTGTGTAGTAAGTCACAGAACAGAAGTCTGTGTGGGCATGATACATGAGCCAAAGAGGAAGACATGAAGACTCCGTGGAGGAGATGAACTCTGAGTTGGGTCTTGTAGGTTGAGTAGGAACTTACCAGAATGACATTCTAGGCAGAGAAACTAGCATGTGTAAAGCCATGTGATGAGAGCTTCCTAAGTGGTACAACTCCAGGGGCCCATTCACATCAGAGTCTATGTAAATGGTGCACCCAGGCCTGTGCAGTACACAACCTCTGCAACCTGACACAGCAATGCTGTAAAGCTGGGGCCCCAGACACAAGCGGGAGATGGTGATGCTGATCCCACATCCCAGCATACATCATAGTAGACCTTTGGCGCAGGGCTTCTTACCCCGTTTGCCACCATCTCTCTGACATCGGGCCCCTTAGAGGGGCTGCTGCTTAGATATGGCCTGGCCCTAGAGGGATTTCTGTTTCACCCTCAAACTCTGGGAACCCCCAGGGAGCTTTCAGGAAGCTCTGAAGAGACCCAAATCTATTTCCCCCTTTAGCAAAAGCAATTGCGCATTCTCTTTACTCTGCAGGGAAGTATATGGGTTTCTCCTCTACAAATGGGATTATTATTGAAAAATAGACTTTCAAGGCAATGGCTTATCTGGGGATCCCTTGTCAACTCAGCTCCATAGAGCCAACTTTCCACCCCACGGAGCATGTCCCCTTTGCCAGCAGCGCCCCTCCACCCACCCCACGTACAAGGATGCCTTCTGGGTAAGGGTGGAGGGAGTGACCAGAACCCTGTCCTTCTGACGGTGGGGGGTGGTGGGGTGACGGGGAGGGAGAGGGGATTCCCTCAGAGCCCCTCCCCGCCTGCAGGCCAGGGCTCCTGACCCTCTCAGCGGCTGCTTCCTGCTCCAGAATCAGCCCATCCTTCTTCCTGGGGGAGGGGAGGGCAGAGGCAGGGCTAGATCTCCTCCTAGCTCTGTTGAGGACATGTGGCATTTGACCTGTGACCCCACAGGAAATTCTTCTGACCTGAGGCGAACCTCAGGAGAAAAGCCATGACCCCACAGTGGACAAAGGGCCTTGCTGAGACCTCTCCCCTCCTCCCCTAGCCGGAGTTCTCTTGACTCTAGGGGGCAGGTCAGAGAATCCCTGGGAATCAGAAGCTCACAGCCCAACCAGCTGGGTCTCTGGTCTCAGCTGGGGCTCTGGTCTCAGCTGAGGAAGAAGGGGAGAACCTGAGAGGTAGCGTCACCGTATGCCCTGCGTGCCTGGGGCAGCCCCACCTGAGGGCGTCGTCTATGTGCAATTGTCAATGCACTTCTTTTTCCAGGACAGAAACTCTCCGGTTTGGATGATAACTTTTATGGTCATCCTGACAGGAAATGGACTTCAAGAGAACCTGCGCTAGCACCCACTTCATTAATTCTACAAAGATTGAGCCTCTGTCCTATGCCCAGCATACCGTGCAGGACTCGATATGGCACTGGGTAAAATCCAGTCAAGTCCTTGCCACAGGGGATCATGGTTTTGGAAGACACAGCCCCAAACCCACTAGAGCACAATGTGGAACTTCCGGGGGAAAAGGATTCGTTTTCTTTTCTTTTCTTTATTTCAGACAGGGACTTGTTCTGTTGCCCAGGCTGGAGTGCAGTGGCACGATCACAGCTTACTGCAGCCTCGACCTGCTAGGCTCAATCCATCCTCCCGCCTCAGCCTCCTGAGGGACTGGGACTAGAGGGATGAGCCTAGCTACTTTTTTATTTTTTGTAGAGACGGGGTCTCACTATGTTGCCCAGGCTGGTCTCAAACTCCTGGACTCAAGCGATCCACCCACTTCAGCCTCCCAAAGTGCTGGGATTACAGGCGTGAGCCACCGATTCATTTTCTTCAGGGGTCTCAGAGAAGATTCACTCTCAGCTGCCTCCACTCTTTTCTCCCTACTCAAACCAGCAGTGATGGTGAGAGCTGAAGAGTAGCCCAGAGAAGGGTTTTAGATATGGTCTTCCTTCTGCATGGTCCATGTCCCTGTTCCCAGCCCCAGTCCATTCATTCATTGCCATGCTCACTAAATACAAAGCGTGAGCTGTGTGTCAAGGGATGTGTGAGTGGAAAAGAGGGTGTGAAATATTTGCCTCCAAGACTTACAGGCTGGGAGCCAGATAAATGCTAAACAAATCACCCAACAATAAACACATGGATTACAGTTGTTGGGAGAGTACAGACGTAGGAGAGGGCATTGAGAGAGCACATCGTGGCTGAGGACAAAGTAGGAGGAGAAATGCTCTGCTCACCTTCAGGGGACTTTTAGGAGTGAACACCTCATGGGAATTTTAAGCCCAAAGACAAGCCCATATGGATTTGAGTTTCATTAGTAAGAACCAGAAAAACGAGCCCTTGGGGGAAAAGGGCAGGGGGGGTGGAAGGGTTGACCAAGAAGAAAGGATGGAGTGCACAGAGCTGGAGCCTGAGCCCTTGATTAGGTGTCACGCAGATGGAAAGGCAGGATTTCCTGGACCTGAAGCTCAGAAGGTCTCTAGAGGTCATCCTGTCCATCTCCTGCCTCTACAGGAGAGGCTTGGAAGGGGTGGGTGTCTCTGTTAAAGGCTTCTGAGTGAATAATTCTACACCCATTCTGTGTTTAACACCTCTTGCTTCAAGAAGTCCTTACCACCATCTGGGCTGGGAGCAGTGGCTCACGCCTGAAATCCCAGCACTTTGGGAGGCTGAGGCAGGTCAGGAGTTTGAGACCAGCCAGGCCATCATAGTGAGACCCCATCTCTACCAAAAAAAAAAAAAAATTAGCTGTGAGTGGTGGCACAAACCTGTAGTCCCAGCTACTTGGGAGGCTGAGGCACAAGAATTGCCTGAATCCAGGAGGCAGAGGTTGGAGTGAGCAGAGATCATGCCCCTGCACTCCAGCCTGGGCGACAGAGCAAGACTCTGCTCAAAAAAAGTGCTTACCACCATCTAAACCCCTCATCTTCCCAGGAAGATGAGCAGATCCTGGGAGTAGGAGGAGGTAGGGAAAAGACAGAGGTCGTCTTTGGCCTGACCATCTGTCTCCTGCCAGTCTGGTGTCCTGGAATCATTACCTCCATGACTCTGCTTTTCTATTCTCTTCTTCTAAAGTTATAAAGGGGCTGGGCACAGTGGCTCACGCCTGTAATCCCAGCGCTTTGGGAGGCCGAGGTGGGCAGATCACTTGAGGCCAGGAGTTTGAGATTAGCCAGGCCAACATGGCAAAACCCTATCTCTACTAAAAATACAAAAATGAGCCAGGTGTGGACCTGGCTGGGGGAGGACCCTTGCCCTCCCCTAGCTCCTGCTCTGGGCAGCACCTCACTCTTGCCCCTCATTTCCTAGGACCATTGAGGAGCACCTCAGAGCCAGTGTGGGATGGGCTGGATTTGGGGCTTTAGAGACATGGGCAGAAGAGAAAAGCAGAGAGTCCTCCATAGCCTGTGTATACATGGGTTTTGGGTAAACCTTCATTGCCATCGCATGGTGCATGAGATTAAATAAATATAATCCCAGTTACTCAGGAGGATGAGACAGGAGAATTGCTTGAACCCAGAGGCAGAGGTTGCAGTGAGCCAAGACTGTGCCACTGCACCCCAGCGTGGGTGACAGAGCAAGACTCTGTCTAAAAAAACAAAGTTGTAAAGGAACTCAATATTCATCACCACAAAGTTGCCATTTTACACAAATGCCTGATAAAAAGTATTATTTCCTTTACAGTATTAATTCAACGGGTCTGTGATGAACCATACCTCAACTTTGTTGTGCAGGAAGCTTCTAGATTTATACATACGAACAATAATAAAACCATAGTTGAAATTTGTCAACCATTTACTTTGTGCCAGACCCTTTACCTGTATCAGCTCCTTTATTCTTCACAGCAATCCATAAGGCAGTGCTTTTATGATGTCACCTTTACAGGTGAGGAAACAGGGAAGTAAAGCAAAGTGCCTAAGGTCTCAGGATAGTAGACAGAATGATGGGCCCCCAAAGATGCCCACTTCCCAATCCCCAGAACATGTGATTATGTTAAGGTGCAAGATGAAAGGGACTTTGTAGTGTAATTAATTTAGGAATCTTGAGATGAGGAGATTATTTTAAATTATCTAGATGGGCCCTTTATAACCACAAAGGTTTTTATAAAGGAAAGATGGAGTTAGGAGAGTCAGAGAAGGAGATGTGACAAAGCAAAGCAGAGAAGCAGAGATGAGATACACACACACACACACACACACACACACACAGAGAGAGAGAGAGAGAGAGAGAGGAGTCAAAGGTACTGAGCTCCTGGCTTTGAAGCTGAAGAAAGGGACTGCGAACTGAGGAATACAGGTGCAGGTGTCTTGCATCTGGAATCCGGGAAAGGCAAGGAAACAGATTCTCTCCTAGATTTCCCAGAAGGAACACAGCCCTGTGGATCCATGTGTTGGACTTCTGACCACCAGAACTGTATGATAACAAATTTGTGTTTCACATTGGTGACTTGTTACGGCAGCAACAGGAAACTAGTCCACACAGCTAGCAGGAGCAACAGCACCTGCCATGGGATGGGTGAGGCAATCATGTCACGAAAACCCTACCTAGAACCAACTTCCTCTCTCCAGTCCTTGCCCTGGAGCCCTTTGATGAGTGAACATCTCCCAGGGTCGCGTCCTCCCCATCTAACCACGGACCTCGTCCTCCCCCAGCTCCTGCTCCGGGCAGCACCTCACTCTTGCCCCTCATTTCCTAGGACCATTGAGGAGCACCTCAAAGCCAGTGTGAGATGAGCTGGAGTTGGGGCTTTAGAGACATGGGCAGAAGAGAAAGGCAGAGAGTCTGTAGCCTCTGTATACGTGGGTTTGGGGTAAAATGGCCTTCTTTGCCATCAGGCATCAATATCTTCATTGCAACAGCAGAAAGGGAAATAGCTGGAGCAACTAACTACACGTGTAGCTGAAGGTGAGGTCCAGGTGTGAGCACATAAGTAGGAGGCTGAGTTGCTGGGGGATCTGCATGGGCACAGGTGTGTGATGGGGTGGGGACTGGGGGCTGGCCTCTGCCAGAGCATCAGAATAGAGTAAAAGCACTCCAAAGCACTCTGGAGCACAGTCCTTAATGATGGCCCAAAGGAAAGTATTGGCCTTGAAGGAAGGGGGCTTCAAAGGCCCCTGGAGAGGGATGAGGGTTTTATTTTGAGGCTGGGGGACGGAAGGGGGCAACAAAATAGTTCCTAAAGGCCCCTCCATAGAACTTCTGGACTTTGCTGCCACCTTGTGGAAACCACTTAGAAGGCAGGGTTGTGGCCGCCCCGGCCAAAGATTGACATCTCACTGGGGTCTTTAGGATGGATACTTCTTTCCATCTGAAGTGGGACGGGGGTTGGGAGGGGGGGGTTGGAGTTCTCCCAGGCTCATGGTGGTGAATTTCCAGGCTCCCCTAGTCCCAGCTGTCATACTCATGATGTGTCTGTCTGCCAAGAGTTTAGCTCTCTTTGCAGATACAGGGACACAGCAGGTGGTGTTGCATAGGAGGAGCACAGAAAAGTTTGCCAGTATCCCATAGGCTTTCCCAGAGCAGGAACTCAAAGGTGTGGTTTTAGGGAGGAACCGTGTGCAAAGAAGCTCTGAGTGTGCAGAGGCAAAGGAGGGAAGGTGGTAATGGGAGAAAAGAGTCAGGAAAGTGTTGGACACAGAGGTCTGGATTCAGCCTGATAGGGACAGGAGCTTCATCCCCCTCTGGGCTTATGCTGAGTGACCAGTTCATCTCACTCGCTCATTTGTAAAATGGGGACATGAAGGAGAAAGGCTTCTCCTCCACAGTGCCCTATGAGCAGTTCTCACCCATTCAGAATGAGATGTGAGCCATCCGAGAAGGGCCGATACGCCTCTAGCCGTCTCCCCACCACAGCCTCATGATTTCCTGGACTTTTGCTCCATATTGGGAGCACGGTCCCCACCACACCTATGAGCCATGTACTAATATGATTCCCATTTTACAGGTGAGAAGATTGAAGTACAGGGCAGCTAAGTGCTTGTCCAGGGTTTCAGAGCTAGCCTGTGTTGGGGCCAGATTTCAAGTTTTGAATCTCCCTGTTCACACGGCACTCTTTCACTGTCCTCAATAAGTATGTTTCAAAAAATGAATAGGAGTGGTCAGGCTTTGGGTGTGCCAGCTCTGGGAGCCCTCCCAACTGGACCTCTGATAGGAAATCAAGGCAGATCTTCTCTTCTTCCTGATCTGCCCCTTCCCAACCTCAACAGATAAAGGTCTCTTTTTAAAGTCTTCTAGGAAATGAGATTCCAATCCTTCCCTTTCCACTCCCGATCTAATTCATGTTAGTAATAGCATTATCAGAAAGTTCTTCCTACAGTCTAAACTCCATGCCTCCAGATAGTAGAAAGAGAATATAGATCAGGCTTCTGTTTCAGAGAGGGATATTCTTGGTCTCTAAAACCAGGGTTTAATTCTCTAACCATGACAGTCAGGGCTGGCCAATCACAGGCCTCAATGGGATAGCTTAAATTATAGAGGACCAAGTTAGAAAAAAGAAAAAAAAATACCCAACTTCCAGAGCTGATACTGCAGCTGATAATTAATTATCTGCTGTTTGTATGCACTGGTAGGGCTCCCCCAACCTCTCACTGATCAGGGTGCACAGTGTGGCCCGGGAAGAAGACCAGTGAGTTGGCGTCAGGTCAAGACTATTGTGTGGGAACCATCCAGAACCTTCTCGACTTCATCCTCCCCCCTCCACCCTTCCACTTCCCTCCAATCAAGGGAGGAGCTGCCCTCTTTCGCTCACCTCCCCTCCCCAAACATTTGGGAGGGAGGAGAGAGAGGGAGTGATTAGCACGGGGCATTGTCCCCAGATAATGGGCCCCAGCTGCTGCATGAAAGAAGAGACAAAGCGCCTGGCGGCTCCACATGCATTATCCCCTCATTAAATCTCTGTTATTAGATTAGATTCAAAATGTATTGATTCAGAAGCTGGGGGGAGGTGGGGGAGGGAAGAGGATCTGGCTGGTGAATGCTGAACTGCACCTCTCTGCAAGCTCTTCCTCCCCCTCCTTCACCCAACCAGGCAACTTTTCTGCCTCGTGTTCTCTGAAGGGAATCTCCCCTATGCCCATATCCTGGCCTCTGAGTGCAGCCAGTCTGCCTGAGCTATTCAGAAAACCACTGAGTGTCCACTCCTGGGAGGTGCCCTTGAGATCCTTGAGGCCAGGTTGCCAACGTCCAGAGGAAAGGCAGCCTCCTTTCCAGGATGGCAGGAGACAGACTCCATGGCTTTGAAGCAGTGCCAGTCACAAACTCACAGAAGGGTTCAGGCTGGGCACTTTCAGCACCTTTGATGGAATCTTTTTAGTAGAAATAACATCACTGAGAAACGGGGTAAATGGGAAAAGGAAATGAGAACTGAGTGTACTTGTTGGTGAATAGAGAAGGCTGCAGGAGAGAAGCGGAGATGGGCAAGAGACTTGGCAAGCTTCCCGGAAGCACTTATAAAGACATGAGTGTTTCTGGTCTCCTCTCTGCTAGGACAGAATGAGAGGCAACTGGCTAAAGTGTCAAGAGGAGGGGAGGAAGCAGCTTCCAGGAGGTATAACAGGTGGGAGGGAAATTCTGGATGTTCTCATACCCTCGATGGAGCAAAAGTCTCCTTGGGAGAAGACCAAGATTTGTACTGATGATCAGGAGTTAGTGCACTGCGGGGGTCTCTGGCCCTGGGCCTCAGTTTCTCATACCTGGGCAACACAGCCCACATGCCAGATCTATGAGCTGATTGGATGTAGCTACTGGAGCAGAAGATGTTACATGTGGTGGCTCATTCTCAAGGTGATTAATTGGCTGCCTCGATGCTGGGCTCTGTCACCCCATTGACTGTGGGTGAAGGGTGGGGAGAGAAAGATGGAGAATCAATAGGATGATTAGTGTCTTACTAGCTCTCTGGTTGGACACTTTGCCAGTAGCCACCCGTTTACTGACCAGTGATGCATTGACAGTGCCAGAATGTTCACCTTCCTATCCCTCTGGCCTGAGACATGAGAATCACCAAACAGCATGGCTAGTCCAAGCAAGTCCTAGTGGAATGGGGCAGCTTTTGGTTCTCAGACCAGGCTCCAACAGATGGGGGCCAGGGGACATCCCAAGAAAGAAGTGATGAACACTCCCCATCTTTAGCCCAATCTCTGCTCAGCAGGAGACAACGATTGTGAGGGCCAATCCCCAGCCTCACAATCTTTTGCTTTTTGCTGGGAGACCCTAATCTCTATCCATCAACAAAGCAAAAATAAATATAAAATTTCTAATGAATCCCTGATAACTAGAATCAAAAGCACATATGTCTGGAGTGGAAGTATCAGATGAAACTTCATTCCTAGTTCATCTTAGGAGCAACCGGCCAGTTAGACAGTATTCAATGACCAAACACCAAACCAGCTGGTGCTGGCCGTGGTGCTGAAGCTCTCATCTCCATTCCGTTGCAGTATCCACTTGCAGGGAGAGAGCTTGCTCCCACCTTCACTAAAAGATCATGAGCCCAGGTAACAGGGCTGTGTGGACCCTTCCAGCATCTTTCCAAGGGGTTGCAAAGCCGAGATTCCCCCTCTTTTCTCTCCATTGCTAAGTGTTCTTGGTCCTGACCCTCATACCTTAAATCCCACCTCCTAGTGTTTCTTCTTATAACAGCTACTTAAAGTACAAAGAGTAACTTACATAACTGCAAACCCACCATTTAATTTAAATTAAAAAACTAATATAACTGAGAATCCCTGTATACCCCTCCTTAGTCTCATCCTCCACTCCTTTTCCAGATCCCTAATATCATGAAGTTGGTGTTTATCCTTCCTGTGCAAATGCTTTTCAACCTATTTGTCATCTCCCAGTTTCCTGGGCCTAGAGGCACCAATCTCTTCTTCTTTTTTTTTTTTTTTTTTTAACAGAATCTAGCTCTGTCACATAGGATGGAGTGCAGTGGTATGATCTCAGCTCACTGCAACCTCTGCCTCCCAGCTTCAAATGATTCTCCTGCCTCAGCCTCCCAGTCAGCTGGGATTACAGGCATGCACCACCATGCCTGGCTAATTTTTGTATTTTTGGCTTTCTTTTTGTAGAGGAGGGTTTCACCATGTTGGCCAGGCTGGTCTCGAACTCCTGACCTCCAGTGATCTGCCTGTCTCGACCTCCCAAAGTGTTGGGATTAACTAACTGTAAATCTCTTCTTCTAACCATCCAACCTCTTCCCAAAGCTGCTGACAAATGGTTAAGAAGAGAGTCTAGCGGGGAGCGGGGAGGGATAGCATTAGGAGATATACCTAATGCTAAATGATGAGTTAATGGGTGCAGCATACCAGCATGGCCCATGTATACATATGTAACAAACCTGCATGTCGTGCACATGTACCCTAAAAATTAAAGTATAATAATAATAAAATTTAAAAAAAAAGAAACAAGCAAAATGTATAAATACAAAAAAAGAAAAAAAAAAGAAGAGAGTTTAGGGTTTCACTGCATTTTATTCTTCCCACTCCCATCATCTGATGGGGGATGAGTGTTCAGGGAAGCTGCCACAAGTGAGGTGAAGAAAAAAAAGACACTAGGGGTTAGAGAAGCCTCGTACAGAGTTATCAGGCCTGTGTAGTAGAGAGTTGGTTTTGCCTTCAACCTAAAAGCAAAGTTGTGAAAGAGAAGCAGAATTCCAAAGTCCCTTATTCAGGTGAGGGTCAATGGGGAAAAGTCCACAACTAGAGTGGACTTAGGGAGTGCCCGAGTTTCTCCTGATCTAAGACAGCATGTTTTAAAGCCATGGTGAGCTGCTGGGGGTGGGACAAGGGTGTAAGGGCCTTGAACACCCAGTTTTTGGTGGAAGGGTTCAGACCTTGGCTTGTGATTGCTGAGATGAATTGGCATTGGAAACAGGGCACGGGACTTTGTCTGTGTCTTGAAAATGTCCCTGGCATTCCCTGGGTCCTGAGGGGCCTAAGCAGAAATCCTCTGTCCCCACCTAACCAGGACTGTACCCCCTCCTCCACTGGGCTGTACCCACTCAAGCGTACTGCCAGATGGACCAGAGCATAACCAGGGTGATGCTGTAGGCCAGCACCGCTAGCAGGTAAATGTGGAATAGCAGCTTGTCCAGCACGGAGCCCACGCGCAGCCAGTCTCGGGCCACCTCTCGGATCTCATCCCGCTTTTCCAGGAATTGCCGGATGGAGGACAGCTCCTGCAGCAGCCCACACACCGCCAGCGAGGCCTCCCGAGGTGGTGGGGGAGGGCTACATCTGTCCCTCGGGCTCTTCTCGAAGTCCTGGGGTCCTCCCATGTGGCTGCAGTGGTTTCCCATGGCTGGAAGAAGGGCAGGGCATTGGCAAGAGAGGGAGACCCCGGGTGGTGACCTGAACATGGTTCCTTATGCTTCTATAGCCTGTAAATTTTTGTTGGGAATAACTTTTTTTTTCTCACTCTGTCACCCAGGCTGGAGGGCAGTGGTGTGATCTAAGCTCACTGCAACCTCCGCCTCCCGAGTTCAAGCAATTCTCCTGCCTCAACCTCCCAAGTAGCTGGGATTACAGGCACGTGCCACTACACCTGGCTAATTTTTTTTTTTTTTTCAATAGAAACTGGATTTCACCACGTTGGCCAGGCTGGTCTTGAACTCTTGACCTCAAGTGATCCGCCTACTTTGGCCTCCCGTGGTGCTGGGATTACAGGTGTGAGCCACCGTGGATGGCCAGGAACAACTTTAGACATAAAAAGTATAAAGAGTAACTTACATACCTGCAAATCCACCATCCAATTTAAATTGAAAAACCAGTATGACTGAGGATCCTCGTATACCCCTCCTTACACACATTCTCCACCCCTCTTCCAGATCATTAATATCACGAAGTATCCTTCCTATATATTGCTTTTCAACCTATGGGCTTTCCTCAGCAATCTGATACACATTATTTCATTTGAGCCTCACAATAGCCTCACAAAAGAGGCAGAGTAGGCGTGATTACTATTCTGTTTGTTTGTTTGTTTGTTTGTTGTTTGTTTGTTTGGAGACCAAGTCTCACTCTCTCGCCCAGGCTAGAGTGCAGTGGTGCAATCTCAGCTCACTGCAACCTCTGCCTCCCGAGTTCAAGCGATTCTCTTTCCTCAGCCTCCTGAGTAGCTGGGATTACAGGTGTGTGTCACCATACCCAGCTAATTTTTGTAATTTTAGTAGAGATGGGGTTTCACCATGTTAGTCAGGCTGGTCTCGAACTCCTGACCTCGTGATCCACCACCCCCCTTGGCCTCCCAAAGTGCTGGGATTACAGGCATGAGCCACTGTGCCCAGCCAACTATTCCAACCATATAAAAAATGGTGAAGCTGAGAGAGGTTAGGTGACTAGCCTGTGGTCACATACTTGGAGGATCATTTAATGATGAGACCACCAAGGCTCAGGTATCTGGACTCCCAATCCACTGCTACTTCTGCTCTATTTTGTTGCCTCAGAGGGGCAGCAGGCTGGAGGGTGCTGCTCTCATGTCCATGACTGCAGGTCATGGACCAGGAAATACACCTACAGAAGTGGCTTCCTTCACCAAGGTAAATTAGGCAGTAGGCTGGCAGACTAGTTCACTAGCTCTTGATGAGATGGCCTTAGATGAGCCAAAAATCTCATGTAAAGGGCCTGGCCCTAGTCAGGAGGAAGGACAAAGGGGAGTGGAGTGGAGAGGAGTGGTTAGAAAGAGAAGCTTAGAGTCAGATGGGCCTGGGTTCTACCAATTCCTGGCTCTGTGATTTAGGACAAGCAAATTCTCTATAGCTCTGCTTCCTTATTGGAAAAATGAGAATGAGAATCCTCTTGGGTTGTCATGAGTATTACATGTGATCATGTAGACAAAGTGCTTTGCACACGCCTGGCACAAAATGTTCAGTGAATAAACCAACCAACTAACCACCACCAACTACAACAAATGGTAGCTATAACAATTCCTCAGGAAGTATGAACTCCACATTTAATGTCTCTCTGCCTCATAGGTGTTTGAAATTCTAAGGAACATGGTCTTTGGGCTGTGTATTTGTTGTTTTTAATTTTTATTTTTGAGACAGGGTCTTACTCTATCTCCAGGTGGGATGCAGTGATGCGAACACAGCTCCCTGCAGCCTCAACCTCCTGGGCTCAAGTGATCCACTTCAGCCTCCTGAAGTAGCTAGGACCACAGGAGTGCATGACCATGCCCAGCCAACTTGAAAAAAAAAATTAGTAGAGATGAGGTCTCACTATGTTGGCCAGGCTGGTCTCGAACTCCTGGGCTCAAGTGATCCTCCCACCTCGGCCTCCCAAAGTGCTGGGATTGTAGGCATGAGCCACCATGCCCTGCTTTGGGCTGTTTAGTATAAGAGTTTTAGAAACCCCAGTGGCAGTATTTAACCGTGTGAGGCAGGGAGACCAATAATTGCCTAAGGGGCATCCGTTTGACTTCACCCATGGGTCCATCCTAGAGAGAGGCCATTCTCAGCCCAGAGGACTCAGCTCCTGACATGCTCAGCCTCTGGGATTCATACCCTCTCTGTCAACACCCAAGGTAATGAGAGGTTGTGTAAGTGAAGAAAGGGTCTGGACTGACATCTTTGGCTGAAGGCTGCCCCCACCCCAAGTAAGGCAGGGCATGGGATGCCATGTGCAGTACAGCACCTCCTTGGCAGGCCACGCCCTCCAGAGACTTTCCACAACATCCAAGCCAGAAGCAGCCCCTCTGTATGGACTCTTCCCTTCTGTTTCTCACCTGAGCAGTCATCAGTCTTGGTGGCTTGGGAGGTGGCTGGGGGCCTCTGGGAAGTTGACTGCTCCCTCAGGCAAAGTAGCCAGGCGATTCTCTCCAGAACCAGGTGACGCAGCCAAGCAGGCACGGGCTGCTGCAGGTCTTGCTTGTGCACCAGCCGCACAATGAAGATGGTCTCGGCCAAACTTATCACCAGCAGAGCCATGCACACCACAAAGTAGACACCTGTGCAGCCCAGGGCAGAGGCAAGAGACACATGCAGGAGGTGGGAGGGGGCGGGTTTCTCACCAGACTGAGCTCTGCTGCCAGGAGGGGCCTTACCAATGAGAGGAGTGCCGATGGCAGTGGCCGGCAGCGTGTCAGAAACGATGATCAGGAAGACCGAGTAGCCCAGGAGGAGTGTAATCTTGAAAGAGACCCTCTCGCCACTGTTGGGGGGCAGGTAGAAGCCCACGATGTCCATGACCATGAGGAAGATGCTGGGCAGTAGCAGGCTGACCACATAGAAGAGGGGCCGCCGGCGGATGACCACCTGGGACCGGAGAAGAGCTTGTGGGAAGCCTGGGGCAAACAGGCTCTGCTCCCAGGAACCACCCCACAAGCTCAGATTCCTTGTTTTATGGGGCTTCCAGCCTGGATTGCTCAGAGAAGAAAACAGACAGACCCCCATACCCTGCCTCTCAATCCAGGCTTATGGCTGTTTAGAATAAGTAAGGGACATTCATGGAGTTTCTCCATCTACTTCACTGAAGTTCCAGATGTGTGCAACCCTGGGGTTGGAAAAAGGCTATAGAAGTTCTCCCAGTATGCCTCCTTAAGTCTACCTGGATGTGAAGCTTTATTCACCATTTTACCCACATTCACTCCCACTCACATAGAACTTCATTTCTGCATAGTAGTTACTGCTTTCCATGCTGAACTCCCGAAAGTAGGGCAGCACCCCCAGCAACTCCCACTCTCCCTGGTTCATGAAGACACTCCTGTCGGATTTCACCTTTTCTGGCAAGCGCCACAAAGAGATGTTGATGTCCTGGACTGAGAGAGAATAAAGCAAGCCAGCTTTGGAATCTAGTACCCAGAGCCTGCTGGACCCTGTGATGATGGGACACAGGTGGGCAGCAATTAAGGGGAGCTGATATCCGATGGCCCAACCTCAACCTCAGCACATCACCTTCAGCCTCAGTGTCCTCAGCTATAAAATAAGGTACTCACCATACCTATCTCACAGGGCCGCACTGAGGGCAGATGAAGTCCTAAATGAAAATGCACGGTGCAAAGAACCATGCAAACCATTCATTAGAAAGCGCTCTCTCTCCTTCACACACACACACACAAACACACACACACACACACCCCTTCCAAACAGCTTTCTAGCTTTCCCTGTTAGAATTGCCCATTGCAACAATGAACAAAAGTCAACATTCTTCACCTTTGCCTTGATGGAACTGCCTATCTTTAAAAGTGAATTAAGAAAATAAGCAAAATCCTCACTTATAGATTGTAATTCCACTTCTCAAGATCTGCAGCAGAGACATATGTACCAGGAACGACAGAAGTATCTATTGCAGCAAAATATTGGAAAATACTGAAATATCCATCAATCAGAAAATGCTTAATAAGCTAGGATGCAACCAAAATCATTAGATGTTTGCATTTGTGGTAGTGGTGAGCACAGCTGCCTTCCAAAATCATGAGCTATTTTATAGCAGCTAAAATTTTTGAGGAAGACCTAAATGTGCATGAACTCCAAAAAATGTCCAAGACCTAATGTTGGGTAAAAAGAATCAAGTAGTAGTATATAATAATATATATACTGATATATTCATCTAAAATACGAACTCGTAAAGCAATTTCCATGTAGTTTCCATAGATGTGTATGTGTGTATGTAAATGTGTAGAGAAGGATTTGGAAAAATATACTGTGCTAGATGAAGTTTCTACTGATAAAAGTGGTTAACTCCTGTTGTTGGTGAAGTTTGGGATTGAGGGTAGAAGTCAAAGCAGACGTTAGCCTTATCTGTAGTTCTGGTTTTGGTCAAGGCAGTCATGCATCACCGTCATAACTTAAGTTTAAGGTAATGAATACATCAGAACAGAAGTGGGGGATGCCTTTTTTTTTTCTTTTTTGAGACGGAGTCTCAGTCAGACTTGTCACCCAGGCTGGAGTGCAGTGGTGCAACCTCGGCTCACTGCAACCTCCACCCTCCGAGTTGAAGTGATTCTCCAGCCTCAGTCTCCTGAGTAGTTGGGATTACAGGCGCCTGCCACTGCACCTGGCTAATTTTTTGTATTTTTAATAGAGACGGGGTTTCACCATGTTGGCCAGGATGGTCTCAATCTCATGACCTCGTGATCCACCTGCCTACGCCTCCCAAAGTGCTGGGATTACAGGCGTGAGCCACCGCGCCCGGCCTGGGGGATGCCTTCTTGCAACAGGGTGGTGTGCATTTCACCAGCCCTCTGGCAAGCCCTTAGCTAGCATTCATCTGCTCGGTAACATTTGCTGAGACCCTTCCTCTGTGCCAGGCCCTGTGCTGGGGATCTAAAGGTGGGCGAGAAATCATGTCCCTGCCCTTTCCAAGTTTTTTTTACTTTTTATTTTTATAGGGTCTCATTATGTTGCTCAGACTGGCCTCAAACTCCTGGGCTGAAGCAATCCTCCTGCCTTGGCCTCCCAAACTGCTGGGACTACATTTGTGAGCCACTGCACCCGCCCCTTTCTAAGTTTATATCTAGGAGAGAAGGACACATTGAATAAGTACTTACAAGGGTGACAGAGGTGGGGAGAGGACCAGGATGCTATAAATTGGGCAACAGGGATGGCCTAGTCTAGGGGATGAGAGGGTAAACTGAGGAGCTGAAACTTATGCTGCCATCAGAAGGGTGAGTAGAGGGGTTGGCCAGGCTAGGTGTGGTTGGGGGGAGCAGCTGTGGGGCAAGTTGGGAGAGGGAGGAAAGGGCCAGGTAGCATAGGAGAGGAAACAACATGTGATAAAGGGAAAGAATATGAGGGTTTGGGGCTAGAAAGGAAGGCAGCTGGGTGGGAGCAGAGCTCAGAGGAGCAGATGAGCCTGGAGCAGCTGGCTGTGGCAGTCAGCTCAAGAGGGTGGATTGTGTTCCAGGGTATCTGGGATCCCATTGAGGGGTTTTAAGTGACACGGTCAGATTCGCATTTTACTAAAATCTCACTGGCTTCTGTGAGAATCGCAAATTTAGGGGGACACGAATGCATGGGGAAACCAGCTAGGAGGCTAAAGCAGAAACCTAGGCAGGAGACGAGGGTGGTTTGCATGGGGGTGAAGTGAAATAAATGGATCTGAGAGATGCTTAGTGCCAGATCCTGTTGGAGATATTGGAAAAAAATTGTCCCTTACTGAGCGTCTTGCCGTCAGTTCACACCCTCATTGAATACTGATATATTAATGTAAAATAAGAACTCATAAAGCAATTTCCATGTACTTTCCATAGATGTGTATGTGTGTATATATACGCACACATGAATGTGTGAATGTAAATGTGTAGAGAAGGATCTGGAAAAATATACTGTGCTATATGAAGTTTCTACTGATAAAAGTGTTTAACTCTTACTGTTGGGGCAGCAAGAGCAGCAGATCTACCTCATGCAGAGGATGAGGAAGCAGAGGCCCAGGGCATTAGTAGGCTGGATACGTGAGAAGGCGCCCTGGGGAGCACTCCTCGCTCAGGTGTCCCTGGGGTCCCCCAACCTCCACCCCTGTCCCGGCGAAGCCCACATACTCACTGGTGTGCAGCCAACTGGTGAAGGTCAGCGAGCAGTTCTGGACATCGAAGGGGAAGTTGTAGATGTCGAGGCTACAGGCAGTCACCACCTGAAGGGGCTTGTAGTTCTGAACTTCGCCTTGATGCCGAATATACACGTACGGGATATTTGGAGACTTCCCCACATCCACGCTGGCGGGGGAAAAGGGGTTAGTTTGGGAGCTCAAGAGACAGGGCAAGCTCTGGGTGCCTGAAGATCTTGGAACAACTGGGTAGGGAGTGAAGTTCGGGGAGGGTATAGGCAGCCGGATAACCTGGATGTTTTGCCTGGCCTCGGTTTTTCCAACCTTCCTATCTTAGGCTTCCTGACCTGCCGTTGTCAAGGCTAGTTTTCAAGCAGTCATGGGCATTTCTCCTTTATTCCCCTGGCTCCTGGCCACACAAGGCAGGGAGGAAAACCCATGGGCCCAAAAGCCATGGACAGTAGGAAGCGTGCCCAGTGGCCCCAACCCGTCACTGCCCTGGGCTGGGCAAAGCTTGGCTCCCAGGATCGCCAGTCCTGCGGGACCAGGCAGGCTTGGTGAAAGAGCAGGATCTTGTGTTCCATCCTGACTCTGGCTTCTCTTTGCTTCCCACCCCTGGAAGTCCTTTGAAATGAAAATAATCATCTCTGGATGAAAAGGAGCTAGAGAAATGGATAAGAATTGGGGAAAGCCAGAAAAGCCCCACAAGACCTCATTCCACTCTCTCAGCTGATGTCAAAGTGGTAGGCCCTCTTGAGTGACCACTGTGGCATGGAGTAGGCTGAGCCCTCAGCCTTCTGTGAGTTCATGCTGAGAGATGAGAAGTCAAGACTAAGGCCACTTCACTGTTGAAACTGGAGAGCCAGCAGAAACTGGGATTTCCCAGAGCCCTCCAGCCTGAGCTATGTAGAGGATGGTGTGTGGTCCAGGTCAACTACCCCCTTGGAAAAATGTCAGTGGCACCCCCTGGAGTTGGACAATGCTGTGGGTATGGGGTAGAGGATGGCTGATCCCACCTGTCACCTTCCCTTTTCCTCCGTCTCCCCAGCCATCTTCCCTGCCCTTGAATTCTGAAACCCAGTTGGTGGGCCCTGAATGAACCTGCAGGATGGGGAGAAGGAATGTTGTCTGGGGCCAAATGGGACCGTGTTTGGCTGCCAGGAGTAAAGCCTGGTGGAACCCACTTCGTATTGGAGAAACAATCTGTGGCCTGTCAGGTAGATGGGTAACTTGGGAGGTCTGAACATGTCCCCCAGCTCCAAATCTCCTTTGCGGGCCAGAAGTGGCAGCCACTATCAGTGTTCCAGTTTTTTGTTTTTTTTTTTTTGGAGACAGAGTCTTGCTGTGTCGCCCAGCAGGCTGGAGTGTAATGGTGTGATCTCGGCTCACCACAACCTCCATCTCCCAGGTTCAAGCAATTCTCCTGCCTCAGCTGCCCGAGTAGCTGGGATTACAGGTGCTCGCCACCACGCCTGGCTAATTTTTGTATTTTTAGTAGAGATGGGGTTTCACCATGTTGGCCAGGCTAGTCTTGAACTCCTGACCTCTGGTGATCTACCCGCCTCGGCCTCCAAAGTGCTGGGATTACAGGTGTGAGCCACTGAGTCTGGCCAAGTGCTCCATTTTTTTTAAATAAACATTTACTGTCTCCTTTATAAGTGCAGCTGTCCCATTAGGTTATTATAACTCAGTGTTAATTCATTCACTGGTTTCTTTCCCTGTGGCAGGGGCCCCTGGACTACGAAGTATGGAATTTCAACATCAAGCACCGAAAAGAAGGAGTTTTCAAAAAGAAAAGAACAGAAAAAGGTCGGGGGGGAAGACAAAGGGAATTTGGACTCACACCAGCTTTATCTACAGTCTGCAATTCCTGGTGGGACATCTCAAATGCAACAGTGACAATCTTGTCTCTCTGTCCCCGGGCTTCTCCAGCTCCTAAGCCACCCAGCCACCTCACAATGGATAACGGTACTCACAACTCATTGATGAGAATGTCCGGGACCCAGATGCTGTCCGTGGGGATGGACAACTTGGTGATGTTGTCAAAGTCCTCAGGGTTCCACTGGAGAAACTCATCAGTCCAGTACTAGGGGAGGAGCAGGGATGGTCACAGGCAGCCCCCTCCATCTCCAGTGAGGGTCGCCTGCAACTCAGGCAGACTTCACCCTCAGTGCCCAGGCAACAGGTGGGCATCTTCCTGGGAGAAGCTGGTGTCAGTGGCGCCCAATTCCCTCAGCAGTAACTGAGAGTCCCCCCACCTCTTCATTCACACTCTGCCTCCACACATAACAACTCGGCTAGATGTAGCCTTGCCCCAGGAAGGAAGTCAGTCATTTCGAATGCTGTGAGTTCCCCCTCCGCCAGCTGAGAATCTCAGACAAATAACTTCTTGGATCTTGGTCTCAACATATTTATATGGAGATCATAACATCTCCTTCACAGGGTGGAGACCGCTCTTGTTAAGTTTTCATTAATATATTCTCCATTTTCAGGCCAGGATGGCCAGTCTAAAATGTAAATTCGATCATGTCACTCCCTTGCTTAAAATCCTTCAGGGGTGCCCCATTGCCTTTAGGATAAAGTTAAACTTCACAGCCGACACAGGCTGATATAATCTGACCTCCGCTATCCCTCTAGCCTCATATTTTGGCCATGCCTCTTTGTGACTTCTACACTGCAGCCGTATGCAATGAAACACTGCTGGAACCTCCATGTCTCTGCGTATCCTGCTCCCTCTCCCCTATCTTCTTTACCAAGGTACATTTTCCTCAGCCTTCTGGGCTTGGCCAAGGCATCTGTCTGTTCCCTTCTCCAGGACATTGTCCATGACCCCCACACCCCAGGCTGGGTGACATGCGTCTCCTCTGTGCTCCCATAGTTAGCACCTTGTCCTTGCCACGTTGGAGTGGCTGTCTTGTTGCATTTCAGTTGTCAGTACCTGTATCTGGTCTGTGAGCTCATGGTGGGCAGGGCCTCGATCTAGTTCGTGTCTCTAATTCCAGTCTCTTAGCACAGTTGCTGGTGCATGTAGACTGTCATTCCCTCACTGCTGATGCAAGTAACTGGGACAGACAAGTGGCCCTAGAGCTCCAGAGGTGAGAGCTCAGACGGATGTCCTGGGAAAGGAGCTCCAGGCTGCCTGTACTTGTTTGGGTCCCTTCCCTTTGGACACTGTAGTAAGGGATCCCTCTGCGAGGCAGGGACAGAGCAGCATCTCAGGGATCAGCATTCTAGCTTCTTCCTCTACCCCACGCCCTGTCCCATGTCTGGTGGTGGTGATGGATGTGCCATGAGCCATGGGGAGGGATAACAGAGACCCACTTATGCCAAGCATGTCCCCAGAGCCTCTTGGGCATGACCTCTGTGAGCTGTCCTCATGCTTCTGCCTCCGTGTGTTCAGCCACTTTAGTTTCTCCTCTGCTCTGACTTCCCAACAACCCCAGGGGCTTCCAGAGCAGGACCCTTGGATAGTGACCTCCACTCTTTTCCTACCCCACCCCAGCTCAAAGCCATAATTCCTGCCAAGCCTCAGATGTATCCACACACCAGGGGCTGACCCAGGCCCATCAGAAGCTAAAAGAGTGGGGAAATGGCTGAGGATGTGAGGACTAAGTGGATGGAACGAACCATCCTGTTTCAATCACCCAATTTGGTTGCTGTCCAATTTGGCTGAATAGAAGGAAGAATGGTCTAGCAAACAGAGCTGGCTGAGAGTGAAGGGGCTGGCTCATGAGTTCCTTTCAACAGAGGCTGGGACAAGCCATAGTTTGGGGTGCTTTGAAGAACTTCAGAAGCCAGAGGGGGTTTGGAGGGTTTCTCCTCCACTATCTTTAAGCCTACTTCCACTCTCAGACCTGAGATGAGGAGATTCCACACTCCTGGATCTCAGGCTGAGGGTGCCCCTCAGCCTCTCCGCTCACCTTCCCTCGCCAAGGCCACTGAAACTCCCGAATTCCCGACTCCTTCCCAGGAGGATGGGTAACGGGGGCAGGGAGGGGCGGGTCTGCTCACCTGCCGGTACCAGATGTAGGTGGTCAGCACCTGATTCTTCTCATCCTGGGAAAGGAAAGGGAGCTTGAACAAGTAACCCTGTGGACTGGAGGGCCACCCTGCACATGCCAGCCCCTAAAGGAGGGGCTTCCTTGTGTCCCTATTGCTTTGGGAAGTGAAAGTGAAGAGCAGGGGCCGGGGTCGGGAAAGTAGATAGACTGGAGCTCCCTGGCCAGACAGGAAAAGTTAGTTGTTCACTAGAGCATACGCAGAAAGAAGTAAAAATGATTCATTTTTTAATTTATTTTGAGACAGTCTTGCTTGCTCTGTTGCCCAGGCTGCAGTGCAGTGGCACAATCTCAGCTCATTGCAACCTCCACCTCCCAGGTTCCAGCGATTCTCATACCTCAGCCTCCTGAGTTGCTGGGACTACAGGTGTGTGCCACCATGCCCGACTAATTTTTGCATTTTTAGTAGAAATGCAGTCGCTATGTTGTCCAGGCTGGTCTTGAACTCCTGGCCTCAAGTGGTCTGCCCACCTCGGCTTCCCAAAGTGCTGGGATTACAGGTGTGAGCCACTGTGCTCTGCCAACAGTGATTTATGTTTCAACTTCTAATATACATATAATGCCGGGAGCAGTGTCTTACGTCTGTAACCCCAGCAATTTGGGAAGCTTAGGCAGGTGGATGGCTTGAGGCCAGGTGTTCGAGACCTGCCTGGCCAATATGGAAAAACCCTGTCTCTACTAAAAATACAAAAATTAGTCAGGAGGGCTGACTAATTTTGGTAGAGTAATTTTACTAGACTAAAATTAGTAGCCACTGTGAAGTTGGGTCCTGCTTACCTGACCCCAACACAGAGCCACTGCATCTCTGCAATTGCCTCCTTGTTTATCTCTGCACAATGTCTGACCACCTCTTCTGAGTAGTGCACCCCACCCTACTGTGGTAGTTGATGAAGGAATTGAGGAATAATTGATCTGTTGGCTGATTCTTCAACAATCATTTAGTGACACCTGCCAGGTACCAGGGATGTGTGTAAGGCACTGGGAGCATAGAGATGCATGGGACCGTCTTAATCCTCATACAGCTGACATAGAGAGATGGTTATCATTATGCAGTGTATGAAGAACCACATGTGGGAAGTGACCCCCTCACTGTATGGGTGTGGGAGCAGCAGCCACAAGGTGACCCCAGGTTTCTGGTTTGGGCAGCTGTGCAGATGATGCTACAATCCATCCTGAGCTGTGGTGCCAGACCGTAGGTCCTATGGGTTCTCAAATGCCTAACAAGCTGCATAGGGGGTGACTTGTCTCACATGGCCTTCTCCCACCCCCAAAAGGTCTGCCTGTGTGCAGCTCGGGGCTGAGCCTCACCACGTTGAGGATGGCATAGACAATGACGTCAATGGATACGGTGGTTGGCTTCCTCCAGTCCCTCACGGGGCGCACACCCTTCCTGTAGTTGGTCAAAAGGTAATCCGACAGCCTCAGCAGAGCGGGCCTGGTGGTGTTTCGGCTCCTCCTGGCTGGGAAGGAGAACAGTTCAAAGTAGACACCAGCCCCCCAAGACTTCCCCCGGTTCTCTTGTCCTGGTTTGTAAGCTGTTAAAAGAGACGTATCCCCACCATCCCCACCTCACAAAATTCTAAACACAGACTGACATTCTCACCACTAGAGCATTTTGTCTGCAGAGATTTCTACCATAATTCAAATGTATTACCTTGTAGAAAGGACCTATGCATTCATTGACAGGAAAGCAGAGATCTGGCTTGGAAGAGCAAGTGGCACAAGACAGCTGAGATTCAAATCAGGTTGAGGGCTAAGAAGGTCGGAGCAGGTGGCCCACGGGGCCTAAGCGAGGGCCTCTGGGGAGCAACAAGGAAGCTGGCTCTCAGGGTATGATACTAAAAGCAAGAGGGTTGCAAGAAAGCATGACCCCAAGTGCACAATTTCTAAGCCCAAGGGTCTGCATCAGGGTTTTCCTCAGCCAAGGTCAAACCTCAGCATCTGCACACAACATCTCCTTTTTGAGTATGAAACAGGTAAAGAAAGAAGGAAGTGTGGGCATCTGGTGAAAACTGACATTTCCTCTACATCCTGCAAAAGCCACCCCAAGAGGATCCTCGCACCCTGCCCCAGGCACACACAAGCTATGGGTGGAGGGCTGGCCCAGTCCACCTCCTAGGGTTGCTGTATGGGCAAACATGATGGGCTTAGATAGGTGGTTGGGGCGAGGTGTGGAGGGAGTGAGAAGAAATCAAACGACTTCCGGGGTAGGTGGCCTATGGGGACAAACCAGTAATGAGACAGCCCAGCTCCTGGACCCTGGTGCTGTTCTATGAAGATTTCATGCACAGCTCAGTTTTCACACTGGAAGCAGCAGGAGCACTTCCAGAAGGGTGGCCTGACATGCAAAAGTGAAAATTCATGGGACGGTGAAGGGAGTACAACCTAGAGGGCCAGCATACGGGCAGCAAAGGGGAGATGGAGCTGGCAGGTAGCCAGGGTCTTTCACTAACCAGGTGCTGGCAAGGCCTGGCTTTTGCTAAACAAGACTGTGTCTTCTCTCATCTAGTGTGCAACCTGTACAACAAATCACTCCTGCAGATTCCCCCTCCTTTCACCCCCTTTTCCCTGATAAGCTACTGGCTTCCCTCAGAAGGACAGAGAAGAGCAGAGAGAACACACACACACACACACACACACACACACACACACACACACAAACTATTTTTTAAGTGTCTCCTTTGGAATAACATCAATAAACATATTCTTCATTTAACTTTAGAACAGTCCACCAGAGTGGCTATTTGCACACAAGGATCCCCAAGCACCAGAAAGGTGAGCACCTTGCTCTGCAAGTGGAGGAACTGAGATTCAAACGCAGACCCGTGTGCGTCTTTACTACACCAGCAAGAGCCTGGGTCCTATTGACTGGGATCCTGACCAGCTTGGAGAGCACTGAACTCATCCCAGCAGGCCCGGGGCAAAGGACCATTGCTAGGAGGGACAGAGTTTCTTCTCAGTCAAGGAAGCCCTCGACCACAGTCATCACTTACAGCTTGCGTTTGCTTAACCCACGGAGCACTCCCAAACGACCGCTCCCGGGAGGAAGGACATCTTACCCAGAGCTCTTCACGTCTGTCCAACCCCTGGATGGCTTCCTCTAATTGTGCCCCAGTATGCTCCACCCCAGCTCTGTAGGGAGAGAAACCTCCTAGAGGGGAATGAACATGGTCTGCAGCAAAAGGAAGCCGGTCCCTTTGTGGCTAAAACACCCTACATTCAAGGGAGTCAGGAGAAGATGGGTGTAGCGAATGTGGAGAGAAATTGGGCGTTACTGGAGTTTAGTCCTGGAAAGGAACTTGGGGAACCGCAGGCCCAGAGAACGAACTCATGCAACAAAACCAGTGAAGCTGAGGAAAGAGGACTAGACTAGTTCTGGTCCCCACTCTGCTGCTAACAAGCTGTGTGACCTTGAATGAATTATCCGCTCCCCACTCTCTGGGCCACAGCATTCCCATTTATAACAGGCAAGGGTGGACCCAATGAGTTCTAAGGTCCCTTGCAGCTTTCATTCAAATAGTTTAGGGAAAGGACAAAAAGGAGAGGAGCCCCCTCCTGGTGCCTGTCTTTTTATTTCTGATACGCCAGGCTACTTCTCTGCTCCCTTCTTTGCAAGCTCCGCTCTTGCCCCACCCCAGGACTCAACATTCCTAACTCTCTCTAGCTTAACCATGATGCCTCAAATGCTGTCATGCTCATAGGTGGTAAGATAGCTGACCTTCCTGCAGCTGCACTGTTCCCCACCCTCCTCTCCACAGCCCTCGGAGGACTGAAGCATCCCCTGCCCCACCTCAGCAGATGGTCAGCCAAGTCCTGCTGCTTCCCGAAGTCTGCTTACCTTCTCCCTGTGCCAGGAGTGTGGGGAGGAGCAAGGCGAGCAGCGCCTGCTGGACCCACAGCAGCATAGCGAGCTTTCCAAGCATAGGAGTGCCTCCGAGTGCTCAGGACGAGGCCCACCAAGGGCCAGCTTGCCTGCCCTCTGCCAACCTCATGTCCCAGCCAGCCTGCCTCTCGTGGCCACTGCTCACACCTTCTGAGGCTGCAGCCTCACACTCCCTGGGCCACCAAGGTTGGGGAGCTGCCAAGTTTTCCTGCAATCAGTCCTTCAGCTGGATCATGTTTCAGGCGGGAGGAAAGGGGAGGGGACAGCTGAGAGGGGAGCCCGCCCTAGCTGATGTCATGCTGTGGGAGCTCAGTCCACCCATTCAGCCAGGGGGCTTGGCCATGTTTCCCCAAGGAGTAACTTAGGTGGGGACAGGGGCTGCAGAAGCCCATGAGACAAGGGTGCAGCCTGACCCCTGGGAGGTGCACCACGCTGCTGCTTTCATTGATGTCCCTTGGCAAGTATGTTTCTGTGGCACTGGGCTGGGGCAGGATAGGGTGAGTCAGGCAGGAGCAGGAAGACCATTCTTTTACTCCCCAGGGTGACATAACCAAGCAGGTGACTGGGCACCTCTGTAGTTACGGGAAGGGTAACTGGAGTCACCACAGGTCTGCCCTTTTGTCCTCATCTAATTAGTTATACTTAAATAGTAAAATATATATTAAAAATAATAAAATATATAATAAAAATAAACTTTTACTATACATATTTATTTCATGCATTCTTGCCATACATAATAAATACATATAGTAAAAATAATAATAATACATGCACTTTGTAGAAAAATATGAAGAAAAATTAAAATCATCTGTAAACTTATGACTCAGAGACAGCCACTCTTAACGTTTTGGTATATATTCTTCCATAATTTTCTTCAGTAATGTGTATACAATGAAGTAAATATCACATACATATAATTTTGTGCCCTCTTTTTTTGCTTGATATCATTTCGTAAGCATTTCTTTTCTTTTCTTTCTTTCTTTTTTTTTTTTTTTTTGAGACAGAGTCTCGCTCTGTCACCCAGGCTAGAGTGCAGTGGCGCAATCACTGCTCACTGCAGCCCCAACCTCCCCCATCTCAGCTGATCCTCCCATCTCAGCCTCTTGAAGAGCTGGGACTACAAATGCGAGCCATGCCTGGCTAATTTTTGTATTTTTGGTAGTCCCCCAAAGGGACTAGAGGCATGAGCAATCACACCTGGCCTCGGAAGCATTTTCAATACCTTCCTCTTAAATGGAAGCGTCTTTCTTGAAAGAAGTGTTTCTTTCTTCATTGCAAGTTAAATAGACAAGTATCTATCCCTCAGGCCTCAGCTGTGTACCCCTAAAGTTGCCTGCAAGAAGAATTACTGTGCATTTTTATTTGAAGGAGTCCTACCCTAGCTCACCATTTGGGTAGATGTCCCCGTACCAATCAAGTTAAGTATCAACAACAAAACATTTTCTTCCTTTTTAATTTATTTTCCACTTGACTCTAAGTGTGGAATAGGCTAGGAACCCTGCAGTAAGGAGGAATTTTCTGAATTGTAGGTAAGTTAAAAAGAAAGAAAAAAAGAAAGAAACTACCTTGGTCAGGGCTGCATCCTTTCAGTTCTTATTCCTGTGCATTATGAAATCTGCATAAAGCATTATACCATTCACCATTGGGGTCCTTTCCTGTGGCCGTTAGCGGGGTGTGGTTCTGCAACGTGCAGTCAAGTTCAGGGAGCCTGGGCTACTCTTCTCTTAAGTCATGTGCTTCATCACTGCACAATCCAGAAAAACATGGACAATTAGCTCCAAGCATTTCCCTCAGGGGAATGGATATGAGGGCAGTGAATAGAAAGAGGGCCCCAAACTTTTAGAGAATTTATAGAGCCAGACCTCCCCAGAATTCCAGAATGAATGTCCTCAGACCTGAGGTTTGACAGCAGGATAAAGCAAGGCAAGAAGAACCAGGCTGCCTCCTAGGCCACCAGGCTGAGGTCTTGAATGGGGCCCAAGCAGAACACTATAGATTCCTAAATGCATCTTCAAGCCCAACAAAGATTCTTTTTTCTTTTTTTTTTTTTTTTGAAACAGGATCTCACTCCATCACCCAGGCTAGAGTGCAGTAGCATGATCACAGCTCACTGCAACCTCAATCTCCCTGGCTTAGGTGATCCCTCCACCTCAGCCTCCCAAGTAGCTGAGACTACAGGGGCATGCTATCATGCCTGGCTAATTTTTGTATTTTTAGTAGAGACAGGGTTTTGCCATGTTGCCCAGGCTGGTCTCAAATTCCTGGGCTCAAGCAATCTGCCCGCCTCGGCCTCCCAGAGTGCTGGGATTACAGGCATGAGCCACTGTGCCTGGCCAACAAAGTATTTAAGCTCCCACTGACGTCTAAGTGGCCATTAGCACTTAGAAATCTGAAAATTTCTAGACGACTTTCTCCTCCTGTTTATGTGCATTATGAAATCTGCATAGAGCATTATGCCATTTGTTGATGGGGTCCCTTCATACAGCCATAAGCTAGGGTTTGGCCTTTAGCAGTAACAAACCCATTTGGGGTTGCCATTATAATCATTTCCTCATTGAAGAGCGAATAGAACTTAATTGCTCCCCTGACACAACCTAACCACTACCACAATGCTCCATTTTGTATTTGGGGTGTTTGTGTATATCCACGAGGGCCTCCCTACCTCTTGCTCCACACCTAGGCTGGTATGGCCTGGGGCCCATTCCTCCCACAGAGCTGAACCATTTGGAGACAGCTGGGAAGAAGCATTAGAAATTGAACTTGTTCTGAAAGGACAGCACCAAAGCGGGAGGGAATGGAGCACAAAAAAAGTGAAAGGTAAAACAATATTTTCACAGTTGTGGGGATCTGGAGAAGGAGAAGAGGGGAGAAGTAAAAAATAAGAGGAACAAGAAGAAAAAGAAGACCAGACAGGAAGAAAGTTAGGAAAGAAACTGAGGAGGAAAAGGAAGATCGGCGGAAAAGGCAAAGAAGAAAGGGAGAAAAAAGAGAGGAAAATGGAAGGAGAAAAGAAAGAGAAGGAGGAGGCGGAGGAAGGATGAAGCAGAAGCAGGAGGTGGCTGAACTATGAAGCCAGGGTGGTCTGGGTGTGGCTCACCCCTTCCCAGTGTAGTACTCTAGAAAGCAGGCTCTCGGCAAGGCGGAGTGGGGTGCCAGCCATGAGCATGTGTTACAACCCCTCCAGAGGTCCTGAGAAATCTAGGAGATCCTGTCCCATCGGCCCCAAGCCTTCATTTCTGCATTGAGCTCCTGGAATCCTCTGGGACTGTCCAATTGTGTTAGGAAGGAAAGAGGATGTCCTCTGCACAGTGCGTGCATTAGAGAATTAGCTCCTTAGGTAACAGGATTAGAGGGAGCCGGGCAGGCCATGGCCTCGGATGGAGATGTATTGCCTGTGTGCCTTTCTGATGGAGCGGCAATCAAGTTTCCCCTGAAGAAATGTCCTATTAATGGATTTGATGGCACAACAGACAGGGGGAAGCTGGAGCCGTGTGGCCAGTGGCGGGGTGTAAATTGCCTCAGATGAAACTGTGGAGTCACTTTTGCCCCTTTTAAATAAGATAAGAATTAGTGCGAGGCCTTGATGAACTCGCCTTGGCTGGTGGGGATGAGGGAAAAGCAGAGCCTGGGCTAATTTGATTCGTGAGCTCTGCCTGCAGACGGCCAGGCTCCTCCCAAGGAATAGAGGCAGACACACAGATGGCGGCGATCCAGTCTGGGTAATGAAAAGCTCCGAGACTGCAGGACCCACAGGCCTGAGCCTTCCTTCCCCTTGTGTCCAGCGGCTCTAGCACTGCAGAGAGAAGGATGTGATCACATGTGGGCCTCAACTTCCCATCTATCGCTGGATGCCGTTGCCCCTTGTCCTACCCCTGATTGCTTTTCTTGCTCCCATTTTCCAGGTTAAAACACAGAGCCCAGAGAACCTCCATGACATGCGTTAATTCCCACAGCTAATTTCAGACGGAACTGAGATCTTCCAGACTCTTGGCTCCAGCCTTTTCTATTACAGCTGTGTTTCCCATCTTCTGCAGTAAAATTTTACTAGTCTGTAAAACTTTTACCACCAAAGAGCCTGACCTTTTAAAACCTATAAATGTACCAAAACTCTTCGACCCTTAGTAACATCTGGCCACACTAGGGACCCACCTGCTAGAAAAGGGCTGGGGGAGGCTTAAGGTTTGTTATCACAGTGCTAAAGGGAAGATTTGCCTTCCTCTTCCCTTATCGCCCCTTTGGTTGGGCACCCATGGTTGGCACTTGCTCATACAGTGCCCCTGCAGAGCCTACCTCTCTCTGTGCTAGGGGTCAGATAAGGAGCACCTTTCCTACTAACCAGTTCCAGAGACTTGACCCATCCTGGTATGGAGGCTGGAAGATTCAGCGGCTGTCTACTCATGGAGGGGGTGGAAGCCAGCAGGATGGCAAAATGCCTGATTCAAGTTTCCCAGTTCACCTGCCTGAAGAGGCAGCAGTGGGCATGATAGGAAGGAGAGAGGCACAGCAGTGTCTTCAACAGACATAGAAGAGCACCTTCCTTCCTGGTCTTCTTTGCCCTGCTGTCCTATCATGTATGACTCAGAGCTTTCCTCCACCAAGGCCCTGGGTCCTTGGAATGGCCCTGTTCTGCACCACTCCACCAACAGTAGCCCTCATTCATCGAGCATATACTATGTGCCCAGCACTGTGCTCAGCTCTTTATCTTATTTAATCTTTATTTCCTATGAAGAAGATATTGTTATTACTCCCATATTGCAGATGAAAAAACTGAGATAAAGTGGCCAGGCACAGTGGCTCACACCTGTAATCCCAGCACTTTGGGAGGCCAAGGCAGGTGGATCACTTGAGCCCAGGAATTGAGACCAACCTGGGCAACATGGTGAGACCTCTACAAAAACTAGAAAAATTAGCCCAGCATGGTGGCGCATGCCTACAGTCCCAGCTACACAGGAGGATGAGGTGGGAGGAGCACCTGAGCCTAGGGAGTTTGAGGCTGCAGTGAGCTGTCTGCAGCCCTCCTCATGGTAGGGAAGAGATGCTAGAGTTTTGGGAGTGTATTATTATTATGTTGGGTCTGAGGGCATGGGGTTTGGCTTCATCTGAAAGGTGTGGTTATTTTTTGTCTCCTGTCCCCATCATCTAGAAGAGGGGAAGAGGTCTCTTCTAGATCTCCAACCGGACAGGTTGGAAATTTTAAAGTAGTGACGCAGTGAAACTTTTTATTCTCGATTGTGACCTCAAAAGGTCAGATGAATGGGAGGTTGCTCCTATTGGTTGGGTGTGTGTATTGCCATCTTCTACATGGTTACAGGCAAGGAATAGAAATTATGAAACCTGGCTGGGTGCGGTGGCTCACATCTGTAATCCCAGCACTTTCAAAGGCCAAGGCGGTGGATCATTTGAGGTCAGGAGTTTGAGACAAGCCTGGGCAACATGGTGAAACGCTGTCTTTACTAAAAATACAAAAATTAGTGAGGTGTGGTGGTGCTCACCTATAATCCCAGGTACTCAGTAGGCTGAGGCATAAGAACTGCTTGAACCCTGGAGGCCAAGGTTGTAGTGAGCTGAGATCACGCCACTGCACTCCAGCCTGGGTGAAAGAGTGAAACCCTGTCTCAAAAAAAAAAAAAGAAGAAGGAATTAAAAAACCCAAATGGGCCTCTGAAGTGGCACTGTACTTTTGGGACTCTATAAAGCTATTTCAGGAAAATTGCACAGGTCTAAAAGAACTGAAACCCCTGGGTGTTACAAGTTCATAGTTCAATCTTCACATACCCCTTTTGCTTACTGCCCCTGTCTCTTCCGTTAATGTATTCATACTGGAATTTCCAATCTTCATGCTCCACATTGAGTGGAAGAGAAGGAAGGGGTCTTTGTTCCTGGTTAGGCCAGCGTGGTGGCAGCAACACCTGTATGAGAGAGAGAAGCACCAGAGTAAGCTGAGACCCAAAGAACTTCATGGTGCTCCTTGGTTCTTGCTCTGTCTGCCTGGAGATCTTCCTGGTGCTAAACTCTGCAGATTCGGGGACTTACGCTCATAAGGGAGGAGGTAATCCTTCATACAAGCCATCAGGGAATGATGGGTATGAGAAATGGCAAAGCAGGCAGGATCCTTCCTTCTTTCTTCCCTTTCACCTCCTTTCTGGCACAGAAGGATGGTCTCACTCCAGTTCTTACAGGTGTTCAAGATGGAAATGTTCTAGCATCTTGAGTATCTCTCCTTCCTAGAAAATGAAACTTTCCCCAAATTTCCTTTAAATTCTAGCTTTTTCAACTACTTGTGGGTGGAAGCTTTTTTCTGTTCCCCAAACAACTCAGTCAACTCTAGAGTGCTCTTCAGGGTAGGTCACCCTGGAAATTGTATCTAAAATTAGCAAGCTGGTAGCAAAAGCTAGGCTTTAATGGGGATAGTGATTGATCATCAGCCTATTGGTCACCCCAGAGCTAGACCTGGGGGCAGAAGGTCATTTGGCTTAGATTTCTCTCTAACCCAAGAGAGTTAATAAACTTAAAGGAGGAAAGGACCAGAGAGGTCATCCTATTCATGACGAGTAGCCATTTGCCCATTCGGCCACCCTGGAACTGGACCTGGGGCAGAAGGTGGTTGGGTTTAAATTTCCCTCTTACTTGAATTCTAAAGAACTTCTAGAAAAGAAGGGATCGAGAGGCTATCTTATCCATCTTCTTGTTTCTGGGAAAAACAGATGCTTAATGTATTATTAGTATTTTCTCAGAAATTTTCAAAGAGACCTCAAAAATCCCTTGGGGATTCTAAAACAAAGTTTCTTCTAATATCTAACTTTAATTGCACTTGGTACAATTTTGAATCATATCCTTTCATCCTGTGGAAATGAGTCCCATCTCCGATCCATCCTTTTCAGAGTCTGAGAAGGAGTGGAAACATAATGGTCATCCATGAGCTCTTCCAGAGGAAATGAAAAAAAAACAGAAGCAGAGAATAATCACATTGACCAATCTTTGTATGGCCATGCATGGTTTACAACATGCTTTCAGGCATGTTCTCTCTTACATGAACTCATTCTAACACTCTGAGGCAGGTGACTGTGTTAGTCCATTTGTATTGCTATAAAGAAATACCTGAGGCTGGTAAATTTATAAAGAAAAGAGGTTTATTTGGCTCGTGGTACTGCAAGCTGTATAAGAAGCATGGTGCCAGCATCTGCTTTTCGTAAGGAACTTCAGGAAGCTTCTACTCATGGTGGAAGCAGAGCGGGGAGCAGGCATGTCACATGGCTAGAGAGGGAGCAAGAGAGAGAGGACGAGATGCCAGGCATTTAAGAATAATCAGGTCTTGGCAGGGCGCGGTGGCTCACGCCTGTAATCCCAGCACTTTGGGAGGCCAAGGTGGGTGGATCACGAGGTCAGGAGATTGAGACCATCCTGGCTAACACAGTGAAACCCCATCTCTACTAAAAATACAAAAAATTAGCCAGGGGTGGTGGCGGGCGCCTGTAGTCCCAGCTACTGGGGAGGCTGAGGCAGGAGAATGGCGTGAGCCCAAGAGGCGGAACTTGCAGTGAGCCGAGATCGCACCACTGCACTCCAGCCTGGGCGACAGAGCAAGACTCAGTCTGAAAATAAATAAATAAATAAATCAGGTATTTTGTGAACTAATAGAGCAAGAACTCACTCATTACTATGAGCATGGCCCAAGCCATTCATGAGAGATCTGCCCCCGTGAGCCAAACACCTCCCACTAGGCCCCACCTCTAACACTGTGGATCACATTTCAACATGAGCTTTGTGGAGGACAAATATGCAAACCATATCAGTGACATTACCCTTATTTTATACATGAGGAACTAAAACTCTGAGATATTTACTAACTTGCCCAAGGTCACTCAGCTATGTATGACCAAACCTGGTATAGAACCCTCAGCCAAGCTAAGACAGCACTCCTAAAGATCTGATTCTGTCTTCTGCCTTTTCTACTGAGGAAAAATGTAAACAGGAAGAAAATACAACAATTGTAATGGTTGTTGCCTTTCAGGGTAGAATGTATGTCTGGCAGACAGGGTAGGGAGAAAGTCATTTTTCACTCTCCACCGTCTTATGCTTTAAATTTTATTTTTAAAAATGAGTGTTTTATTTCAAAAAAAATGAAGTGAGTTTTTAACAAGAAGCAACGGGAAAATGGAATAGAGCCTGGCCCCAGTCCTGGTTCCATTGTGAACTATGTGATCTTGGGCAAACCAACTAAACTGTCTTAATTGCATACTCAATTTCATCAACTATCTAATGGGAATAAAGAAACAATTGCCCTGCCTACTAAATTCACCTATCGAATTCACCAGACTTTTTGGGAATATTATAGTTCAGCAATTATTAATCTGGAATGGGTAAGGCAATATCAACATCACCTGGTTCAAATTATGCATGCCCCTTCTCCCAGATATTCTGATATCCACTCTCTCTTCCCCCTACACAGAAATCATAAAAACCATAATTCACGGTGCTACCAGCTCTCTGGAATCTCTTTATAAGGGCACTAATCACCTCCCAAAGGCCTCACCTCCTAATACCATTACATTGGGGGTTAGGTTTTAACATGTGAATGCTGGGGGTGCACAATCATTCAGTCTATAGCAGTAACTGAAGCGTCCAAACTCAACATCAGTTTTCTTTCTTTCTTACTTTCTTTTTTTTTTTTTTTTGATGGAGTCTCACTCTGTAGCTCAGGCTGGAGTGCTGTGAAGTCGTCTCGGCTCACTGCAACCTCGACCTCTTGGGTTCAAGCGATTCTCCTGTCTCAGCCTCTTGAGTAGCTGGGATAACAGGCACATGCCACCACGCCAGGCTAATTTTGTATTTTTAGTAGAGAAGGGGTTTCACCATGTTGACCACGCATGGTCTCGAACTCCTGGCCTCAAGTGATCTGCCCGCCTCAGTTTCCCAAAGTGCTGGGATTACAGTCATGAACCCCTGCGCCCAGCTCCAACCTCAGTTTTCTCATGTCTAAATTGGGCATAGGCCGGGCACAGTAGCTCACGCCTGCAATCCCAGCACTTTGGGAGACAGAGGCAGGAGGATTGCTTGAGCCCAGGAGTTCAAGACCAGCCTGGTCAACATGGCAAGACCTCACCTCTATGAAGAAAAAAATTAGCCAGGCATGGTGGCATGCACCTGTAATTCCAGCTACACAAGAGGCTGAAGCAGGAGAATCACTTGAGCCCAAGAGTTCGAAGCTGTAGTGAGCTATGGTAGCACCACTGCACTCTAGCCTGCATGACAGAGCAAGACCCTGCCTCAAATAAATGAATGAATGAGTGAATGAATGAATGAATAAATAAGTAAATAAATAAATGGGGCATGGCCATATTTATCCTCATACGTTGCTGTGAAGATTAAATGAGTTGTTGTAGATAAAGTACTCAGCATATGTAGCATATACTCAGCAAACTATGAAATTATATAACCCGTAACAAACCATATGTCCCTTTTATTTACAAATAGAAGAGATTGAGAGGATTAATAAATAAATGAATAGGTCATGAACAGTCTAAAAGAGTTAAATACAGCAGTATAACATAAGAGGGATTATTCTGAGCAGCTTGTCTCCAAGGCCTGAGGGCAGATCCTGGAGAGAGGATTGGAAAGCAATAGCTCAAGTGTGACCCAAGTGACCATCAACTTCCTCAAAGATCAACTTCTCAGTGAGACCTTCTCCATCCACCACCGTATTTTATAGATGAAATTATACCCCCTAATACTCTCTAGAGTCCTTCTCCATAGCACTTGTCAACATCTAACATACCACATGTATGTATTGGGTATTTTTCTGGCTTATGATCTCTCTCTGCCCCTGCCTCCACTAGAATGTAAGCTCTACAAGGCAGATATTTTTATATAATTTGTTGGTTCCAATCTCAGAACCTGGAAGAGTGTCTGTTACATAGTAGATGCTCAACAAATATTTGTTGAATGAATGAGTGGCATTAGCAGATAAGTAGGGGGATCTGGCAAAATACACCTGTGCTCTGGGGCTCTCCCTGCTCCCTCAGAGGCCAGTCAACTGAGGGGGAAGGATGCCACCAGCCCTGGAGCTGGAATCCTTGGCTGCCTCCTCTATTTCTGGGAATGCGCTCAGCAGACAGTCCTTGTCCCACTGCTGCCTGGACTCTGGTCTGCTGCTGTCTCGAGCAGTGAAACACAATGGAACTCACTGGCCATGGGGAACATTTGGGCCCCCAAGCTGCCATTAGCTAGAGAAAGGAAATGCTCTGGGACACGGAGCCTGTAGTCCGGAATGAGTAGACAGAGAGATGAGACAATGAGGAGAGGGCAGGCGTGGGAGAAAGGGTGGAGGCAGTGAGGTGCCACATCCCTGTTCCTCTGAGGGGACACCTCACCTTATGAGAATTCTGCCCACACTACCCTGTGGAGAGGCAAGACCCACTGAGGAGGTCACGTCGCCCTCCTGCCCCGGGGCCACTGTTGTTACCGGGGGTCCTTGCTCCCAGAGCTCCCAAGATGGTGGCGGGCGCTTCCAAAGTGGCGGCGGGCTGCTTCCAAGATGGTGGCAAGCCTCGTGTTCTCTGACCTGGGGTTCTTGGCCTCACGGATTCCAAGGAATGGAACCTTGGGCCCTGCAGTGAGTGTTATAGCTCTATTAGGAGCCGTGGGTCACAGAAGAGAACCGTGGAACCCAGTGACTAGTGTTCAGCTCCATTAGGACGAACCTGGGCACTTAGCCATGCGGGAACAAAGGCAAGCCTTTAGCCCAATCAGGAGTGGCAATGGGGGCCTCACTGGATCAGGAGCACAGCAGACAACCTGCTGGATCCAGAAGGATGGAAGTCAGCGGCAGGTCTGCAACGGCGGCAAACAGCAGTGGGGGATGGAAAGCGAAAGATCAGCTCGAGCGGTAACCAACACGGACCAGAAGAGAGTGTAGTTGCAAGATTTAATAGAGTGAAAACAGAGCTCCCATACAAAGGGAGGGGACCCAAAGAGGGTAGCTGTTGCTGGCTCGAATGCCTGGGTTTATACCCCATGGTTGTCCTTCCCGCTGTGCTCTCAGGCAATAGATGATTGGCTATTTCTTTACCTCCTGTTTGTGCCTAATTAGCATTTTAGTGAGCTCTCTTTACTACCTGATTGGTCAGGTGTGAGCTAAGTTGCAAGCTCCGTGTTTAAAGGTGGATGCGGTCACCTTCCCAGCTAGGCTTAGGGATTCTTAGTCAGCCTAGGAAATCCAGCTAGTCTTGTCTCTCACTGTGTCATTCACCTCAGCATTTGTGGGAGGGCAGCCCATCCCCAGCCGAAAGCAAGACCCTCAGCACATCCCAAAGGACACAAGCCTGTCTTGGTGTCCAAGTCCTCCAGAGATAGAGATAGCAGAGAAAACTCCCTCGGGCCTTAAAAATCATCTAGTCCAGCCTCTTCCCAGCACACAAACCTTGATGACATCCCAGCAAATGATCTTTCAGCCTCTGCAGACCTCCAGTGATGAGACCTCTCAGGATAGCCCATTTCATTTTTGGAGAACTCTTTTCTACACTGATCCCCAAAACTGTTTCCCTAAAACTTCCACCCATCCGGTCCTATCCTTTGGGACTAACTTCTTTTTTATGTGAAAGTCCTTACACCATAACACCTTCTCTTCTCTGGGCACAAACCCCTCAATTCTTTCAGCCCCAAGTGTTGGAGCTGGAAGGACTCTGGACAGGGAGGGCAGAGACTCATCTTAGTGTCTGCAGTGCTGGTCCATGTGCTTGGGGCCTCAGAGGTGCTAGTCAGAGCCTGTGGAATGGGTGGATGAGTGAATGAATCTGGTGCAAGCTGCACAATTTATAAGTGAGGAAAGTGAATCTCTGCAGTGATAGGTGACTCGAGCAAGGTCACACAACACCCAACACAGGAACTAGCTCCCAGTTCGGAGGATTTTCGTGAGTCTCGTACCAGAGTGCTTGCAGCCCTCATTTGCTTTGTCTTCTTTTTTCTTTTCAGGTTTGGCCTGGTTAGTTGCACAGAGGCCCTCATAGCTCATCTGGCCCCTGTTACCTCTTTGTCTTCTCCTGATGTGACTTTCTTTCCCCCCCCCCCTCCGACTAGACAAGTCGTCCAGGAGTATCGCCCAGGCTGGAGTGCAGTGGTGTGATCTTGACTCACCACAGCCTCCACCTCCTGGGTTCAAGCAATTCTCCCACCTCAGCCTCCCTGGTAGCTGGGATTACAGGTGCCTGCCACCATGCCTGGCTAATTTTTGTATGTGTAATAGAGACAGGGTTTCACCATGTTGGCCAGGATGGTCTCGAACTCCTGACCTCAAGTGATCCACCTGCCTTAGCCTTCCAAAGTGCTGGAATTACAGGCATGAGCCACCACACCCGGCCTGCTGTGACTTTCTCCATCAGTCTGCCCACTCCAACCTCATGGCCTTCCTTCTGTTGCTTGCACAGACCAGGTGTGCTCTGCCTTACAGCCTCTGCCCCAGCTCTCCCCTCTGCCTGGAGCTCCCCGCTCTGCATGTCCACTTGGCAAATACCCTCTCCTTCAAGTCTACATAAATCTCCCCTGCTCAGTGAGGCCTCCCGTGGCTACTCCATATAATACCCTCATCTGCCCCATCCCACCTTCTCATGCCTGATCCCTCTTCCCCTGCCCTACTTTTTCTATTTTTCCATAGCCCCATTAGTACCTAACATTCTACACAGTTAACTTCTTTTGACTTCAATTGATTCTTTACTGTCTGTCTCTAATGATGGAACTTTAGCGCCATGAAGGCAGGGACCTCTGTGTGCTTTGTTCACTGATGTATCTATCCCAAGTGCCTGGAATAGTGCCCGACACATAGTAGGACCTCAATAAATATTTGTTGACTGAATCTCCTCCTCAGAGAATCTGCAGGGCCCCAGGTCTGAACTGCCAGCCACAGGACACGGACGCCGAAATCATGACTGCTAATAGATTGGTTGATTCCACGACATGTCTCTTGGAGTCAACTCATGTAATCATTGGTTGATTACATGACAGTAATCATGACATGATTACTGCTCTGTATCACTGTCTATTGGGCACTGGCGACATGGCTGAAGGGAGATGTGTAGACAGGCTTGCTGGGGGTCATCACACAGGTTCCATACACAGCTAGGCCTGCAGGGTGCTTCCTACCCCAGGGCCAAGTGGAAGATCTATGGATGCAGTTGGGTTCACGGTTGATATAGTTTGGATGTTTGTCCCCTCCAAATCTCATGTTTTGAAATGTGATCCCCAAGGTTGGAGGTAAGGCCTAGTGGGAGGAGTTTGTGTCATGGGGGTGGATCCCTCTTGAATGGCTTGGTGCCCTCCCCATGGTGATGAGTGAGTTCTTGCTCGAATTGTTCATACAAGAGCAGGTTGTTGCAGAGCCTAGCTGCCTTGCCCTCTTTCTCTTTCCTCTTCTCTCACCATGTGAAGCCTGCTCCCCTTCACCCTCCACCATCAGTGGAAGTTTCCTGAAGCCCTTACCAGAAGCAGATGCTGGCACTATGCTTCTGGTATAGTCTGCAGAACCATGAGGCAAACAAACTTTTATTTATAAATTATCCAGCCTTGAGTATTCCTTTAGAGCAATGCAAGATGGCCTAAGACAATTGTTGCCCTTTTGCTATTCAAACCATCTCAAAAGCTTTGTGTGGTATCCTGAATAATGGCCCCAAAGATACCCAGGTCCTAATCTCTGGGACCTATAGCTCTTACCTTAGACGGCAAAAGGGAAAATTACAGATGTGATTAAATTAGGGATCTTAAGATGAGAAGTTGTACTGGGTTGCCAGGGTCCGTCCTAAATGTACTGATTTAGTGTCCTTATTAGAGGAAGGCAGAAGGAGATTTGATGATGGAAGAGAAGGCTGTGCATGACAGAAGCAGAAACTGGATTTGAGCCTTGAAGACGGAGGAAGGGGACATGAACTGAAGAATGCCAGTGACCCCTAGAAACTGAAAAAGGCAAGGGCACAGATTCTCCCCTGAGAACCTCCAGAAGGAACCAACTCGGCTGGCAGAATTGGTTTAACCCAGTGAAACTGACTTCGGACTGTTGACCTCCCGATCTGTAAGACAATAAACTTGTGTTGTTTCAAGCAGCTAAATTTATGGTAATTCTTCACCGTGGCAAAGGAAAACGAACCCATGCCATTCCACAGGCAGTTCTCATTTTGCAATCACCAGCACAAACCCTAGTTTTGTTTTCTTACATCACACAAAACCTCAGACCCTCGGAGGCCAAGGTTGGGGCGGGAGGACCCTGCAATATCCTGAGTGATTTTCAGCCCTTCTGGCCTCCTGTTCCTCCTCTGGAGTGCTCTCAGTTGAGCTACCCTCTTCTTCCTCCTCCTCTGGAGCGTTCCACCTCTGTAAATAGACCCTGAAGTGTCTTGCTGGCCTGGAATAGCTTCCTGGAGAGGACCCTCTCAATCTTCCTGGTTCCAAGCATTTAATTAGTCTTAAATGAAGAGTCCTGGAGAAGCGCTCAGCAGTCTGCGTGTATGCTGACATAATCACATTTGCACATTGGCTGTTGCCACTGATTGTCCTCCTGGAAATTTTCCTTTCTCTCTGGGTTCCCTGAAGGTGGTTTCATGCACTCAGAGAGCAGCAGCATTTCCCAAACTTGTCCTCTTGTTTCAGAGGACTCTTCTAAATCCCGTATCTTGATTTGTCATTGCACTGAAAAAGGGTCGAACTGAACAGCCCCAGAGTATTCCTGAACTTCACACATGAACATACTAATGGCTACGACTCAGTGTTCCTAGGCTTGAGATTTTTGTATATTGTCTCATTTATTCACCACAATGACCCTGCAAGGTAGAATTACTATTCCCACCTTTCCGATGAGGAAATGGCAGCTCAGTGCACTGAGGGACTGAGTCGAGCTTGGTGATTAGAAACTATGTGGTAACTGTGAGCACTGTGCCTCGAATATTCCAGTTCTCCCCCTTTCTGGGCACTTGTAAGGATTGTACTTCCTGGCCTTGTGGTGGTTCGGTGGGTTGCACGACAAGGACAGTAGGACACTGAGTTGTGAGCAGAAAGGACGTGTGTATCTTCTTTTTTTTTTTTCTCCTGAGATGGAGGCTCCCTTTGTCTCCCAGGCTAGAGTGCAGTGGTGCAATCTGGGCTCACTGCAACCTCCACCTCCCGGGTTCAAGCGATACTTCTGCCTCAGCCTCCCTAGTAGCTGGAATTACAGGTGCACACCACCATGCCCTGCTAATTTCTGTATTTTTAGTAGAGACGGGTTTCACCATATTGGCCAGGCTGGTCTCAAACTCCTGACCTCGTGATCTGCCCACCTCAGCCTCCCAAAGTGCTGGGATTACAGGCATGAGTCACCGTGCATGGCATTCCTTTTTTTTTTTTTTTTTTTTTTTTTGAGACAGAGTCACTTGCTCTGTCACCCAAGCTAGAGTGCAGTGGTATGATCTAGGCTCACTGCAACCCCCACCTCCTGGGTTCAAGTGATTCTCCTACCTCAGCCTCCCGAGTAGCTAGAACTACAGGCGCCTGCCACCACACCTGCCTAATTCTTGTATTTTTAGTAGAGATGGGGTTCCACCATGTTGGACAGGCTGGTCTTGAACTCCTGACCTTAAATGATCCACACCTACCTCAGCTTCCCAAAGTACTGAGATTACAGGCGTGAGTCACCACACCCAGCCACATGTGTATCTTTCTGTGCTGTGGTGACTGGTGATGTTCGCAATGGAGGCTGCAGCGGCCTGGGTCTCAGGGCGAGGACATAAGATCAGAGCTGGGGCTGACCTCTGTGGGCACAGAGCTTGCTGTCGTAAGCCACAGAGATTTGGGGATCATGTGTTACCACAGCAATAACCTAGCCTGTCCTAACACCATTCAAATGCCAGCTCTGCCACTTCCTAGCTACATGCCTTGGACAGGTTAGTCAGCCTCTCTGAAGGGAGGATGGATACTGTCACCTACCCCAGAGTTTTGGGGAGGACTTAATGAGGTGATCTGAATAAGATTCTTTTTTTTTTTTTGATATGAAGTCTTGCTCTGTCGCCCAGGCTGGAGTGCAGTGGCATGATCTCAGCTCACTGCAATCTCCGCCTCCCAGGTTCAAGTGATTCTCCTGCCTCAGCCTCCTGAGTAGCTGGAATTACAGGTGTTCACCACATGCCTGGCTAATTTTCGTATTTTTAGTAAAGATGGGGTTTCATCATGTTGGCCAGGCTTGTCTCGAACTCCTGACCTCAAGTAATCCACCTGGCCTCAGTCTCCCAAAGTGCTGGGATTACAGGCGTGAGCCACCATGCTGACCTAGCCCAGCCCCATTTCTGACACCTCTCCCTTCCCCACTTCCCTTCCCATTTACATTTCTTTAGCCTGGGCAGGGAGGCCCCTGTGGAGGCCTCAGGATTCTAGCCCAAGGCAATGTGTGCATCTTCTCTTCTGGAGCGGGGGCCTCTTCCCCAGCTGGGTATAACACTGCATGGGGATGATAACCCCTCACCTTTGCAGCTTTCACCCCAGGAGCCTCCACAGCTCCCTGGGGTGGGAGGGGCGTGGGCTCTTACTCTCACCACTTTGCTTTTCAGAGGAAGCTACTAAAGCTGCTTGATGTTCAAGCAAATAATCCTAATACCAAATTCTGCTCTTTCACTCACTCATTGTGTGATGGTAGGCAGGTTTCTTAAACTGGCTGAGCCTTAGTTTCTGTATTTGTAAATGTAACATACCATGGAAGATGGTCATGTGGGCTAAATTAGCTTCACCATGGAAAGTCCTCATACAATGCATGACACATACACGCTTCCCATTTCAGTAGCTATCAGTAATCATTATCATTGTCTTTAGTGTTATCTTGGGTATATTTTTATTTTCTCTCAGCCTCATCTGCAGAATGAGAGCTTTGCATGAGTTGGTCTAGATTCTCCTCCAACTTCAAGTTACTGCCTCAGACACATGTACACACACTCTCTCTCTGCTGCCCAAAGAAGCAGAGTAGGGGACCCCAGGCCTATAAAGGCACAGTGACAAGCTTGGGCTCTGCCTAGTGCCCTCTGTGTCAAGCTCAGGATGGCAGGGAGAGGGATGTGGTGGCTGAAGCGCAAGGGGGTAGGGTGTGATGGGAGGACAGGCTGCGTGGCAGAATTGTCAACAGGCTCAGGGGGACCTAAGTGCCTGGAGTGCAGCCCCAGAGCCATCTCCTGTAGCCTTGGAAGCAATACCCTGTAAAACCTAATGGGTGTTTGAAATATCACCAGAAAGGGAAGATCAGGAAGACGGAGAGAGCTTTCATCCCTCCCAGGGACCAGGGCTGAGACACGGTGGCGGCAGGGAGAACAGGCCACTCGGCAGCCTGGGACCAGAATGAGAAGACAGAGCATCCAGTCTACAAGAGTGATGCCTCCGCCAAGCACTGGCACCTCTGGGAGGAAAGGGAAGGAGCAGTGGCAGCAGCACAGCCTCCCCTGTCACCTGGGATTCTTTCCCCATCACTCTCCACCACCAGGGCTCTGGTAGGAGATGGTGGCCAGGCACTTCCCTCGCTGCAGCCCAGCTGGCTACCTTCCGGGCAAAATGGCATGGATGTTCCTTCAGCCAGAACTCTCCAGTCCTCTGCCCTGTGCCAGCCTTTGTGGTAGAAACTGGAGAAACAGAAGGATGACAACCGCATGGTACCTCTGGTCTCAGGCCTACCTCCACCTGATGTCTTATGTTTCACGCTCCGGGGAAAGGGAAGCATTTGGATGAACAAAAAGGTTGCATCTGTAGGAGGAGAGTCAGCTAAAGAAAGCTTCTCCCTCAGGAAGAGGGACTCACACAACTAAGGGCACCGGGCAGATGGTCCCTTAAGGTACCATGACCATAAGTCAGCAAGCAGGAGGGCCCGGAGGCTGGCCCAGGGCAGCAAGTGAGCTCTGGGAAACGGGGGGCCACCTGATCGCTGGTGCTGGCAGCCCAGTCTTGTTCTCCAGAAAAGAGGGTGTTCACTGCAGGGGAAGGGGGCTGTGGAAGAGGCCCTCTTTGCCCTTCACTCACTCTCTCCTTGGACGGCACACGCAGAGCCATCTCTGCCATCTGCCTGCAGCCTATAATTCAGCTGCCCAGCTGTGCTGAGTGCTTGACTGCTCTGATTGTGAGGCGGGGAGATTACCGTGTGCAGCACAGTGATTGGCAGGTGCCCCGTGGGCCCAGCTGTCCTGGCAGCAGGGGTGGGCTGCATGTAACGCTGGGCTGCCCCTGAACACCCAGCTCCTCAGGCCTCCCTGAGTCTGCGCTCTCACCTTTTACCTCCATCGTTCTTCCATCCCTGCTTCTCCAAAGACAATGTGCACATCACTCCCCTGAGAGAACACTTCGAAATCAGACTCAGATTCAGGAGGTCTGGGAGGACCTGAAATTCTGCGTTTCTAACAAGTCTCCAGGCGATGCTAATGCTGCTGGTCCTGGACCCACACTCTGAGGAGCAAACCCGGCGAGTTTACAAAGCGCTTTCATATGTGATCTCCCTGGGCTCTCATAACAGCCCTGTGGTAAGGTGGTGATGAAGAAGAATTCCTATCCTTTCAATGCCTGAGTGCAAGGCACTGTGCTCAGCACTTAATAAATCTTATCTTTTCTTTTTTTTTTAATTATACTTTAAGTTTTAGGGTACATGTGCACAACGTGCAGGTTAGTTACATATGTTTACATGTGCCATGTTGGTGTGCTGCACTCGTCATTTAACATTAGGTATGTCTCCTAAAGCTATCCCTCCCCACTCCCTGAGAACTGAACAATAAATCTATCTTATTCCATTCTCTCAATACCTCAGCAAAACACCTCTTTCTAGGCTGGGTGCAGTGGCTCACTCCTGTAATCCCAGCATTTTGGGAGGCCGAGGTGGGCAGATTACTTCAGGTCAGGAGTTTGAGACCAGCCTGACCAACAAGGTGAAATCCTGTCACTACTAAAAATACAAAAATTAGCCGGGCGTGATGGTGGGTGCCTGTAATCCCACCTACTCAGCAGGCTGAGGCAGGAGAATCGCTTGGACCCAGGACAAGCAGAGGTTGCAGTGAGCCGAGATCGTGCCACTGCACTCCAGCCTGGGTGACAGAGTGAGACTGTCTCAAACAAACAAACAAACAAACAAACAAAACCCACCTCTTTCTAGAATTTCCAGATGGAAAAGAACCGAGATTCTAAGATAGTGAAGTAACTTGCCCAGAGTCACAAACCAAATGAGTGGTGGGGTTGGAAATGAAATTAATTTATTATAACATGAGCCCCTCCCTCTTACATATAAAGTTGGCAAATATGAGTGGCTTTTAAGAAGTAAAGCTCGGCAAGACGCAATGGCTCACGCCTGTAATTTCAGCACTTTGGGAGGCTGAGGCAGGTGGATCCCTTGAGTCCAGGAGTTCAAGACTAACCTGGGCAACATAGTGAGACCCCCATCTCTACAAAAAATACAAAAATTAGCTGGGCATGGTGGTGCATGCCTGTAGTCCCAGTTACCTGGAAGACTGAGGTGGGAGGATCGCTTGAGCCCAGAAGGTTGAGGTTGCAGTGAGGTGAGATTGTGCCACCGCACTCTAGCCTGGGTGACAGAGTGAGACCCTGTCTCTATTTAAAAGAAAGAGGTGAAGGGAGCATGTCTAGAGTCAGAGTGCACCTGTCCAAGAGCATGGAGTCTGAACCCAGGATGCTTAGATTTGAATCCTAGTTTGGTCACTTTCTAGCTCAGTAATCTTGGGCAATTTACCTAATCTGTCTGTGCCTCAGTCTTTTTTCAACTGTGAAATGGGAATGATAATACTAAGGTTATTATGAGGATTATACATATTATGAGATGTCATTATATATATCTTCATATATATAATTTTCATAACATCCCTAGTATTATCCATAACTCTATCTATCTATCTATCTATATATCTATCTATCTACCTACCTATCTACCTACCTACCTCCCTATCTACCAACCTACCGAGAGAAATTCTAATGGTCTAGAATACTGCCACCCAAAGCATCAGCACAGTGCTTGGCACATGGCAAGCTCTGATTATCCCTCACCTGATGTCACCTGTGGCTGACAGCACTAATTCATTACAGCATGCTTTCCCACAGACCCCACTGGTGGCCCAAAAATCTATCTCCAGACAATACTCCAGGCAGCTTCTGCCAAACCATCAGGTTTGCATTCAGAGGAAATCCATGTCAGCTTTAAGTAACTGTGCTGTAATGGAACTTAAATGCATGTTTCTGACCTCCAAACCTGTATTCTTTTTACTGCACCACTTCTGTTGGATTAAAAGCTCCTTCAAGGCCAGAAACTCTGAGTGTCCTATTCAAGGTGCTATTCTGGCACCTGGCAAGGCCCCTGACACAGAGCTGATGCTCAAACTACTACTACCAAATGAGTGGGTGAGTGGATTAATGCATGAATGAATATGTCTTGCCCAGGTATTGCTTTCCTCAAATAACTTTTCCTGCATGCTTGCCACAATATCCAACATTTTCACCTCTTAAGCCAGTCCTTTGAGTTCTGCTGCCCATTTCTGCTAACCTACCCAGAAAACCAGAAGAAAAGGATACGTCCTGACTGGAATCTCAGAGGGGCTGTATTAACCTTGTCTTTTATTTTTTATATTCTGATGCTTTGACATCTGGGGCCTTGCTGACCCTGGCGAGACTGCCCCTTCCAGGGATAGCCAATTCCTAGAGATAGCAAACAACTCGCCTACAAGCAAACTTTTCAAATACAAACCAATCCAGTGCCCACATCCCCAGTAACCTTTTTTATCAGGTTCTCATACTCCAGGCCACTATCCACATGCCCTAATCATCTCAGAGCCGGATATCAGACAACTAGGGAGAGCTGCCATGCCCCAGAGTCCCCTGAAATGATTCACGCTAGCCCGTCCTAAGCCTGCTTACCCTGCCTTACCTGCTCTTTCCCGCAGAAACAATTAAGGCTCTTCCTCACAGCGCCTCCCCACCCCCTAACCCTGTAATCAACCTGGGTGTTTTCTGCTTGCATGCCCCACTTCCCACGGTGAAGTGTGGCTCATGCTCCCCTGTTGGGAACTAGGAATAATAAACTATCTTTTCCAGCAATTGTCTCCTGATCTGTTGGCCTTGCCAATACCTCAAATTTTGTATTAGTATGATATATTTTAAAGCAAGGGCAGAGCCAAAAAGGATCCCCTTCCATGAAGCCTGAAGTTTTATCTTTAATATGGAATCAACCTAAGTGTCCATCAATAGATGAATGCATAAAGAAAATGTGGTACATACACACAATGAAATATTATTCAGCTATAAAAAAGAATTAAATTGTCATTTGCAGCATGAATGGAACTGGAGGTCATTATGTTAAGTGAAATAAGCCAGGCACAGAAAGACAAGCATTGCATGTTCCCATTTATATGTGGGAGCTAAAAACAAAACAAAACAAAACAAAACAGTTGAACTCATGGAGATAGCAGAACGATGGTTACCAGAGGCTGGGAAAGGTAGTGGGGAGGGAGGGGGGGTAAAGAGGAAATAGTTAATGGGTACAAAATCCAGTTAGATAGAAGGAATGAGATCTAGTGACCAGTAGCACAATAGGACAACTATAGTCAACAATAATTTATTGTACATTTCAAAATAACCAAAGAGTGAGGCCGGGCGCAGTGGCTCATGCCTGTAATCCCAACGGTTTGGGAGGCTGAGGTGGGTGGATCACTGGATGTCAGGAGCTCGGGACCAGCTTGGCCAACGTGGCGAAACCCTGTCTCTACTAAAAAATACAAAAATTAGCTAGACCTGCTGGTGTGTACCCGTAATCCCAGCTACTCAGGAGGCTGAGGCAGGATAATCGCTGGAACCCAGGAGGCGGAGGTTGCAGTGAGCTGAGATCGTGCCACTGCACTCCAGCCTGGGTGACAGAGCGAGACTCTGTCTCAAAGCAAACAAATAAATAAAACCCAAAATAACTGGACAGTGGAGTTGGAATGTTCCTAACACAAAAAAATGATAAATTCTTGAGATGATGGATATTTCAGTTACCCTGATTTGAGCATTACACATTGTATACTTGTATCAAAATATCACATGTACCCTATAAATATGTACCCCTAATAATTAAAAATAAAATATTTTTAAAAATAAAGTTGTATCTTTAAGGTTTTATTCTAAATTTTTGTTTCTTCACCAAAATATATCAGTATGTATTTTCATAGGAAAGTAAATAATTCTCGTAACAATATACTGTTGAGTAAAACCAATGCTTTAGAAGGGAAATCATGTTCATTCTGGGGTTTTGAGTATAGCTAGCACACTGCTGAGCCATGCTAGGGATAATATACCCCAGGTTGAAAATGTGGCATGAACTCATTTCACCAGTTTGTATTTCAGAACAGATTAATTTTAAATGACTGTATTTAAAAGGCATTGGCACAGTGGAAGGATTTTTGGTCTCATTTGTGCACAGTGTCCGGGAAGGTAGATTTGGGAAGAACACAACAGTGAGATGTCCTTTGGGCAGTGTGCCGACATAGGTCCCTGGGTAGATACGCGTGGGAAAGAGGAAGGAATGAGAAGAAACTTCAGCTATTGCACAACTTGGCCAAAGCCAGCCCCGCGTGCAAAAGGGCAGGTGGTGGGAAGAGACCGCAGGAGAATGGGGCTGGGGTAGAGAAGGAGGCTTGTGGAAGGAAGAGCTGCAAGCCGAGACTGGGCAGGGATATGGGGAGAAAAAGAACTGCCAACAGCACCCGATTCCCTTGCTCTCAGCCTGGCGCTCTTCAAAGAGGATGAGCAGGGTGACCAGGAGCTGGCTGTCCACATGCAGCCCGGGTTACCAGTGACACTGAGGAGGGATGACCTTCCCGCTAGACTTACACACACCCCAGGCCTTCAAAGGCCAACACAGGCTGTGGGAGAGGTACAGAGGGTAAGGTAAAGGGGGAGCAAGGGGCTCCCTCTCACTCAGATCTGTAGTCTTGCCTGACACAGAGGCCGCCCACAGCCCAGCAGTTCCTTCCACCCCTGCAGAAAACCTTGATGCAATTCCTGCTTTATAGCCTCTGCCAAATGAAGCACAAACTTAATTACATCACCTCCCCGACAGGACGGGGAGCAGCGTGCTGGGCTTCTTCAGCCCCCTAATCTAATCACTGGCGTGGGTCATTTCAATTACGGACACCAGAGTGTGGGGGGAGCGTGGCTGCTCATAAAAGCCTCCATGCTGTTGCTCAGCTAATTATGAAGCTCTTACTGTCTCCGCAGGTAAATAAGTCAGGACTGAGCAGTTCCGGCTGCTGAGATGGAGTCTGATCGAGGGAACAGGACAAGGTAGGCTAAGCTCGACAGGGTGATGGCTGAGGTGGAGCCCAGGGTCACAGAGGGGGTTGCAAGGAAGGAAGCCCGGCCTTCCCGAAGGGCTCTCTGCCCTGAGGAGACAATCCACCATGCAAGAATTGATTGGTGGATTTTACCTTAAAACCCAAGCTCTGAAGTTTCCTAGAAGCCTCAGAGCCACAGGGCAGGATAAAATTCAGACTCCACCCACTTCTACTAACCTTGCCTTAACATGTGTCATTAGATCTCTGAGAAGGGAGAGCATCTGGGGAAGCCTTGAGGCTGAGCTGAGAGGAGGATGCATTCTAGCAACGGCACTTTCACTCTGGCTCCCCTCATGGCCACTCTCATTTGCTTCCCGGTTCTGGCTCATCCAGGCTGGGACGTCAGACCCCAGGAGACGTGCTGTGTCACAGTGGTTTAAAAGGTGAAAAACTCAGCTTCCTTTATCATGGCAGCTACTGCTCCTCTAGGACAACTGCAAAAGGTGTGGCGGGTATCTTGGGAGGAAAAGGAGACCCTCTGCCACCTGATTATTGGCAATACTCAAGGCTGCAGAGGCTCGGGGAGGTCATCAGAGCAGCACTCAGAAGTCGTCTTGTAATATAATTGAGGCCAGGCGTGGTGGCTCACACCTGTAATCCCAGCACTTTGGGAGGCTGAGGTGGGAGGATCACCTGAGGTCAGAAGTTCGAGACCAGCCTGGCCAACATGGTGAAACCCTGTCTCTACTAAAAATACAAAAATTAGCCAAGTGTGGTGGCGCATGCCTGTAGTCCCAACTACTCAGGAGGCTGAGACACAAGAATCGCTTGAACCCAGGAGGTGGAGACTGCAGTGAGCCAAGATCGCACCACCGCACTCCAGCCTGGGCGACAGAGTGAGACTCTGTCTCAAAAAAAAGAAAAAAAAAAAAGAAATATAATTAAGAGAGCCAAGTACAAAGGGGGAAGATCCCTGGAGAACCCCTGACCAGCCCGCATGCTGGAAGAGCAGGGTAGAGCCATGGAAAGTTCGTGCCCTCTGCGGGGAGGAGAAGCCTGGCCTCTCTCTCCTGTTCTGGGATGTGGTAACTAGGAATTCAATTTGTGAGGTGGGAAAACTGGCTAGCAGACTCTCGCTTTGCTGAGAGTCCCTATTTCCATTTTTTTTTTTTTTTTTTTTTTTTTTTTGCCCAGTAAATTCCATTTTCAAAGTGTCTGCAAGCCTAATTTTTCATGGCTGTATGACAAGGACTCTGTTTTTAGCTGTACTAAGGAGAAAGTTCTACAACATGATGAACTGGGGCTGCCTGGCTGGCCTGGGAGTTAACTAAGTCTTTGTTCTAGACATCAGTGAAGTCCCCAGAACTGGAGCTGTGATTTCTTGGTGAGTGCTGAAACCACCTTGGATTCTGCGAAAGAGCAGATGGTAGGAGTGCTCACAGCTGGGAGAATCCCATTTTTGCTCTGTTCCTCAGTTTCCTTTCTCTATGAAACAGGAATCATGAAATGTATGAACATTTGGAGGGGCTGAGCTAAAGCTGCTCTGCAAATAAGGGCTGCTGGCACCCCATATTCCTCCCACCACAGAGGGACACTATTCCAGGAGGAGATCTGTAGTGCCATTTGTTCATGATGTTGTCGAAGAAAAGAGTCAAACTCTGTAAAATATTGGAAGAGATTTATTCTGAGCCAAATATGTGTGACCACGGCCAGTGACACAGCCCCCAGGAGACCCTGAGAACATGTGCCCAAGGTGGTCAGGGCACAGCTTGGTTTTGTACGTTTTAGGGAGACATGAGACATCAATCAAATACATTTAAGATACATATTGATTCCGTCCAGAAAGGGGGGACAACTTAAAGCCAGTGGGGCAAGGGGTTTCAGATCCTAAGTAGATTTAAAATTTTTGTGATTGGCTATTGTTTAAAAGAGTTATTGTCAATAGAAAGGAATGTCTGGATTATGGTAAGTGGTTGTGGAGACCAAAGTTTTATCATGCAGATGAAGCTTCCAGGCAGCAGGCTTCAGAGAGAGTAGATTGTAAATGTTTCTTTTCTTTTTTTTTTTTTTTGAGACAGAGTCTCACTCTGTTGCCCAGGCTGGAGTGCAGTGGTGCGATCTCAGGTCACCGCAACCTCTACCTCCCAGGTTCAAGCAATTCTTCTGCCTCAGCCTTCCAAGTAGCTGGGATTACAGGCATGTGCCGCCATGCCCAGCTAATTTTTGTATTTTTAGTAGAGATGGGGTTTCATTATGTTGGCCAGGCTGGTCTTGAATTCCTGACCTCAAGTGATCCACCCGCCTCGGCCTCCCAAAGTGCTGGGATTACAGACATGAGCCACTGCGCCCAGCCAGATTGTAAATGTTTCTTATCAGACTTAAGATCTGTATTGATGTTAATGCTGGTGCTGGTCAACTTTTCCTGAATTCCGAAAGAGAGGAGGGCATCATGAGGCATTTCCGACCCCCGCTGCCCATCATGGCCTGAACCCCAGTCTTTGGGATGTCCTCACTGAAAGGATGGAGTCCATTCAGATGGTTGGGGGGCCCTTAGAATTTTATTTTTGGTTTACAATGTCATTGCTTCAGGATGCAGGCCTGACTCTGGGGCTTTGAATGAGTTCTGGGCTGCAGTTGTGATTAAGGCCACTTGCCACTAGACGAAGGAAGTGTACCGGGGACCAGTTTGGCGGCCAGGCTTCACTCTTAAAGGGCTGCTTGTTAGAGGCTGATGTAAAGAACCTGGGCAATGTCATCTGCGAATGGAACAAAGGTGAGCTTCATGTGAGATGGACTGGGAAGTCCCTTTGGCAACCCCTGCCACACAAGTTTCTCTGTAAGGAGGCATGTGATGACTTCAGCCCTTGGCCTTTGGATCCTATAATAGTGGAACAACTGGAGGAGAGTACCAGACCCCATGACTGGATTCTGATAGAGGGAGCTGGAAATCAGATCCCACACCAAAAACTCAAGACTGGAGTCCATCTGTTGATAGCAAGCAGGTCTTATCTTTATTTTGTGATGCATTATTTACTTTTTTTTAAATTATACTTTAAGTTTTAGGGTACATGTGCACAACGTGCAGGTTTGTTACATATGTATACACGTGCCACGTTGCTGTGCTGCACCCATTAACATTAGGTATATCTTCTAATGCTATCCCTCCCCCTTCCCAAAGCACTTTAAACTTTTTTTTTTTTTTGAGATAGAGTTTAGCTCTTGTTGCCCGGGCTGGAGTGCAATGGCACGATCTCGGCTCACCGCAACCTCCACCTCCTGGGTTCAAGCGATTCTCCTGCCTCAGCCCCCCGAGTAGGTGGGATTACAGGCATGTGCCACCACGCCTGGCTAATTTTGTATTTTTAGTAGAGACAGGGTTTCTCCATGTTGGTCAGGCTGGTCTCAAACTCCTGACCTCAGGTAATCCACCCACCTCAGCCTCCCAAAGTGTTGGGATTATAGGCGTGAGCCACCACGCCCCATTATTTACTTTTCAAAGCATTGTTCAATACATTTTTTCATTTTGATCCTCATAACTCTTTGATAGGGGTAGAGCAAATATAAACAGCCCCAATTTCAAATAAGGTAAGTTGAAGTCTGAGAAGTTAAGCTCACAGAGGTCCCCTGGCTAGGTAATGGCAGAGCCAGGACCGTAATCATCAGGACTCCTGACTCTGACACTGGTGCTTTCTCTAAGACATAGTTGGGAAGGAGAGAGACCCCACAGTGAGGAGTTCACCTCAGGCCTTTTCCTCCTTTCCTCCTCTGTTAACTGGAGGAGGAAGTGGAGAAAGCCAGAATCGACATGGATGGCAAGCTAAGGTGACATCAGGACCGTGATGCCTAACTGAGCACGTCAAAGCAGAGGAGGCCAGCAGTAGAAAGTAGGAAGTGAGGAAGGAAACAGGTGGAGGTTTGCATGGACACTTCCTGTTCACAAACTTCTTATGTTCCTCATTTCATTAACAGCAGCAGTGGAATTTCATGGACAATTGGCGCTGAGCACTAACTGGGAGGTAATGAGAGAGGGAAGATGCAGGTAAAGGCTGTTTGAATTTAAATTCTTTTTCTTTGGGGGGATGGAGGGGGGCAGATTTTTCTAAAGGCAATTTTAGTGCTGGAAAAAGTTTCTAGCAAACAGCTTTTGGACTTTTGTGTCTTCTACTGACAGCGTTAAGACTGTCAGCAGGTCTCCAGCCTGCCAGCCTACTCTGCAGAATCTGGACTTGCTAAACCTCCGGAATCACTAGTGTTATGGGCTGAAATATGTCCCCTTTGTCTGCTGCCCACTCCCCAAAATTCATATGTTGACATCCTAACCCCTAGTACTCAGAATATGACTGTTTGAACATAGGGCCTTGAAAAAAGTGATTAAGGTTAAAAGAGGTCACTAGGATGGACCCTAAACCAACAACACTGGTGCCCTTGTTAGAAGAGAAAATCTGGACACAGACATGAGCATGCACAGAGGAAAGGTCATGTGAAAACAAAGCAAGAAGTCAGCAACCTGCAAGCCAAGGACAGGGCTCAGAAGAAAGCCACCCACCCTGTTTGCACCTTGATCTTAGGCTTCTAGCTTCCAGACTGGTGAGAAAATAAATCTCTCTTAAAGCAACTTAGTGTGTAGTATTTCCTAGCTGACTAGTTCAGGGACAGTGGATTATAACTTCCTTGAAGCAAAGGACCGTGAACTATGCCTGTCCTCCCACTCCATGCATTGCCCCTTGTGTGTGGACTAAATGATGTGCTAGACTGGGCTTAGAAGCCTTGGCACCTGCTACTAAAATACAGAAAATTAGCTGGGTGTGGTGGCATGCACCTGTAGTTCCAGCTACTCGGGAGGCTGAGGCAGGGGAATTGCTTGAACCCGGGAGGTGGAGGTTACAGTGAGCCAAGATTGCACCACTGCACTCCAATCTGGTGACAGAGCAAGACTCTGCCTCAAAAAAAAAAAAAGAAGCCTTGGCACCTGGGTTCTCTCCAGTGGGGATGCACTGCTGAAGGGGCACAGGAAGAGGGTGGAGGCAGTGGACTTAGCTGGGAAGTGGTAACAAGAGCCTCAGAAGGTGAGGGATATGGCAGGAATTTTATGCTCTGGTTGGTTGGTACCAGGTTGACCATGGGAATCACAACAAGTGAATAATAACCTGTGCTGACTTATTTTGTATTCTCTGGTGTGCCTAACATAATGCCTAGGACTTAATACTCAATAAAGGTTTTGTTGAATGGGTGACTGAATAAATGGCCAAGGCAGGGCTGGAAGATGGAGCTATCTTACACTTTTTAAAAAACTGCTTAACCATACATAGATGCATGTGTGTGCCTAGAAATCTTCTGGAAGAAATTACTAACAGTGGTTGCTTTGGGTGAGTGGACTGGGATAAGAAGGAAAGTTTACTTTTTTACTGTATACTCATACTGTTTATACATTTTCATGAACATATGATCCTTGGGTCACACAGCAGACTATTAGGTGTATGAAGCTGGACTCAATGGAGAGGCAATGAAGGCAGAAAGCCTTTTATTTTATTTTTTTTGAGACAGGGTCTTGCTCTGTCACCCAGGCTGGGGTGCAGTGGTGCAATCATGGCTCACTGCAGCCTTGAAATCCTGGGCTCAAGCAATCCTCCCACCTCAACCTCCCAAGTAGCTGAGAGTACAGGCATGAGCCACTATGCCCAGCTATTTATTTATTTATTTATTTATTTATTTATTTATTTATTTACTGGTAGAGATGTGGTCTCACTATGTTGCTCTGGCTGGTCTCGAACTCCTGGGCTCAAGCAATCCTCCTGCTATGGCCTCCCAAAGCACTGGGACTATAGGCAAGAACCACCACACCCGACCCAGAAAGCTTTTTAACCCACTATTATTCCCCCTCCTCTCTCTCCTAAGTGCCAGCACAATTACTGAAGAACACTTCAGTCTTCACACGCCGCCCCACAGTGCCCAGAGGGAGCACAGAGTGATGGTGTAGATCCCCAGCATGAAAAGGTAGCTTTGGAAGAGCAGTCGGTCAAAGCGGGACAGGAGGACCAGCCACTCTGCCTCCTGTTGGTCTGTCTGGTCCTGAGTTTGGAGGTAGTTGCTGATAGATTGAAGCTGCGACCAGACTTCCTTCAGGGTTCCTGGCTGGGCCAGGTGCTCTCCATACAGCGAGGACTCTGTGTGATGGAGGAAAACACCCTGGGTGAGCCAGGGACTACCAAGACCCACCTGGACTTTCTCTTGAAGCTGATGGCCTCATCCTTCAAGGAAAGTTGCAGGTGAAACTGAGCAGTGGGTTGTGTTTGGGTTGGGTACTCTCCCCACCCGATTAGGCGAGGCAAAGTTGTACTGCAGGAAGCCTCAGAGAACACGTCAGAGCTGTTATTATGTAAGCAGGGTGTATGTGTGCTAGATCCGTCCAGGAGAGTTTCTGAGTTAGAGGTCAGCCCAAATGGACTCAGTAGGAGCTTTAGGGGCTGGGATGATTCTTATACTTGTTCACATTAAGCAACTAGAACCTAAATGTACACAAGCTCCTTGTATGCATGTGTGCACGTGCATGCCAGCACTGTGCTATTCTGAAATCAATGGCTCAGTCACTTTGGGTAACTGGTTAAAATTGGGGATAAAAACAAACAAATAGGCTGGGTGCGGTAGGCTCACACCTGTAATCCCAGCACTCTGGGAGGCCGAGGTGGGTGGATCACCTGAGGTCAGGAGTTCGAGACCAGCCTGGCCAACATGGTGAAACCCTGTCTCTACTAAAAATACAAAAATTAGCAAGGCATGGTGGCACACGCCTATAGTCCTAGCTACTCGGGAGGCTGAGGCAGGAGAATAGCTTGAGCCTGGGAGGCAGAGGCTGCAGTGAGCAGAGATTGTGCCACTGCAGTCAAGCCTGGGCGACAGAGCGAGATTCTGTCAAAACAAAGAGTAACTGAGGGCCTGAAATTCAAGCCAAAATTAGACTTTCAGCTGAGCGCAGTGGCTCACACCTGCAATCTCAGCACTTTGGGAGGCAAAGGAGGGAAGATCGCCTGAGCCTAGGAGTTCGAGACCAGCCTGCGCAACATGGCAAAACCCTGTCTCAAAAAACCAAACCAAAACAAACAGAAAAACAACAAAATGAGACTTTCTAGAAAGCCAGAAGCAGGCAGCCTTCAGTCTCCAGAGAGATAATATAAAATGCCACACCCAGGCTAAGAAGCAGTTGTTGTAGGTTTTTCACATAGGCCAACGCAATACCTAGTACATCATCAACGGGAATGAATTTTTAAGGTGATCAATCCAGACGGGGGAGAAACACAAGGCTTCTCACACACCTGTTACCACAGCACGTTGGGCCCTGGGTTCCACTCTAGGCCTGTCAGCATCGGTGTCCCCTCGAAGGCACAAGAAGGGCTGCTCCTGTCCACCACGCTGCTCATCATGGAGGAATTTGACCAACACGATGGACTTAGCTAAGCTGAGAACCAAGAAGGCCATGCAGATGGTGAAGAAGTGCCCTGAGAGAAGCCAGAAGAGGTGCAGTTAGCCTCCAGTCTGAAATGCAGCATCAGATTTTTTTGTTTTCTTTAGGGACAGGGTCTTGCTCTATTGCCCAAGCTGGAGTGCAGTGGTGCAATCATGGCTCACTGTAGCCTTAACGTATTGGGCTGAAGTGATTCTCCCTCCTCACCCTCCTGAATAGCTGGGACTACAGGCACACACCACCACACCAGGCTAATTTTTTTTTATTTTTGGTAGAGACAAGGCCTCACGGCCGGACTTGGTGGCTCACGCCTGTAATCCCAACACTTTGGGAGGCTGAGGCGGGTGGATCACAAGGTCAGGAGATCGAGACCATCCTGGCCAACATAGTGAAACCCCGTCTATACTAAAATACAAAAAATTAGCCAGGCATGGTGGCGGGCGCCTGTAGTCCCAGCTACTCTGGAGGCTGAGGCAGGGGAATTGCTTGAACCCAGGAGGCGGAGGTTGCAGGGAGCGGAGATCACACCACTGCACTCCAGCCTGGAGACACAGCAAGACTCCATCTCAAAAAAAAAAAAAAAAGAGAGAGAGACAAGTCCTCACTATGTTGTCTTGAACTCTTGGGCTCAAGCAATCCTCCCACCTCAGCCTCCCAAAATGTTGTGATTATAGGTGTGAGCCACTGCATCTGGCTTGCTCTTCTGTTTTTTTCCCTTCCTTCCTTCCTTCCTTCTTTTCTCTCTTTCTCTCTTTCTTTTTCTCTCTTTCTCTCCCTTCCCCTCCCCTCCCCTTCCCTTCCGTTCTTGCTCTGTCACCCAGGCTGGAGTGCAGTGGTGGGATCATAGCTCACTGCAGACTCAAACTTTTAGACTCAAGCAATCCTCCTGCCTCAGCTTCCTGAATAGCTGAAATCAATGGCTCAGTCACTTTGGGTAATTGGTTGAAATTGGGGATAAAAACAAACAAAGCGGCCAGGCACAGTGGGCTCATGCCTGTAATCCCAGCACTCTGGGAAGCTGAGGTGGGCGGACCACCTGAGGTCAGGAGTTCAAGACCAGCCTGATCAACATCGTGAAACCCCGTCTCTACTAAAAATACAACAAATTAGCCAGGTGTAGTGGTGTGTGCCTATAATCCCAGCTACTCAGGAGGCTGAGGCAGGAGAATTGCTTGAGCCCAGGAGGCAGAGGTTGTAGTGAGTATGCACTGAATGCCCTGTTGATTTTTAAAATTTTTAGTAAAGTCTCACTATGTTGCCTAGGCTGGTCTTGAACTCCTGAGCTGAAGTGGTCCTCCCACCTTGGCCTCCCAAAGTGCTGATATTACGGGCATGAGCCACCATGCCTGGCCAGCATTAGATCTTTCACAGGGGTCATGTAAGATGAGTGTCCAGTGACCCCGAGGCTGCTTACCAATCAGAGGGGTGCTCCCTACACTCCGTGGCACCTGGTTGGACATGTTGACCCTGAAGACGGTGTAGCCCACCAGCACACTGGTCTTGAACACAATCCTGGCTCGGCAGTTGGGTGGCAGGTAGAAGCTCCCCAGGTCCACCAGCATGAGAAAGATGCTAGGAATCAGCAGACTCACGACATAGACCAGGGGGTGCCTGCGCATCACCACCTGGCCGGGAACAAGTGGTCTGATGAAAAGAGGATCTAGGCCAACAGACTCAGATTTGGCCAAATTCATAGCCAGGAATTCTCCCCGAAGACCCAACGTTTTTGCATAATGTGAAAAATCTGTCTAATTTATCTTAGAAATATGTTTCAGGTTACTTTTTGGTTTAGAAAAGAGAAAAAAATCCTTTAAGTTTTACACAGAGCTAATATTAATATTATTAATAGTGATAATAAGAAGCAGCAGCTAGCATTTACTTACCACTTGCTGTGTGCCAGGCACCAGACTCAGTGGCTCATAAACTTAACTTACTCAGTCTTCACAACTTTAAGGGCTGGGTATCAACTTCATTTTACAAACAGGTATCATTAACTTCATTTTACAAACCAGGAAACTGAGTTTCAAAGAGGTTGAATTCCTTGTTTAAACTCACCCAGCTGGTAAGTGAGAAACTGTTTTGAAACTAAAATCTTCCTTCTGAAACCACTTATTATGCAATATATTGTATTACTTTTGTGTGTGTGTGTGACGGAGTTTCGCTCTTGTTGCCCAGGCTAGAGTGCAATGGCGCGATCTCAGCTCAACCTCCACCTCCCAGGCTCAAGCAATTCTCCTGCCTCACCCTCTCAGGTAGCTGGGACTACAGGTGAGTGCCACCATGCCCGGCTTATTTTTTGTATTTTTAGTAGAGACGGGGTTTCTTTTTTTTGAGACGGAGTCTCGCTCTGTCACCCAGGCTGGAGTGCAGTGGTGCGACCTCGGCTCACTGCAAGCTCTGCTAGAGATGGGGTTTCACCATGTTGGCCAGGCTGGTCTCCAACTCCTGACCTCAGGTGATCCCCCTGCCTCAGCCTCCCAAAGTGCTGGGATTACAGGTGTGAGCCACCGTGCCTGGCTTATTGTATTACTTTTTGGTCTAATCTATCTCCTTCCTTGGATTCTGAACTCCTTAGCACCTGTGTGTCTATCATTCCGGGCAGGAAAACTTGCACAATTAAATTTGGAAGTTTGAAGACGGCTCAAAAATGAGACTATCTGCAAGGTGTGAGCAGGCTTTAGGGAAACCACAAGATGGCGGGCAGACCCCTGGGCTTTTCGGGGACTGGGTGATCTGTTACCACCCTTAGGCCTGAAGGAGTCAAGGGCTGGAGTGGTGACCAGACCTGAAGAGAAAGCTGTGCAGAGGCTGCCAGATAGGACCTGTGGTTTTCTCTTAGCCTGCCTGGTGTTGACTCCACTGGGGCAGAAATGGAGAGCTAAGTACCCCGTCTCGGCCCTCCTCCCTCCTCCCATCTCCTGCCACTGCTTCCCCTGCCTGCTTCCTCTCCCTACTGGTCAAGCATGACCAGTGGTCCCATCTTTGCAAGCCACAGCTCAGTCTCCAGGAGCACAGATGCAGGGGGTGGAGGAGTGCGTCTCAGTGGAGGCCGCCTGAAGCTGTCCTGCTGGCCTGCACTGTGCTGGCCACACAGAGCTGCTCTTGTAGCTTGGAATTTGGGTCTCATAAAATTACTACTATTGTTGCCATTTTTTTATACCTCACTTCTTTGAAATGATGATGGCAAGTGTCTTTAATAAGCACACACTCCATTCTCATCCTTCCTAAAGAGAAACAGGTGAATGGCAGGGCTGCTTCCCCACTACGGCCTGGACTGTCATCTCATCCCATCTCTGGGGTAGTTAGATAATCCCCCAAGGGGCCAAAAATAAGACCTATCTTACAGTGGGTATTCAATAAATGTTTATTAAACAAATGAGTATTCTGGACCCTTTGCTGTTGGATTTGGACAAAAATGACATTTGAAATCTCCCGTTTCTCTGATTCACCAAACAATGAACGGCTCAATATGTGTCAGATAGTGTGCCGGACACTTTCACACATATGGTGTGATTTATTTAATCCTCGCTGCAAACTTGGTAGGTAATAGCCTCTACTTTATAGATTTTCAAAAGGAAAGCTGAGCTCCCTTAAGTGAGTAAGTTGAGTAAGAGACAGAGCTGGGATGTGCCCCCACATCTTCCGATTCCAAGCCCAGTGCTTTTTCCCGGGACAAGATAGCTACAACTCTTGACCTGACCAGACCTCTGAGTTGAGTGCAGGGTTCTTCTCCTTCATCCCCATCTCCCACTGGAGAAGAGTGTCACAAAGAAATGAGCCAGGGCAGAGATGAAGTGCAAAGGCCAGTGATGGAGCAGGAGGTGCCGGGAGAAGAGCTTGGCTGGGGGAGATGAAACATCACCTTGCTGATAAGAGTGGGGGCTCTCCAGCCATTGGGTCTGGGAGCACATCCCGACTCTGTGGAGCTTGGCAAGCCAGAGTTGTTTGGCAGATTGTTGTCTGCCTGTTGTCATTCACATTAAACCATAATTGGCTGCAAATACCTAAACCAGAGCGACACTCACTGCTTTGCAATAATCTGGTTAAAACACATTTCTACCAAAGTGCAGTCAACAAGGAAAGCAACAACAAAATTAACTGTCATCAGCCTGCACCCCTCTAGCTCCTGTCATCATGCAGTGACTGAGATGGCTGTGGTTAGGTGGGGGCAGGAAAAAGGGAATCAAGTGGCCAGAGTCCATGGGGGTATTATGTTGTGGCCCATTCTGGGCTATTGGTGATCTAGCCCTGTGGGGTCGGGGTGACGGGGTGACCACCCCTGCTGACTCTGGAGGGTAGAAATGGGAACACTCCCTAGAGACTTGGCAGATACTATACAAAGGGGAAGAAAAACATAAGCAAAGTACAAGAAGCCATGTTGGTTAAGCAGAAAGAGCCCAGACTCAAAATCAAGGGGACAGGCCAGGTGTGATGGCTCAGGCCTGTAATCCTAGCACTTTGGGAGGCCAACGCGGGTGGATCACTTGAGGTCAGGAGTTTGAGACCAACCTGACCAAAGTAGTCAAACCCCATCTCTGCTAAAAATACAAAAATCAGCCAGGTGTGGTGGCATGTGCCTGTAGTCCCAGCTACTCGGGAGGCTGAGGCAGGAGAATCGCTTGAACTCAAGAGGCAGAGGTTGCAGTGAGCCGAGATCCCACCATTGCACTCCAGCCTGGGCAACAGAGTGAGACTCTGTCTCAAAAAAAAAAAAAAAACACCAAGGGGACAGAGTTCCAGAGCCCTTTGATTCCAAGTGTCTGCATGGGCTAGTTTAAGTCCTCCTGGATGATGGAGTCAACTCCTCCATGCCTTGATTTCCTCCTTTTTCAAAAAGCAGTTTACTTTTGCCTTGCCAAACATCTTGGGTACAACTGAGATGAGCAGCTGTGCTCTCTACAGCACGTCCCTATGTAAAGAAAACAAGCTGAGATGACACCTCTCCACCCAGAGGCTGACACGACAGCAAATCTATGTCTGGGACAGAGCCAGAGATGGATGGTGTGGCCCCTCAAGGTCCCTGATTTCCAAGAAAGTACAGGTTTATCAGACCACGTGTTCCCCGAGAAATCATCTGAGGGAGAGCTGTGGCAAGAGCTAAGAGGTTAGGAGGTAGGCAGGCTTTGTGGATATGAACCTATGTAGTCACACAGAGCCTGCTCTTGAAAGGGCCCTGCACTTGGTTTAGTGCTCCACTGGTGCTATTTTGAAATTCTTAAAAATGTTTGAATAAGGGGTCCTGCATTTTCATTTTTCACTAACCCTGCATATTATTAGCTGACCCTGTCAGAAGGATAGTCCTCACTGGATGTCAACAGTAAATGAAGGCAGAGGGAAAAGACATAGGGACAAGGGTGGACAATTAGCTTCTGCTGTAACATAAAGCAAAGCCGTCTCTTGTCTTTGTTTGGCTTATAGAATCGCAAAACTAGATAGGCCTTCCAAAACCACCTCATCCATTCTCTTACCTTTAGGAAGGATGTTCGCATTTCTAAGACACACAAAATAGTACCTATAGTTTTGGGTTTTGGTTTTCTTCCAGAAGAAAGAATCCACCTTTTTCTTGTGGTTATTTAAGGGCAATGTTGCCTATGGACTAGTTTTTTTTTTTTAGACACAATTTCGCTCTTATTGCCCAGACTGGAGTACAATGACGCAATCTCGACTCACTGCAACCTCCGCCTCACAGGTTCAAGCGATTCTCCTGCCTCAGCCTCCTGCGTAGCTGGGATTACAGGCACCTGCCACCACGCCCAGCTAATTTTTGCATTTTTAGGGTTTTGCCATGTTGGCCAGGTTGGTCTCGAACTCCTGACTTCAGGTGATCCACCTGCCTCAGCCTCCCAAAGTCGTTAGCCACAGTGCCAGGCCTAGACTAATTTTCCCTGCAAACCCAGTGCAGCCTAAATAAACTCTAATTTCATCATATAGTTTTCAGAAATTTTTTGTTTTTATTATCTCATTGGATAATCAGAGCCCTTTATTCCTTTGTTCAATAAACATTAATTGAGCATGAACAGGTTGTCTGGTACTATCCTAAATACTGAAGTTAGTACTATTAATAAGACAGTTCCCTGCCCTTATCCCATCTTGTAGGATCAGGCAGCAGATTCTGGTGATTGAGTGTTTCATGAGTCAGTTGCAGGAGAGAAATTTTGCCCCAGAATGGACCATAATCAAGGTCATTACCTGCTTTAGATCATTTAAACAATGAGATTTGGGACTTTTCGAGTTTATATTTAGATGATATTTTGGACTTAAGAGTTGACACTGGAATGATGCTGGGTTAAACTTTGGGGGATGTTGGGATGCGGCTGAATGAATTTGCACATGGAGCAGAAGTGAATTTTGGGTTGCAGACTCTACTAGGTTGAAGAGGGCCCCCAAGAATTCATGTATTTCCTGGAACCTCAGAATGTGACCTTATTTGGAAATGATATCATTGAAGATGTACTAGAGTAGGATGAGGTCATACTGGAGTAGAGTGGGCCCTTAATCCAATGTGACTGGAGTTCTGATAAGAAGAGAAGAGACACACAAGGAGAAGGCCATGTGAAGATGGAGGCAGAGACGGGAGCAACGCATCTACCAGCCAAGGAACACCACAGGTTCCTGGCAGCAACCAGAGGCAGAGGAGAGGCAAGGAGCAGATTCTCCCTCAGAATGCCCAGAAGGAACCAACCCTGCCCAAGTCTTGATTTCAGATTTACAGCCTACATAACTGCAAGAAAATGAATTTCTGTTGTTTTGAGCCACCCAGTTTGGGCTACTTTGTTATGGCAGCCTTGTGACACTAATACACGCGACCTGCCAAGTAATGCCCAGTGGGCAAATGGCAAAGAATGGACCAGAATATACTGCACTGCCTTTAGTTGTGTGTCAGCATGATATGGAATTAGGCACATAGTTTCTGGAGTCAAGTTGCCTGGGTTCAAGTCCAGGCTCCACCAGTCACCTTGCAGCCTCCTGTAAGTTACTTAACTTCTCTGCACCTCAATTCATTTATTTGTAAAAATGCAGATACTTGGATCACTCATCTCCTAGGGATGTGAGGATTATAGGTACAAACTTTAAAATGGTGCTTGGCATAGGCTAAGTGCTCAGCTTTGTGGTTATTGCTATTATGTCTCCCTGGGCAGATTTTGGGGATCTGTGATAGATGTCAGGAGCCTTCATTTATTCATCTTTATGTCCTAAGTGTTCACCATGGAGCCTGGCACATGGTAAGAACTCAAAAGATGTTTATTGAATTGTACTGGAGTCTGGTAGTAGCACTACTTTTAGTTCCAATATAATGGAAGTGTGGAGTTAGCCTGAATGGAGGCTATCCTCTTGAGGTCAGTCTTTCTGAGGGCGACCTCTCTGCAGATCATGCAAGAAGCAGTGACTCCTGCTTCTGCTGAGTAGAAGGCATGTCACCTGCTCAGTGAGACACTGCTCTCTGCAAAACTGCCCCTACCTACAGCTCATCATTTCTAATGGACTAAAGGAGCTGGTGCCTTTAAATTCCACAGAAAGGGAAGAAAAAGCACTTTAGTTTCAGTCCATGTTCCCCATTAGACACCCTTCAGGTGTTAGCAATATTATGCCACAATTTCATTATCCATTAAAGCCAGGTAATAATAAGTACACAAAGGTATTTGGAGCCTATTGATGTTAATGAAAGAGATCAATCTAATTCCGAATGTGTGTGTGGAGAGCTCCTTGGAGATGGAATAGGCCCCAAGGTTAGCCTGTAATTGCCTCCTTGATGGTAGACCCCACCAGTACTCAGTTTTGCATGACCGTCTTTATGACACAGTTGGAATTTTGACGCCTAGACTCCGCTTCATACAGAAGAACCCATTTGCCTCCTCTCCAAAGCCCCTCCCAGCATTCCCAACTCAGAAAGAACAGGAAAGTTGCTGCCATTTAAGCACCGGAGTCAGAGTTACTTGGATCTAGACTATGGGTCGCTCTGGATTAGCAGAAAGTCAGTCTGTGATTCCCACATCACTTGAGTGACCCAGAAAGGATATCCAGGGCTCTAAATTCTCTCTCTCTTTCTCTCTCTCTCTCTCATATGATCTGCTAGCACTTAGAGGGATCTTGATTTTCTATCAAGTTTATAAGCTGCATTCAATAAGTATCTCAACAAAGTTACTCTACCTAATCTAGAAAAAAAATTATAACAGAAAAAGAGGATAAATGAAGCACCTTTCTTTCCCAAATGCCCGCTTTGCATTTTCTAGGACACCCTGTGCGCACCCCAATTCCTGCCCGAATAAACACTTTACTTGGTGTGAGGATATCTGTGGTTGGGCTCGGTTTAGTTTCCACAGCTGTCCACCCTTTTCCATCCAACACGAGTTCCTAAATTGTATTCCTACCTCCTCCCACTTCTACCCTCATTCTTTAAAGAAAAAAAAGAAAAAAACCACTGCCATGCAAAATCAAATGCTCTCACCCTGCTGTTTCTGGGAACCAGCACCTCCAATAATATATTGGAGGAAACCTCCCCTCCCATGGCTGCTGGGCCGGGTCCCAGGCTGTACACAGACATCTTTGTAGGGAGAAGTGCCTATGCTCTGGGCCCCCTGTGGAATGTAGCCTGACTCCAAAGTATCCGTGGTGTCCTCTGATAAACAATTTGTGTCCCAGAGTCGGCAGCTATGATTGCACATTAGCTGAAACTCATGGGGCATCCGGAGCACTTGATTTAGTATAAATGGCAGCAGTGTACCTCAGGCCAAGGGCAAGGATGAATTTAGAATAGATTATTGCTTCTCCTGACTTCCCTACCCGTCCCCAACCTCCCGCTGGGCAGCCTGGACTGAGACACAGCCGGCGAGTAGATTAAGAGGAGATGGTCCTTTGCTGTCAGGACCCTGGCAGGCCCAGTGTTGGCATAATAGAATCAGGCTCTGAATTTCACATCACTGGCCAAGGGCTGTTGAAGGAAAGCCAGGTGCCTTGGTTGCTAAATTCAGAGTGGGATGTCTGGTATGGAGTAAGAGAATGAGCCTAGGCTCTGTGCACAGAGCAGAAATGCATGGAGGCTGAGCGAGGTTGGGAGGCAGAAAACTGTGATCGTCACTGAATCCACTTTTAGTCTTTCTAAAGCTGCAGAATTGCTCCTGAGTCTGGCCTCCTGTCCCACCAAATATGATCTGTGACTCTACTCAGGATTCTCTCCCTACTCTGCTCCTGAGGACCAGGGCAGAGGCCAGCCCTGCTAGATAACCCACGTCCACCCCCGGGGCAAAAGGACCCATGGAAAAGTTCCAAGAGCATGAAATCAAATTGCACCTGCCTCCAGCACACTTCCACTTCAAAACGTACCCGGGGGGAAGCATGGCAGTGAGGAGAGCAGAGGAACTGGACCATGGCTCTGAGATCCAGGGAAGCCTCCCCTCCATTAGACAATCTTCTGTCTCTGTTCATCATAATTAAAATGGAGATGGTATATAGAAAACCTTCAGCTGCTGTTGACGAATTAACATTTAGGGTGAAGGAAAGTGACATGTAACTACAAATAATAGCTGCTCTATGGAGAGAGAGAGAGTGTGTGTGTGTGTGTGTGTGCACATGTGTGCCTGTGTATGCAAGCACACGCCCTTGTTTACCTGCCCCATCTCTTTCCTGTGTTTGTCTCCTCCGTGCAGTGTAGGTAATGGTGTGTGCAGTGTTCTCAGGAGCACTTGGTAGGTGACTATGTTCCACCTTGCATGTGCTACTCCTTCACATTTCCCTTTAATGCTCTCCATTATTCGGGCTGCATTAATAATGTTTGTGGGCTGATATCTTTAAAATTAATGAGGTGTTTACTCCTAGCCAAGAAACTCATTGAAATTTAAAAAAAAAAAAAGCTTGCTTGCTTTCCTTCCCTTTTCCTTACAAGAAAAGTGGACAAACAGGCCACAATGCAAGCTTTGCTTAAAACCAAGCAGGATTCTAGGCAAGAGCCCAAAGCCCACCATCAGGAGGGTATGAGTTGCGATTATACTAGCCAGCATTATACATTAGTCAGGTTCAAACCACAACTGTGTCTAAGAGGCCCAGATTTAACAAGAGCTTTGCTGGAAAGCTGTATACACCTTTAACCAATTAAGGGATACCTGTAACCTCAATAATAGTTTCTTTCTTTCTTTCTTTTTTCTTTCTTTCTTTCCTTCTTTCTTTTTTCTTTCTTTCTTTCCTTCTTTCTTTCTTTCTTTTTTTCTTTCTTTCCTTCTTTCTTCTTCCATCCTTCCTTCCTTCCTTTCTTTTCTTTTGACAGAGTCTCCCTGTGTCACCCAGGCTGGAGCGCAGTGGTATGATCTTGGCTCACTGCAACCTCCACCTCCCGGCTTCAAGCGATTCTCATGCACACACCACTACACCCAGCAAGTTTTTGTATTTTTAGTAAAGATGGGGTTTTGCCATGTTGGCCAGACTAGTCTCGAACTCCTGACCTCAAATGATCTGCCTGCCTTGGCCTCCCAGAGTTCTGGGATTACAGGCATGAGCCACCGCACTCAGCGAATGATAGTTTATTTCTTCACCTCCCCTTAGCATATCCATTGTACCAGAGCACCTTAGTCTAGTCTAAGTTTTCCTTCTTATTCCAAAGGTATATTTTTAGGATAATTCATCTTGTGTGCAGTCCTGACCTGCCTGTGGTTTCTATTTTTCAACTGAATCCATTACTTGGCATGAAGGACCACCATTCCCTCACTACCACCACCACTAGCTGACTTTTTGCAGAAAAGAAGAATGCACTGCTGAATACTAATGATGTAGTTTACCAGTTGTGTGAAATTGTTGCAGACCATGTGTCAAAACAGTTTCCCAGGGGGCCAAAGATGGGACAATGGCTGCCTCTGGAGTACAAATCAGCGGGCTTCACTGTCCTGTACCCCACCATCCCCTAGTTTCATGCCGGACAAATTTCCCTATGAACAATGCAGCCAAGGGCTGCATCGGAGGAGTGTGGGTTCCCATCATAATTTTGAGGGGGTTAATTGTTCCCTCTGATCCAGAAGCTACCAGTGGTCTCTGTGGGTCTTATTGGCTAATCCCTTAAGATATTCAAGTTAATAATATTATCGTATTATGCATCTGCATCTGGAATTAGTTGATAATTTACTCAATAAAAAAAAAATAGGACAATAATGTTGATGAGAAAGTCTTCCCAATTTGTTGTTGTTGTGTGTGGGTTTGTCTGTGTTTTTTCTGAGTAGCAATTAGAAGCCATAATGTAAGTGTGTGTGGAAAGATTGGAGGATTCCTGCTGCAGGGCATGCTTCAGGCCTCTGGTGTCTGAATACCAGGCCTCTGGTGTCTGTTATCTTCTGGAGGGGCCCAGCATCTCCCACTGAACCTCTGCTCTGTGAAATGCTGGAATGCAGGTGGATGCTCAGAGCCCGCTGAAGTCCCTGTTCTTGGGTGATAATGAATGAGAACATGCAATAGAGCAGAAATTCCTTGGCCCAAGAGAGAAGGCCAAAGGCTGGGGAGAAGCGGGCAACGGGGACAGGTAGTAAAGAACCTACATTAAACTGAATCTGTGCAAATCCTCCAGCGCTGCTCTGCAGGATGCTGTATGTGGAGGACACAGATAGAAGTTCCCACTCACTGTCATTCAAAAACGCCTTTTTGTCATGCTGAATGTCTTCTGGGCTCCTCAGAAAGGCCAGGTCTACGTCTTCCACTGCAAACAACACAAACAATTGACTTTCCCAGAGAGAAAGAGATGCCAACATCCACCCACTTTTCCAGCTCCCAATTCGAATCCTTCCTCGTTCTCCTGCCCCCATAGGCACAGTCTCCTTGGCCTTATTTGAATTAGGGGGTAGGGATGTGGAATAAAATCTTTCTAGTCATAAAAAAACAACAACTGTGAATTTATGGCTTGGAATACACTCTCTGTAGAATGATGGAGCTTGCCTGCGATTTCTATAATATTATCCATGGCAGTAGAGGCCTAACACTGTTTCCAAAACAACTATGGGGGCCTACAGCATCATACTTGGTCTGGATTACAGCAGGAGCCAAAAAACCGCAAGAAGAGATTCCAATTTTTAAATAGCCAATTATCTGCAAGAATAAAATAGACCTGAAGGATAGTATAATATCATTTCACCTATGTGCACCAACCTAGCATTAATGGGTATCTCTCATGGTTTACCTGTATGCAGAATGCTCTTGAAGGTCAGGCTGCAATTCTGGACATCAAATGGAAAAGCATATGTCTCTAAACTGCACGCAGAGACCACCTGGATGGGCTTATAGTTCTCAATGGTCCCAGATGAGTTCACATAAACATAGGGAAGGTCAGGGTATCTTTCAATGTCCACACTATATGAAACACAAGAGAACTTGTTGTCACAGAGAGGATGTTGGTCATTTCAAAACATAGGCTGATTAGGAGATGGTAGTGACCATGAGGTCCAGGACCAGCCTAGCCCTGCAAAACAGAATCGCATTTTCCATGAGATGATTCACCCTGGCAAAGATGAGCTTTTCAGTGACAGCCTCGTAAGTTAACTCATTTGCTGCTATAACAACACAGACATAATGAGTAACCTCAACATTAGTAACCAGATCTGTATCTTAAATAATGTCAACACATGGCACTTCTAACCTGAATACTCCCAACAATATGCTCCCCTTCAACTTGAGAAGCAAAAATGAGCAACACTGACTGAAAGTAAGCAGCAACTGGCCCGACTATACCAAGCAGTCTAAACCCCACAGAAATACACACTGGCACACTTACAACTCATTGATGATGATATCGGGGGCCCAGATGGCACTTAGAGGTAGGGAGATCTCTCTAATCTCATCAAACATGCTGGAGTTCCAGGATAAAAATTCATCATTCCAGACCTGTTAGTAGTAGCCAAAAAGAAAACTTATCAAAATGGGGCAATATCTACTTCGCTAAAGAACTAAAGAGGCATTTGGATTAATAATCCAATTTATCAGCCTCTTGGTTCTACCTGTTAGGAGAAAGGACTTCCCATCTGAATCCTAAAGATGGTAGTCCCAACCAGAAACCAGGGCCATACATCTTAAATGAATTATAATACATTAGGTCTGCTGCAGATCTAAGAAACTATAAATACAAAGATAATACCTATTTCTTAAATAACTATATTTTGCAGCAGATCCAGATCAGGAGTGCAATATATTTAGAAGAAAACATAATTATTTACCTCTTGGTACCATACACTTGTCTTTAATATTTGATTCTCTGCATCCTGCAAGGCAAAAAGAAAATCCACTCCAAATCTTAGAATGTCAATAAATCAAAGGCCAATTCAGCAGTAAGGAAATTCAGAAGAAGAAAATCAAATCTAACCAAATAATGCTGATATTAAAAACATTACCTAGACTCTTCAATACCTAGGCATTCTCAGTTCTTACTTATTATGCACACCTGTCGCTATGAGCTTTACTATATTATCTATGACAAAACGGCACTTTGCCTGCCCTTGACATCTTGAATGATTTGCTAATCTCTTTCCCACTCTAATTAGTTACTCTACCATTAATCAGACTAAAAAATGTTACGTTGTCTTAGTAATTTTGGGCTAAAAAGATGAGACCAAGCTTTGATTTGTAATCAAGATATTATTCATAATCTTTCAATGAGTGTTAGCTCAACTGTTATTGGCAGCCATTCCTGTTAAGTTACCGTATGTTTGGATTTCTCTGCTTATAAAACAGACTGAATGAGCTTATTATAAATGAAACATATTTTAAATGATATAATAGACGTGATTTCCCATGTCTGCAATGAGTCCATAAAATTTTTAAAAGACCCCCCAAAACAGCAATTTAAAAAACCCTCCTGGCTGGGCACAGTGGTTCGTCCCTGTGATTCCACATTTTTGGAGGCCAAGACAGGAGGATTGCCTGAGCCCCGGAGTTTGAGACCAGCCTGGGCAACACAGTGAGATTCTGTCTCTACAAAAAAGTTAAAAATTAGCCAGGTGTGGTGGCACACACCTAGTGGTCCCAGCTACTTGGAAGGCTGAGGTGGAAGGATTGCTTGAGTCCAGGAGGTCAAGATTGCAGTGGGCCATGTTTGTGCCACTGCACTCCAGCCTAGGTGACAGAGAGAGACTCTGTCTCAAAAAAAAAAAAAAAAAAAGAGAAAAGAAAAAAAAACCCTCCTCACCAATTTTTTTCATATCTAATCTAGTAAAGAACATTCTGAAACTCAGATGTTCTTAGGAATTTTTTAAAAAGGGATATCTCACACCGTATATAAACATTAACTCAAAATGAATCATACACCCAAATGTAAGAGCTTAAACTATAAAACTCTTAAAAGAAACCATAGGAGTAAGTAAATCTTCATGACTTTGAATTAGGCAATGGTTTCTTAGACATGACAACAAAAGAAAAATAAATGAGACTTCACCAAAATTAAAAACTTTTGTGCTTTAAAGAACACCATCAAGAAATGAAAAAGACAACCCACAGAATGGGAGAAAATATTTGCAAATCACATATCTATTAAGAGGCTTGTATCCAGGACATAAAGAACTCCCACAACTCAACGACAACAAAAGACAAGCAGCCCTGTTTTAAAATGGGCGAGGCCGGGTGCGGTGGCTCGCACCTGTAATCCCAGCAGTTTGGGAGGCTGAGGCTCGTGGGTGGATCACGAGATCAGGAGATGGAGACCATCCTGGCTAACACGGCAAAACCCCGTCTCTACTAAAAAATACAAAAATTAGCCGGGCGTGGTCGTGGGCGCCTGTAGTCCCAGCTACTCGGGCGGCTGAGGCAGGAGAATGGAGTGAACCCAGGAGGCAGAGCTTGCAGTGAGCCCAGATCCTGCTACTGCACTCCAGCCTGGGTGACAGAGTGAGACTCCGTCTCTAAAAAATAAAAATAAAAATAAAAATGGGTGAGAGACTTGAATAGACATCTCTCTAAAGTAGATACACAAATGACCAATAAGCACATTAAAAGATGCTCGAGGTCACTGCTATGGGCCAAACGGTGTCCCCCCAAAACCCATATGTTGAAACCCTAACTTCCAAGGTGTTCATATTTGGAGACAGGACTTATAGGGAGTAATTAAGGTTAAATGATGTCATAGGGATAGGACCCTAATCTCATAGGATTGGTGGCCTTATAAGACAAGGAAGAGAGAAAGATCTCTCTCTACCATGTGAGTATACAGTGAAAAGGTGACCATCTGAAAGTCAGAAAGTGGGCTCTCACCAAGAACCAAATCAGCCAGAACCTGATGTTGGACTCCCAGCCTCCAGAATTGTGAGAAATAAATTTCTGTTGTTTATGCCACCTAGTCTGTGGTATTTGTTACGGCAGCCCAAACTTCCTAATACAATCACTAATCATTAGGGAAATGCAAATCATCAAAACCACAATGAGATACAAACTCACACTCATTAGAATGGCGACTGTTTTTTAAAAAGCAGAAAATAACAAGTGTTGGTGAGGATGGGGAGAAATTGGAACCCTTGTGCACTGTTGGTGGAAATGTAAAATGGTGCAGCTGCTGTGGAAAACAGTATGGCACTTTCTTAAAAAGTTAAAGATGAAATTACCATATAATCCAGCAATTCCACTTCTGAGTACACACCCAAGAGAACTGAAAGCAGGGGCTTGGACAGGTATTTATACACACATGTTCATAGCAGCATTATTCACAATAGCCAAGGGGTAGAATCAACCCAAGTGTCCATCGACAGATGAATAGATAAGCAAAATGTGGACTATACATAAATTAGAATATTATTCAACCTTAGAAAGGAAGGAAATTCTACAGCTGGGCGCGGTGGCTCACGCCTGTAATCCCAGCACTTTGGGAGGCCGAGGTGGGTGGATCACTTGAGGTCAGGAGTTTGAGACCAGCTTAGCCATCATGGTGAAACCCCGTCTCTACTTAAAATACAAAAATTAGCCAGGAGTGGTAGCGCACACCTGTAATCCCAGCTACGAGGGAGGCTGAGGCAGGAGAATTGCTTGATCCCAGGGGTGGAGGTTGCAGTGAGCCAAGATTGTGCCACTGCACTCCAGCCTGGGCAACAGAATGATACTCCGTCTCAAAAAAAAGGAAGGAAGCAAATTCTGACACATGTTACAACATGGATGAACCTTGAGAACATGATGGGAAGTGAAATAAGCCAGTCACAGAAGGACAAATACTGCCTGATTCCACTTAAATGAGGTACCTAGAGTACTGAAATTCATAGAGACTGAAAACAGAATGAGTTGCTGGGGTGAAGGAAGGGAAAGTTATCGTTGAATGGGTAAACAGTTTCAGTTTTCACTGTTCGCAATAGCAAAAACATGGAATCAACCCAAATGCCCAACAATGATACACTGGATAAAGAAAATGTGGTACATATATACCGTGGAATACCATGCAGCCATAAAAAAAAGAATGAGATCATGTCCTTTGCAGGGGCATGGATGGAGCTGGAAGCCATTATCCTCAGCAAACTAACATAGGAAGAGAAAACCAAACACCACATGTTCTCACTCATAAGTGGGAGCTGAACAATGAGAACACATGGACACGGAGAGGGGAACCACACACACTGGGGCCTGTCAGGGTGGGGTTTTGGGGAGGGAGAGCGTCAGGAAAAATAGCTAATGCATGCTGAGCTTAATACCTAGGTGATGGGTTGATAGGTGCAGCAAACCATGGCACACGTTTACCTATGTAACAAACCTGCACATCCTGCACATGTATCCTGGAACTTAAAATTAAATTAAATTTTACAAAAAAGAGAAAACAGGGCCGGGTGCGGTGGCTCACACCTTGTAATCCCAGCACTTTGGGAGGCCGAGGTGGGAGGATCAACTGATGTCAGGAGTTCAAGACCAGCCTGGCCCATGAAACCCCGTCTCCACTAAAAATACAAAAATTAGCCGGGCTTAGTGGCACGTGCCTGTCATTCCAGCTACTCGGGAGGCTGAGGTAGGAGAATCGCTTGAACCCAGGAGGCAGAGGTTGTAGTGAGCTAAGATTGAGCCACTGCTCTCCAGCCTGGGCAACAAAGCGAGACTCTGTCTCAAAAAAAAAAAAGGAAAGAAAAAACATATACTCTAAAACACATTTGTCCAGAATATCAATTCTATAAGAAAACATGTGCAGAGAAAAGTAAAAATTAGCAGCGATGGTTGCTTTTATAATTTGAATTACGTGAATTTTTTCCTCTATAGTATTATATTCTTCTGTATTTTCTACATATCTATAAGTATATTATAATCAGGAAAAACATTAGTATTTTTTTAAGTTACCAAGCTGTCCCACAAAGAAATATGAATGGCCAGTAATCACATGAAAATGTTTAACCTCAGTAGTAATAAAAGATGGAAAGAATGGTCAAAACAAAAAAGGAGTTTCAGTTTTGCAAGATGAAAGGAGTTCTGGAGACTGAATCACGGTGATGGTAACACAAGAATGTGAATGTACTTAATGCCACTGAACTGTATGCTTAAAAAAGGTCAAGATGATAAATTTTATGTTGTGTATTTTATGACAAGTAAAAATGATAATACAAAGTGGATAAAGGATTTGGCTATATATTTCTCCTAAGGAGATATACAAATGGCCAATAAGCACATGAAAAGACGCTCACCATCATTAGTCACCAGGGAACTGCAAATCAAAACCACGACGAGATACCACTGTATCCTCACTAAGACAGCTAAAATTAAAAAGATAGACAATAACAAATATTGGCAAGGATGTAGAGAAGTTGGAGCCCTCAAACATTGCTGGCAGGATTATTAAGTGATTCAGTCAGTTTGAAAACCAGTCTGGGCTGGGCTCGGTTGCTCACGCCTGTAATCCCAGCACTTTGGAAGGCTGAGGCAGGCAGATCACCTGAGGTCAGCAGTTTGAGACCAGGCTGGCCAACATGGTGAAACCCTTGTCTCTACTAAAAATACAAAAATTAGTTGGGTGTGGCGGCGCACACCTGTGATCCCAGCTACTTGCGAGGCTGAGGCACGAGATCACTTGAACCCGGGAGCTGAAGGTTGCAATGAGCCAAGATCGTGCCACTGCATTCCAGCCTGGGTGACAGAGTGAGACTCTGTCTGAAAAAGAAAAAAAGGAAAGGAAAGGAAAGGAAAGGAAAGGAAAGGAAAGGAAAGGAAAGGAAAGGAAAGGAAAGGAAAAGAAAGGAAAGGAAAGGAAAAGCAGTCTGATATTTACTTAAAAGATTAAACATATATTTATCATATAATGCAACAATTCTACTCAGAAGTATATAACCACGAGAACTGAAGAAATAAGTCCACACAAAAAACCTGTATAAAAATATTCATAGCAGCATTATTTGTGATAGTTAAAAAGTGAAACCAATATAAACATCTATCGACTGATGAGTGAATAAACAAAATGTGATATATCCATACAATCGATTATACAGCAATAAAAAGTAATAAAATACTGATGCATGTGACAACATATATGAACTTTGAAAGCATGCTAAGTGAAAGAAATCAGTCATAAGAAGCCATTTATGGTATGATTCCACTTATATAATATGTCTAGAACAGGCAAATCTATAGAAACAAAAAGTAGATGAGTGTTTGCCTAGGGCTGCTGGGGGTGGAATGTGAGGTGTGACTGCTAATGGATATAGGGCTTCTTTTTGAGGTGATAAAAATGTTCTGAAATTAGATAGTGGTGATGGTTGCATAACTGAATATACTAAAAAACACTGAATTGTATACTTTAAATTGGTGAATTTTGTGGTTGAATTAAATCTCAAAAAAACCTGCTATTTAAAAAAATGTATTAATAAAGAAAAGGGCAATTGTTTTTTAAGACATTTCCAGTAAATTTATAAGAAGTCTGATGCATACTATTAAAGAACTCTCCTTGAACTCATTTTTTTTCATTTCTTTCCATGTATAATCCATCACTAAAAACTGCATCCTTAAAAGAGAATAAAAGGATAAAAAACACAAGATGAAGAAATAGGAAATAAAATGTGTAAGACCAGCCTGGCCAACATGGTGAAACCCCGTCTCTACTAAAAATACAAAAATTAGCTGGGCATGGTGGTGGGAGCCTGTAATCCCAGCTACTTGGGAGGCTGAGGCAGAAGAATCGTTTGAACCCAGGAGGCGGAGGTTGCAGTGAGCAGAGATGGCGCCACTGCACTCCAGTCTGGGTGATAGAGAGAGCCTCTGTTTCAAAAAAAAAAAAAAAAAAAAAAAACAAATTCGTAAAACATTTCCTTTGCTGATTTAGGTTCAAAGCTCAAGAGTCACTTAGGTAACATTCGTATTTCTGTAATATTTAGTACAATACCAAATTTCAGTAAATGAAAGTGTTTAGGAAGTTGATGGCATGAAATCAAATAACAGCTCTCGTTTCCTCCCCAGAACTGGGTATACGAAATTAATTGTCCAATTATCCAGCGACATAAAAATCCATATTCTTTGTGCACAGGGTCAAGACTATGTACTACTCTGGAGAATTCAGGTTGGATAGGGGGTCAGAAGGCACCACTGGTATTATAGTCCATGTTGATGGTGCTCGTGGAATTGTGCAGAACAGAGACTACACAGTGGCTCTGCGCCAGGTGGCATCATTTGAAAGAGAAACAAGAAACTTTTTTAAATTTCCCCTTTTTATAATCAAGAAAGCAAATTACTAACAATAAGCATTATTTTTTCTCTTTGAGAAAGAGAAGGCATTCGGAGCACATAGAAACATAGTCGCCCTGCTTTAGTGGTTCAACAAAGCCTGGTCTGAGTGAACTTGTTCTACAGATATTAATGGAATTTAAATAGATACTTGGGAAAGGCAAGTTTTAAAGTAGTATAAAAAGTGAAAACCTTGAATTCACAAGTATTTCCCCAAGGAACAACTTGGAGCAGATGGACCACAGGGGACTCCCAGACAAGACTGGCTCAACGGGAGTCCTGGTAGCTGAAAAAAAAGCTCTAATGAGAGCTCGAGATTAGGTGTCACCACTTCTTGGCTTTTTTTTTTTTTTTTTTTTTTTGAGACAAGGTCTTGCTTTGTTGCCCAAGCTGGGGTGCAGTGGCACAATCATGGCTCACTGCAGCCTCAACCTCCCAGGCCCAAGTGATCCTCCCATTTCAGCCTCCCAAGTAGCTGGGACCAGAGATGTGCAACACCGTGCCTAGCTAATTAATTTATTATTATTAATTTTTGTAGAAACAGGGTGGTGCTATGTTGCCCAGGTTGGTCTCAAGTTCCCGGACTCAAGCAGTCCTCCCACCTTGGCCTCCCAAAGTGCTAGGATTACAGGTGTGAGCCACCGTGCCCAGCCTTCTTTGCAAATTTTACCAACTGAGAGATCATGAAATAGATTATGTCTCACCCACTAAAGCACAAAAGGTTCCATTCTAGGCTTGGTTGCAATCAATGAGGTTCCCCACAAATAGAAAGAAAAAAAGTTCAAAATGCAGTTTATATCACTGAGATATATAGTAGTTGACTATGCTTTCACAAGAAATACATTTTTACATCTATTCGATGTTCTTACCAGTTTGTTTATCACTGTCATACCCCGTGAATGTGCCTCATTGATTCAGTCATATGGCTGGGAGGAAGGTCTCTGTTTTCATGTTTCATTTCACTATCATTTTATTCAGTTGATTCTTCTTAACTGCCATATTGATGCCTTAGCTTGTTTTTCTCTTCTTGCCCATTGCTTTGCCACATTACATATAACAATGATGTTAAGAATTTTTTTCTAACACTTTATGGGGGTGGTTGAGAGGATTCGTCATTCAGCCCTGAAGAACACAATGTCAAAAAGTATTTTGAGGCTAAAACTAAAATCTTTTTTTGTCAAAGGAAACAAGTTTCTCAATGCCAGCTGGTGAACATAATTGGTTCTCTGGTGGCATTATTCACAGCTTTTCCCTCTGTGTATCTCGCCCTGTTTTTTTTCTTTAGATACCTTCCATCTTGCTTGTTAAAAGCAAAGGATATTTCAGAGAATTGGAATTCATTAGTCTTCCTAACAGAGGGAGTCTATTTAGATCTAAATTGGTGGTTAGCAAATATACAGATAATTCCCCTACATTCTTATTTATCTTTTCCAGTTCCGGAGACTATAGAAACAGATGCCTCAACGTCTGGCTGGGAGGCTCTAGTCAATGGACTGGAATACAAAGGTATCTGGGATTCGGAATTGACAAAACTCAATAGAAACAAATTGAAACTCTTCACTGTTGAGTAGATTATCTCTATAATCAGATTTCCCTAAGGTACTCATAATACCCAGAAATTCTAAGACAAGACTGTAGTCTTTTATATAAACAAAACAGGAGGCAAAACATTATAATGGAGGCGAGGTGCTGGGCTGAAAGCTCTTCATTCTAAACAAAAGTTGCCAGCAGTTCAGATGCTGGCAGATGCATCCAACAAGTTATCTATTCACGTTGGGAGTGTCCTTGTCTGTGCAGAATCTGTGAGTGATTTTTATCAAGTCCTTCAGAACTGTCCCTGCCTCTGGAACTAACTTTAGGCTTATCCCACCTACATGCAATAGAGACATTTACAGAGCATTTTTAGAGTAGCCATTTGTAAAGATAATCCTAGAATTGACCCTTATATTTTTTAATTCATTCATTCATTGGACAAGTATCAATCCAATATCTTGGAAATCAAATACATAGTGCTGCATGTTATGGAAAATATGAATATGAGTAAGAAAGTCCTTCCCTCAAGTAGCATACACTACATTAGGGCATAATTTAACATTTTAACAAATAACTGTGCATTAAGAAATACACAGACTTGCCGGGCGCGGTAGCTCACGCCTATAATCCCAGCACTTTGGGAGGCCAAGGCAGGCGGATCACGAGGTGAGGAGATTGAGACCATCCCGGCTAACATGGTGAAACCCCGTCTCTACTAAAAATACAAAAAATTAGCCGGGCGTAGTGGCGGGCGCCTGTAGTCCCAGCTACTCAGGAGGCTGAGGCAGGAGAATGGCGTGAACCGAGGAGGCGGAGCTTGTAGTGAGCCGAGATCTTGCCACTGCACTCCAGCCTGGGCGACAGAGCGAGACTGCGTCTCGCTCAGAAAAAATAAATAAATAAAATAAAAACACAGACTTGGCTCAGCCCGGCGGCTCATGCCTGTAATCCCAGCACTTTGGGAGGCTGAGGTGAGTGGATCACTTGAGGCCAGGAGTTCGAGACCAGCCTGGGCAACATGGCGAAATTAAGTCTCTACAAAAAATACAAAAATTAGCCCGATATGGTGGTATACACCTATAGTACCAGCTACTTGGGAGGCTGAGGTGGGAGGATCACCTGAGCCTGGGAGGTTGCAGTGAACTGAGGTCACGCCACTGTACTCCAGCCTGGATGATAGAGTGAGACCCTATCTCAAATAAATAAATAAATAAATAAAAACAAAAAAGAAAGAAAAGAAAGGAAAAGAAAATCCACACAGACTTAAGTGGATTTAAAGGAAGTGCTCTTACCTTGGAGAAATGAGGAAAATTTATTTTAAGAGCTGAGATTTGAAGGACTACAATATTTTGCAGATGGAGAATGAAGAGAAAGACATTTGGTAGGGGAAATAGCAGAATGAATGACTTACAGGCAGGAAACAACCATGGGTCCAGGCTCATTGTTGTACTGAGAACCGGGAGAAGATAATGTAAGATGGTAGACAGGGATAAAACTAGAGGGACAGAATATAAAATTTTTTCAGATTTCTGTAAGAAAATTTGCCAAATTCAATATGATGACATGTCTAACATAGTCTAATAACAAACAAGTATATTCTACAATTCTGGTAGGGAAATCCCACATCTTTAAAAAGATAATGGTGTTCTCCTTACCTACCATAAAGAATCTGATTTTACTTTCTTTTGTCAGGGTAGGAAGAAAGAGTTAGAAAAATATTTTCAATTCGATACACTTGTTCCAAGGGAAAATATTAATATAAATACTTTACACCTTTTCCATTTATCTCCAAATAAACCTCTAAAGGAAAGCCTGAGCAATTTTTTTTTTTTTTTTGAGACGGAGTCTCATTCTGTCGCCAAGTTGGAGTGCAGTGGAGCGATCTCAGCTCACTGCAATCTCTGCCTCCTGGGTCCAAGCGATTCTCCTGCCTCAGCCTCCCATCTGGGACTACAGGTGCCCACCACCACGCCCGGCCAGCAATTTTCTTTATCTTAATAAATACGAAGGGGCCGGGTGCAGTGGCTCACACTTGTAATCCTAGCACTTTGGGAGGCTGAGGCGGGCAGATCACAAGGTCAGGAGTTCAAGACCAGCCTGGCCAACATGGTGAAACCCCGTCTCTACTAAAAGTACAAAAATTAGCCAGGCGTGGTGGTGGGTGCCTATAATCCCAGCTACTTGGGAGGCTGAGGCAGGAGAATCACTTGAACCTGGGAGGCGGAGGTTGCAGTGAGCCGAGATCGTGCCACTGCACTCCACCCTGGTGACAGAGTGAGACTCTGACTCAAAAAAAAAATAAAAAATAAAAATAAATAGGAAGTCAGAAAGGAAAAAGATGGGCTGGACGGGATGGCTTATGCCTGTAATCCCACCACTCTGGGAGGCTGAGGTGGGTGGATCACTTGCGGTCTGGAGTTCAAGACCAGCCTGGCCAATGTGGTGAAACCCCATCTCTACTAAAAATACAAAAATTAGCCAGGTGTGGTGGTGGGCACCTGTAATCCCAGCTACTTGGGAGGCTGAGGCAGGAAAATCGCTTGAACCCAGGAGGCAGAGGTTGCAGTGAGCCGAGATTGCACCAGTGCACTCCAGACTGGGCGACAGAGTGAGACTCTGTCTCAAAAAAAAATAAAAATAAAAAACTTGAAGGAATTTTCTATTCAAGCTGTTTAAGACTAGGCTTTTTAGTAAGAGGTATTTCCTGGTATTTAATTAAACAATATTTTCTAAGATCTTAGGGCTAGGACTCTTACTTAATAGGATAATTGGGGAAATATGGCCATGCACAGTAGCTCATGCCTGTAATCCCAGCACTTTGGGAGGCCAAGGTGGGTGGATCACTCAATGTCAGGAGTTTGAGACCAGTCTGGCCAACATAGTGTAACCCCGTCTCTACTAAAAATACAAGTTAGCTGGACATGGTGGTAGGTGCCTGTAATCCTAGCTACTTAGGAGGCTGAGGCAGGAGAATCGTTTGAACCCGGGAGGCGGAGGTTACTGTGAGCCGAGATCATGCCACTGCACTACATCCTGGGTGACAGAGTGAGTCTCCATCTCAAAAAACAAACAAACAAACAAAAAACTGGGAAAAGTACAATTTGTTGTTTAAAAGAGGGAATTCTGGGCCAGGCGCGGTGGCTCACGCCTGTAATCCCAGCACTTTGGGAGGCTGAGGCGGGCAGATCACCTGAGGTCCGGAGTCTGAGACCAGCATGGCCAACATGATGAAACCCAGTCTCTACTAAAAATACAAAATTAGCCTGGCGTGGTGGCACATGCTTGTAATCCCAGCTACTCGGGAGGCTGAGGCAGGAGAATCGCTTGAACCCGGGAGGCGGAGGTTGTGGTGAGCCAAGATCACGCCATTGCACCCCAGCCTGGGCAACAAGAGTGAAACTCCATCTCAAAAAAAGTAAAAATAAAAACAAAAATAAAATAATAAAGGAATTTTTAGGGGTACCATTTAAATATTCCTCTTTACAATGAAACAATTGATTAGGGGTTTATCTAAGTTGGGGGAAAATGACACCAAAGTAACCTGAATCAGTAAAAAGGAAAAAAAATTTAAACCTTGTACTCTTTTTGTTGTTGTTGTTGTTGTTGTTGTTGTTGTTGTTGTTTTGAGATGGAGTTTTGCTCTTGTTGCCCAGGCTGGAGTGCAATGGTGCAATCTCGGCTCACCGCAACCTCCGCCTCCCAGGTTCAAGCAATTCTCCTGCCTCGGTCTCCCAAGTAGCTGGGATTACGAGCATGTGCCACCATGCCCGGCTAATTTTGTATTTTTTTAGTAGAGACAGGGGTTTCTCCATGTTGAGGCTGGTCTCGAACTCCTGACCTCAGGTGATCCACCTGCCTCGGCCTCCCAAAGTGCTGGGATTACAGGCGTGAGCCACAGCGCCCTGCCTAAACCTTGTACTCTTAAGTTTCAAATTAATTTTTTCATTGATTTAAATGCCTAATTCTCAGTCCCAAAAAATCAAAGACTCTGATTCACTGGTAGTACTAAAATAGTAACATAGAAAAACATCCCTATTAAAATAAATTGAAACTGAATCATTAAATTATTTTAACAGGTTACCTTAAAATAATAACATCATTTTGTGGGTATATTTTGTATGTAAATGTAAAATTGAAGATAAAAGTAGCACAAAAGAGGCGGGAGCAGGTAAATGGAATTTTACTGTTGTAAGTTTCGTACATTTTATGTGAAGTGTCAAAATATTAATTCTAAGTACACTGTAATAAGTTAATGATGAATATGGAAATTCCTAAGGCAAAGTCTAAAAAAAATACAAAGATGGATCGCTAAAAAGCTAATAGAGGAACTATAATCCAATATTTAAAATATTTTTAACATTTATTAAAAATTTAAAAATTCCGGAAAATAAAGTAGGATATGAGGAATAGAACAAAAAACAGATGAGAAAACTAGAAAACAAATAGCAAGATGGTACTGGCAAATGAGCTAAACATTTCCACTAAAATGCATAGATTGGCTGGTCACTGTGGCTCATACCTGTAATTCCAACACTTTCGGAGGCCAAGACAGGCAGATCACTTGAGGTCAAGAGTTTAAGACCAGACTGGTCAACATGGTGAAACCCCGTCTCTACTAAAAATACAAAAATTAGCCAGGTGTGGTGGCGCATGCCTGTAATCCCAGCTATTCAGGAGGCTGAGGCAGGAGAATTGCTTAAACCCAGAACGTGGAGGTTGCAGCGAGCCAAGACTGGGCCACTGCACTCCAGCCTGGGGGACAGAGTGAGACTCCATACTGAAAAAAAAAAATGCATAGATTGTCATACTGGTTTAAAAAAAAAAAAAAGCCCTAACCTGGAATAGTATTCAGCAACAAAAAGAAATGAACTATTGGCGTTCACAACAACACAGATGGACCATAAGGGAATTATGCTAAAGGAAAAAAGCCAATCTCAAAGGTAGTATATTGTATGATTCCATTTATATAATATTCTTGAAATAGCCTAAAGATGGAGAAAAGATTAGTGGTTGCCAGGGGTTAGGAGTCAGCAGAGAGAAAGGAATGTGGCTATAAAGGGATAGCACCTGGGGGCCCTGTGGTGTTGATACAATTATGTACTTTGATTGTGGTGCTGATTACAAAAAGCTACACATGTAATAAAATTACATAGAACTACACACACACACACACACACACACACACGAGTACACACAAGCAGGAGAAATCTGAATAAGCTCTATAGATTGTACCAGTGTTCATTTTCTAGTATTGACACTGTAATATATATATATTTGCAAGATGTTAACAGTATGAGAGATTGAGTGAAGTGTACACAGGGCCTGCCTATATATTTCTTTTCAGCATGTACCTAACTATATATTGTTATAAGAAATGACTTCAAATACAAAGGACATCAAATGATACAAATAGGTTGGAAATAAAAGGATGGCCAAGAATATGCCATGTGGGAAGCAAGCATAAGAAAAACTTCATAAAAGGGAATATTATCAGAGATGAAGTGGAGCGTTTCATAACAGTAAAAGGATCTGTTCATTACGAAGACATATAGGCTGGGCACAGTGGCTCACCTGTAATACCAGCACTTTGGGTGGCCAAGGTGGGCAGATTGCTTAAGCTCAGGAGTTAGTGACCATGGTGGGCAATATGGCAAAACCCCGTCTCTACCAAAAATACAAAAACCAGCTGGGTGTGGTGGCATGTGCCTGTAGTCCCAGCTACTCAGGAGGGTGAGGCAGGAGAATTGTCTGAGCCCAGGAGGTTGAGGCTGCAGTGAGACATGCCGCTGCACTCCAGCCTGGGAGACAGAGTAAAATACTGTCTCAAAAAAAACCCCCAAAGACAAAGAAAAATATAAGTCTAAATGTGTATGCACCTAATAACATAGCTTCAAAATACATGAAGCAAAAGTTGGCAGAACCAAAGAGAGAAATAGACAAACAACAATCATAACTGGAGATTTTAACATTCCACTCCATCAAGTTAATAAAACAACTGGAAGAAAAAAAATAGAAGATTTCGGCCGGGTGCAGTGGCTCACGGCTGTAATCTCACCACTTTGGGAGGCCAAGGTGGGTGGATCACCTGAGGTCAGGAGTTCAAGACCAGCCTGGCCAACATGGTGAAACCCCGTCTCTAATAAAAGTAGAAAAATTAGCTGGGCGTGGTGGCAGGCACCTGTAATCCCAGCTACTCAGCAGGCTGACGCAGGAGAATCACTTGAACCCGGGAAGCGGAGTTTACAGCGAGCTGAGATTGCGCCACTGCACTCCAGCCTGGGGGACAAGAGTGAGACTTCATCTCAAAAAAAAAAAAAATAGAAGATTTCAACACCACTATCAACCACATTTATTGAATTAATATTTATAGAGCAGTATACCATTCTGTTCAACATTGTACTGGAGGCCCTAGTCAGGGTAACAAGACACTAGAAGGAAACAAATGTATAAAGATCAGAAAGAAAGAAGTAAAACTGATTTTCCTCACAGACAACATGATTTTCTACACAGAAAATCTGAAAGAATCTACCAAAAAAAGCCTCTTAAGCGAAAAAGAAATGTAAGGGTCACAGAATCCCAGACCAATATCTAGAAATCAACTGTGTTTTTGTATGCTAGCAACAGACAACTAGATTCAAATTTAAAATACCATTTATAATAACAAAAAATGTGAAATACTTAGGAATAAATTTAACCAAATGTATGCAAAACGCTAAAAATGATGAAACATTAATAAAAGAAATTAAAGAACTAAACAGAGAGATACACTGTATGTATGGACTGGATAACTCAGTATTGTTAAGATGTCAGTACTCCTCAAATTTATCTATAGATTCAGTGCAGTACCAATCAAAATTCCAGAAGTTTTTAAAAATAGACATTGATGAGTCAATTCTAAAGTTTATATGGAAATGCAAACAACCTAGAAAAGTTAAAACAATTTTTAAAAAGAAGAACGAGATTAGAAGATTCACATTATCTTATTTCAAGACTTCCATAATGCTACAGTAATGAAAACAGTGTGGTATTGTTAGAAAGACAAACATACAGATTAGTTGAATAGAACAGAGTCAAGAAATAAGCTCAGAGTATATAAATAACTCTTGTAACCTGATAATAAAATAATAAACAGCCCAACTTTAAAATTAAATAAAAGATTTGAGCAGACATATTACCAAAGAAGATATACAGTTGGCAATTGGCAAATAAGCACATGAAAAAATGTTCAACATGTTCAAATGTTAGGGAAATAAAAATTAAAAACTACATTGAGATACTACAGCAAACCTACTACAATGGTTAAAATTTTAAAGATTGGGCCGGGCACGGTGGCTCATGCCTATAATCCCACTACTTCGGAAGCCCGAGGCAGGTAGATTACCTGAGATCAGGAGTTAGAGACCAGCCTGGCCAACACGGCGAAACCATCTCTACTAAAAGTACAAAAATTAGCCAGGCACGGTCGTGGGTGCCTGTAATCCCAGCCACTCAGGAGGCTGAGGCAGGGGAACCACTTGAACCCAGGAGGCAGAGGTTGCAGTGAGCTGAGATCATGCCACTGCACTCCAGCCCAGGCGACAAGATCAAGACTCCGTCTAAAAAAAAAACATTTAAAGATTGACAGCTTCAAGGAGTAGTGATTATGTGGAGAAACTGAAGCTCTCACACATTATGAGTGACATGCAAAATGATAACAGCCACTTTGGAAAAAAGCTGGACAGTTTCTTATAAAATTAAACATAGACCCATCATACAACTCACCAATACTATACCTAAGCATTTATCCAAGAGAAAGAAAAACATATGCAAATGTTTATAGTGGCTTTATTCATAATTGCCCCCAAATGGAAACAATCCATGTGTCCCACAACTGGTAAACAGATAAATTGTAGTGCATCTGTACAATAAAATACTACTACTGAGTTATGCAACAATATGGATAAATCTCAAAGGCATTATGCTAAGTGAAAGAAGCCATGCACAAAAGGTAAAATAACATATAATTCCATTTGTATAATATTGTGTATAAGCCAAAACTAGAGGGAAAAAAAATCAGATTATGGGTCCCAGAGACTCTGTCTGTCTCTTGCCTCTATCTCAAAAACACAAACAAAGTAAGTAGAAGAAAAGAAATATGTAAAGATATCTAAAGAGCATGGGAGGTTGAGGCTGCAGTAAGCCGTGATCACGCCACTGCACTCCAGCCTAAGTAACAGAGTGAGACCCTGTCTCAAAGCAAAACAAAACAAAACAAACAAACAAAAAAATTACAAAGCCCAAAGTTGGCTCTTTGAAAAAAATAAAATTGGTAAAACTATGACAAGATTGGTCAGGGGAAAATATGAGAAAACACAAATTACCAATATGAGACACAAAAGCCATATCACTAGAGATCTTATGGGCATGAAAATAATAGAAAAAAATATATGAACAACTAAGTCAATAAATTTGACAAACTGCATGAAAGAGACAAATTTCTTAAAAATACAAATTAGCAAAACTGACACAAGAAAAAACTGAATATGTGTAAATAAAGTTGAATTTGCCTTTGATTACCTTCCCACAAAGAAAGCTCCAGACCCCTATAGTTTTACTGGTAAATTCTATCAGACAGTAAGGAAGAAAAAATATTCACATTATACAACGCCTTCAGAAAACTGAGAAGGAAACAATTCTCAACAATTCTGTTTTATAAGGCCAACACAATCCTGATACCAAAACCAGATGAGAAGACTAGAGTCTAATGCCTGTCATCAACAAACGTGTAATATATATTAATTAGAAAATAAAATTCAATACAAAAATTAGCTAGGTGTGGTGGTACACACCTGTAATCTCAGCTACTTGGGAGGCTGAGGCACGAGAATTGCTTGAAGCTAGGAGGCGGAGGTTGCAGTGAGGTGAGATTGTGTCCCTGGACTCCAGCCTGGGCAACAGAGCAAGACTGTCTCAAAAAAACAAAATTAATTTAATTTAATTTTTTTTTTTTGAGTTGGAGTATCGCTCTTGTTGCCTAGGCTGGAGTGCAATGGCGTGATCTCGGCTCACTGCAACCTCCGCCTCCCAGGTTCAAGCAATTCTCCTGCCTCAGCCTCCTGAGTAGCTGGGATTACAGGCATGTACCACCACACCTGGCTGATTTTGTATTTTTAGTAGAGACGGGGTTTCTCCACGTTGAGGCTGGTCTCAAACTCCTGACCTCAGGTGATCCACCTGCCTCGGCCTCCCGAAGTGCTGGGATTACAGGCGTAAGCCACTGCGCCCAGCCAATTTAATTTAATTTTTAAAACATTTTTTAAATCTTTTTAAAAATTAAAAAAACTGTTCATTGAAATGGACTTTGTCTTAGTCCGTTTTTTGTTCCTGTATCTGAAAACCTGAGACTGTGTAATTTATAAAAAAAAAAAAAATATATTTTTCACAGCTCTGGGGTCTGGAAAGTTCAAGCTCAAGGAGCTGCATCCGATCAGGGCTTCCTCACTGCATCGTAGCATGGAGGAGGGCATCTCACAGCAAGAGGTCAAGAGCATGTCAGGTCAGCTTTCTCTCCCTCTTCTTATATAGCCACCATCCTAATTACCTTCCAAGGGCCCCACCTCCAAATACCATCAACATATGAATTTGCAGATGAAATTTTGGAGGCCGGGCGTGGTGGCTCACTCCTGTAATCCAGCACTTTGGCAGACCGAGGCAGGTGGATCACCTGAGGTCAGGAGTTTGAGACAAGCCTAGCCAACATGGCAAAACCCTGTCTCTGCTAAAAATAGAAAAATTAGCCGGGTGTGATGGCACGTGCCTGTAGTCCCAGCTACTCGGGAGACTGAGGCTGGAGTATGGCTTGAACCTGGGAGGCAGAGGTTACAGTGAGCCGAGATTGCGCCATTGCACTCCAGCCTGGGTGACAGAGAGAGATTTCATCTAAAAATAAAATTTTTTTTAAAAAGGCCAAGCATGGTGGCTCACACCCGTAATCCCAGCACTTTGGGAGGCCAAGGCAGGCGGATCACCTGAGGTCAGGAGTTCGAGACCAGCCTGGCCAACATGGTGAAACTCCATCTCTACTAAAAATACAAAAAAAAAAAAAAAAAAAAAAAAAAAAAAAATTAGCCAGACATGGTGGCAGGCACCTGTAATCCCAGTCACTGGGGAGGCTGAGGCAAGAGAATCACTTGAACCCTGGAGGCGGCGGCTGCAGTGAGCCGAGATCGTGCCATTGCACTCCAGCCTTTGAGACTTTGTCTCAAAAAAAACAAAGAAAGAAAGAAAGAAATTTTGGGGACACATTCAAACCATAACAAACTAACAAATGTCAGCAAATTTGAAAATTTCTATTCATTGTAAGACCCATTAAGAAAATGAATAGCGAAGACACAGACTGGGAATAAACATTTATTATATAATATGTGTATGTATTATGTAATTACTATATTATATGTTATTATATTATAATAATGATTTAAATACATATTATATAATATAGGAGGTAATATCTAAAAAAAGACTGTGCCCAGAATGTATAAATAGCTCCTATAAATCTATAATAACAATAAAAAAAAACCAATGACCCAATTTTAAAAATAAGAGAAGGCTTAAATGGGCACTTCACAAAGAAAAATTTATAAGTAGCCAATAAGCACATGAAAAAGAGTTCAAAATCATTAGCCATTAGGGAAATTTTAATAAAACCTCAATGAAATACCATTATACCCTTACTAGAATGACTAAAATTAAAAAGACTGGTAACACCAAATGTTGGCAGGGATGTGTAGCAATAGGAACTCTCATAGCTTACTGGTGGGAGTGTAAAATGCACAACCACTTTGCAAATCAGTATGGCAGTTTCTCATTAAGTATACACCCTCCTGTGACCCAGTCACAGAACTTCTAGGTTTTACTTAAAAGAAATGGAAACGCCGGGCACGGTGGCTCACGCCTGTAATCCCAGCACTTTGGGAGGCCGAGGCGGGTGGATCACGAGGTCAGGAGATCGAGACCATCCTGGCTAACACAGTGAAACCCTGTCTCTACTAAAAATACAAAAAATTAGCTGGGCGTCGTGGCACACGCCTGTAGTCCCAGCTGTTCCGGAGGCTGAGGCAGGAGAATGGCGTGAACCCGGGAGGCGGAGCTTGCAGTGAGCCGAGATCGTGCCACTGCACTCCGGCCTGGGTAACAGAGCAAGGTCTCAAAAAAAAGAAAAAAGAAAAGAAAAAAGAAATGGAAACATATACACAAAAAGACTCGTACAGGAAAATTCTTAGCAGCTTTATTCATACTATCCTAAAATTGGAAACAACCCAAATGCCTGTCAACAGGAGAATGGATAAACAAATCATGATATAGCCATAACTGAATACTACTTATTAAGAAAAAGGAACAAACTGCTGATACACACCGCAACATAAGTGAATCTCAAAATGCCGAGTGAAAAAGCCAGACACAATCGAGTACACACAATAAAACTTCATCACATGGAGTTCTACAACCAGTAAAACTAATCACTGCTCAAAGAAATAATCAGAAGAGTATTTGTCTCTGTGGGTGAAGAGGATGGGGATGGACTAGGAAGGGAACAAGGGACCTTTTCGGGGATCTTTGATATCTTGATAGAGATATGGGTTATATGGCCGGGCACCGTGGCTCATGCCTGTAATCCCAGCACTTTTGGGAGGCTGAGGCGGCCAAATCACTTCAGGTCGGGAGTTCAACACCAGCCTGACCAACATGGTGGAACCCCATCTCTACTAAAAAATATAAAAATAAGCCGAGTGTGGTGGCAGACACCTGTAATCCTAGCTACTCAGGAGGCTGAGGCAGGAAAATTGCTTGTCCCCGGGAGGCGGAGGTTGCAGTGAGCCAAGATGGTGCCACAGCACTCCAGCCTGGGCAACAGAGTGAGACTCCATCTCAAAAAATAAATAAATAGCCGGGTGTGGTGGCTCACACCTATAATCCCAACACTTTGGGAGGCTGAGGTGGGCAGATCTTTTGAGGTCAGGAGTTTGAGACTAGCCTGACCAACATGGTGAAACCCCATCTCTACTAAAAATACAAAATTAGTCAGATGTGGTGGCGCATGCCTGTAATCCCAGCTACTCAGGAGGCTGAGGCAGGAGAATCACTTGAACCCGGGAGGCAGAGGTTGCAGTGAGCTGAGATCGTGCCACTGCAATCCAGCCTGGGTGACAGAGCCAGACTCTGTCTCAAAATAAATAAATAAATAAATGTTATATGGGTATATGTAATTAGCAACATTCATCAGCTTGTACACTTAATATCTGTGTATTTCCACATATGTATATTTTACCTCAATTAGAAAACAATTTTTGGCCGGGTGCAGTGGCTCACGCCTGTAATCCCAGCACTTTGGGAGGCTGAGGCAGATGGATCACGAGGTCAGGAGATCGAGACCATCCTGGCTAACACGGTGAAACCCCATCTCTACTAAAAATACAAAAAATTAGCCGGGCATGGTGGCGGGCGCCTGTAGTCCCAGCTACTCGGGAGGCTGAGGCAGAATGGCATGAACCCAGAAGGTGGAGCTTGCAGTGAGCAGAGATTGTGCCACTGCACTTCAGCCTGGGCGACAGAGCGAGACTCTGTCTCAAAAAAAAAAAAAAGAAAAGAAAACAATTTTTGAGAAGTAAATGGGAAAACAATGATTAAAATTACTTTAACAAAACGAGCTCAGTAAAGTCTGTTTTTAAGAGAAATTGCCGGGTGTGGTGGCTCACGCCTGTAATCCCAGCACTTTGGGAGGCCGAGGCAGATGGATCACTTGAGGTCAGGAGTTTGAGACCAACCTGTCCAACAGGTGAAACCCCGTCTCTACTAAAAATACAAAAATTAGCCGGGCGTGGTGGCGCATGCCTGTAATCCCAGCTACTAGGTAGGCTAAGGCAGGAGAATTGCTTGAACCGGGGACGCAAAGGTTGCAGTGAGCCGAGATCGTGCCATTGGACTCCAGCCTGGGTGACAGAGAGAGACTCCGTCTCAAAAAAAAAAAAAAAAGAGAGAGAAATCAAAATAACTCTGGGACCAATTGAAATCAAAGACTTTGTAATTAGAAAAAAGGAGGAAGAGGAAGAGGTTCTAACCATCAGGATCATCACTTGTTGATGGCTTCCTAAGAACTCTGCCAACTACTTCACAGTGTTCGTTTCATTCCCACAGCCCATCTTTCAGACATAGGAGAAAAAGGATGCTTTAATAAACAAATTCTCCCCACCATCCTTAGCAAACGCTTTAGGTATAAAAGCCCCCTTATAAACTCAAGATAATAAGGCATTTTTTTCTCTCTTTTAAATCTCAAGCAATAAGTAGTGAATCTCTTCTTAAATCTGTTATTATCATAATAAATGTGAACCATAGGATAAAATACCTATTACTGTTTTTGGTTTCAGCAATATTCATACAATATGTACTGTGATCCATGACCACAAGTTTTTTTTTTTTTTTTTTTTTTTTTTGGAGACAAGGTCTGGATCTGCTACCCAGGCTGGAGTGCAGTGGCATGATCATGGCTCATTGCAGCCTCAACCACCCAAGCTCAAGCTATTCTCCCTCTTCATCCTCTTGAGTAGCTGGAACTACAGGCATGCATCACCATGGCCTGGCTAGTTTTTGTATTTTTGGTACAGACAGGGTTTCACCATGCTGCCTAGGCTGGCCTCCAACTCGTGTGCTCAAGTGATCTGCCTACCTTGGCCTCCCAATGTGCTAGGATTACAGGCATGAGCCACCACACCCAGCTTCACAATTCTTAAAACATCTTAATTCCATGATCTAGACAATTTGCCCTTCACAGTGTCCACTGGGGGCTAGAAAGCATGATTTGCCTAATGAATATTTTACCTAACTGCTAAAATGAATCTAGCGCAACTTCCCTGCCAGTTCAACTACAATCTCAAGAATATAACCTCTCATAGGCTCCTGCATGAACTGCAGACTGTTTCAAAAGACGTTAACAAGAATAGGAAGGGGCAAGATGGTCCTTACCACATCCAATATAGCATGGACGAACAGGTCCAGGTAGACTGTGGTGGCCTTGGTCCAGTTGTAAACAGGTCTCACTTCTTTATGATATTTCTGTAATAGCTGCTTGCTGAGATGATACAGAGCAGAATCCTGGGGATGATGTGTATCTGTGGCTAGAATTCCTGGAAAATAAACTATCATTGTGAAGATAAAAGTAAGAGGAGCTTGGTTTCTTTAGGAGGTTTCAGACTGTTCAGGACTCGGTGGCTTTTACTAGAATATAGCTTTCAGCTCACCAAAATCTGCATCAATTCACAGCCAGCTGGTGGGGCCTTTGGCAAATGCTTAAAGTAAGCTGATGGCCTAAGTGCCCAATGGAGAAACCTCATTGTAAAAACAAGTAAATCAACGCCATCTCCAAGGTTGGAAAACTGTACCTACAATTCCATTTTACAACAATCTTGCATTTTGGAGACAGAATAATTTCTTTATTCCTGTATCATCCTCTCCTAGCATCTAGAAAAAACCCACCTACACACTTAGCCAAAACTTAACTCCCGCGTTGGTTTTTCTTTTGATTTTTCATGCGTAATTCAAAAATTCAATAGAAAAATCAAGCAAAAAAACATGAAGAAACCCATTAACCCAAAAAACTTGTATAGATTTCTAGATAAAGGGATTAACGAGAGCCCAATTTGTACTTTTCTCCTCAAAAATCTCTTTTCTCATTTCATCTGTCCTTAAATAAAATGCACTTGTCAGAAAATGAGATCTTTGTTTTGAGAAAATTCTCTCTGGTTCCAGGGAACAACCATTTCTTCTGACCCAAAAATCTTGATTTGTAGAGGAGCTGTGACTGGTGTTGAGGCCAGGGAGGCCAGAGGAAGGGAAGCAAGAGAAATGAGCACCAGCAATTGGAAGTGACAAATTTGTGAGGGCTTTCTCTGAATTGCAAAAAGATATTTTGTTCACAAGCTTTGCCAGCCCTTAGGGGATTCAATGCTTCACTCAGTCATTGGACCGAAGCAAATTGCACACCTCCTGACAAAGTGCGTGAGTGAAATCTCTCTGTAGTGTCCTGCGTGTGAATTTGCCTGGGCTGTCAGTGGTTTTGATGGTTATTTTGATGAGCTGCCAAAGGTATGAGGGATCCAGCAGGAAACTGTAAATGAGATCGCTTCTCCCTGTGCGACAATCCTGTTTATACCCATTTCTTTATGAATGATGTCATGTCACTTGCCGCTACAGGCAGCAATTTCTATGATTTAACAATGTCAGTGTGACCAAAACGCTAACAACAATGCTGGAGGTACAATGCCAGACTCCTTGTGGGCAGTGCAATATACACTTTCATTACCGTCGGAACTGGGAATCTAATGAGCATTTTAACTCCCTAACAATCCACCCAAGAAGATGCCTAAAATGGCGTTAGCTATTCAGGCGTGCAGGACTAAGGTGTGTGGCTTGCATCAGGCATCATTTGTAGGGTTTTTGTGAACTGTTATTGTCAAAAAGTGTGCTGTGAATCTCTCTACCTGAGAACATTTCTCGCTGGTGTACCCCAGGGGAGGGAAGTCAGGAGCACAAGGCAAAGCTGTCCCAGTGCTTTTCCTGCCAACTTTGCTGTGGGCAGCTTCACGTTTACCTCGCTTGGAAGCTCCCAATTCAAGTCTCAGTTGGGGAAACACCGAAATGAGTATGTTTCAATACAGGAAATTACCCGAGACAGCATTAAAACATAATTCTGAGAAATGAATATGTGTTCCTCGCACTGTCTGCTCACAAAGACTCAAATTCCCCTCTGCGATCTTGTCTAGGAAGCAATCCATAGATTCCCTATGGATAAACTCATGTTTTCTAGAATGGGTCAAAATCTTGGTTAAAAAGAGAAAGTTCTGGAAGCTAGGACTAGGAACAAAAGAGAATCAAGCACTGAAAGGAGAAAAATAATAAGCAAATGGAAATATGCTTAAATAAACCAAAAGGGGAAAGAGTTCTTTGTTTAAGATGGGAAGAAATAATAAATTACATTTCTACTATGAATGCAAATTTGCCTGAGGAGAAAGATCAATTACAGGAGAGAGATTAAGGATTTAAGTGACCATTAATTAACAGTAAATTATGCCCCTTGAAAGCTAATGTGACATTCACACAAGCACTAAATGACTCACAGTTCAGTGATGTTTCAACAGACACTGATGGAAGCTATCAACAGACCCAGAAAAGATTCCTCGCCAAAACTGCCTTCTTGAATGCTAATAATCAGCTTCAAATGATTCACTTGTAAGATTTCTGGAAAGTAGAATGTGTTAGGGACTGAGCTATGAAGCACTTGCAGGTGAAGAGAGATTGAAAAGGAGGAAGATAAGAACACAGTAAAATTATTCCTGTGTTTTCCTTGTTTTAATGACTTACTCTCCCATGCACCTATCTTAAAGTGTTCAGGGCACTTTGATGGAAAGCACTATTCTTGCTTTAGTCACTATGTATCTGTAGGATTATAAGAGAGTTACACATATATCTGAGAGGTTAAAAGGAAATGAGATTTATGTATTGAATTCCTAACACTAATTGAATGCTGACTGTATGCCAGGCACCAGGCTAAGTCCTCACATGAATGATCTCCTTCAAAGTTCCCAACAAACTTATGAGACAGGTACTCTACAGCTCTGTGAGGAGTGCACTATTCCTGCAGATGAGGGACTATTGGCATAGTGAGCTTAGCACTGCCCAAGGTCATGAAGCTTGCAAGTGAAGGGAGTGATATTTACACACAGCTGGTCTGGATTCGAAGTCCAAGCTCTTAATCATGACGCTACATGATTAAGTGTAACCTGGCTCCCTGAGAATATCAGGAACAACAGCAAGTAACCTTTCAAAAAGAAGACTGACATGTTGTATGGAGTATATTATTGGACAGAAATAGCCAGTGGTATTTTCTGCATGTGTTTTCAGGTTAATAATATCTTACATTTGCATTTCACCTTACAATTTAACAATGCTGTCTTATCTGATTGTCATGAATATCCAAAATAAAGTTAGCTTACAGGAAAACTGAGTCTCTAAGAGATTAATTGACTTCCCAGGGTTACGTGGCTGGTGAGTGGTGAAGCAGGAATTAGCTGGCTCTCCTTGTTCAGGCCTCCTTCTATACCAGCACACTGCCCCCTGGGATTGGTTCCGTGCTCTTACACTTAACAAATCATCTTGATTTGTAAATATAGTAAAATACGTAAAGTAAACATAGTAAAACCCAGTACAATTCCACAGGGCAGGTCTTTCTGCAACAAGTATCCACGGAATGATTTATGGTAAAGCACTGGTTATCAGACACTATTAAAACACTTCTTTCTGCTACATTTAGAACAAAAATCATGCATAATACAAAACATTAGAGAGATATTGTTAAGAACTTAGTCTGTTTTCTTACCTTCATTTTTCTATTTTATCTTAGTTTAATGTTCACGATTATTTTCTACTAAGAAACCCATTTGGCATTTAATGACACTTCCTCTGTTTTTATTTTTTACAATTAAGATATGCTTTTATCCTTTATGTTCAACATCCAGGATTTTTATACTTTAATGATAAGTGGCTATTTTTCTTCTCTACCCAATAAAAAAATCATTTCCAGCTTCCTGGCTACCAAATTTCTAACTCATCTCTATAATTGACTCATTCCACTTCCAGTTACATCCTAAAACTTGAGAATTCAGATATGAGCTCTAGGAGAAACCTCAAGAAAGTGGGGTGTTGAGAACACCAGCATAATCATAAATTCTTGATTTGTGCGCATGTACTAAGAATCAATTGTATCCTAACTAAAATGATTCAATTCAGTAGAGTTAATACTGGTGCCATGGAAATATAGTTCTAGAAATTTAGAAAAAAAAGTATTAACTTCTAAATTACTTTTAAGAGGAATTGTAGACTCAAAACTTACCAGTTTATAGTACCTGTCTTTAGAGATATACTCATCACCTATATAGATTTTGTAAGGCGAGATGTTAAGGCCTCTAATACCAAAATGATATACATATATCTGTAGCCATGACAAATCTAGTGGACTTTTTCTCTGGGCTGCTAACAGCTGATAATGAAGCCAAGACTATTTTGGATAATAAAAACATATTATCCACACATAAAAGCAAATTTGAAAAAGAATGCCCCAAACTCTCAATCAACCTGCAGAGAGCTTGATTTCTAGAGAAGCAGAGATTTATCAAGCAATTATAACATTTCAGAGCATATTTTCAGCTATGTGTAAAAAGCCCCACAGTCTGATGCTATATGTATACGTATTTGCAATCATAGGAGCCAAGTCACAAACAAATCATTGTTTTCCATATAGCTTCACAGGACTGGCATTTTACAGACGATGAATAAAAACAAACATGCCTGAGAAGTCCTACAGTACGGTGTATACAAATATTGTCTCTATCTTCTAAGAGTTAATCCTTAATGCCTAGTAAAATTATTAAAAGGACTCACCTGCAGCCACCAGGATGCAGGCCCACAGGGGAGCCATTACACTTGACAACATTCCTGGGCAGATCCCAAAAAGGAGAAATGCAAACTTGCCTACCAGATGGAATGCCGCTCAATTTCTCCTAACAGGGTTCCTCTCCACTCTGTTCTCCTCCTTCTCCGTTTGCCAGTTGATGCTATCCTTACTGGTGCTATTTTGTAAACACTCAGTGGGACCAAAGGCAATACCAGCACCATGCAAATGTTTTGGAATTGATGCCGTCATGAAATCCCTTAACTTCTCCCTTTGGTTCTGCCCCAAGATCAGACCGTGGCCAACATTTCCATTTTCCTGACAGGAGATAGCTAAGTGAATAATGTAATCTAAGAGGAGCCCCTAAGGAGAGGAAATTCCACACTAATATGATTTCCTTTACAGCCTTTACCTAAGGCAGTACTCTTGCTGACATTCAGGACACTAATTTCATTAATAATTGAAATCCAAATAGCTGTTCTAAATCAGACTTATGCAGTAACATCTTCAGCATTTGACAGTGGTTCTTGGGCTCTTGAATTACACAAGGCTAATGGAAACCTGGTATTGTCTAATGAAGAACAACTGCAAACAATGCAATGGAAAAGTGCTTTTTGTTTTTCCTAAGCCCTTTTAATTAAAAGAAACATTGACTTTTGATAAATAGGAGGGCTTCTCAAATTTTCACTGCTCACAATTCAGAAAGTAACCTTCTAGAAAGGATGCTTCTAGGCTTATTGAAGATGAAAACAAAGTTCAACATCATTTAATAAAAGTTTTTTTTTCACTTTTTGATTGAATACGCATTCATTTTTCATTACTAAGGAACATGATGCATAATTCTATACAATAACACTATTTTCCATTTCTAGACACCCCCAGATGCTCTAGAAAGAAAAAACAAATACCATTTCCAACATCTGCCTGCTTTTTTATTAAAAATGAGATTATAGAGGCAAATTTTGATATAAATTTTCACAGAGCCAACCGAAGGGGGGAAAGTATATATTTGATTCCTATTCTCCTAATCACTCAGTCCCTTTGTTTAGAATCCATGAAGTTCTACACCTAATTTTCATCTACCAATAAAATGTAGCCTAATTGCTTTCTTACTGTTGGTGAAGGGAGTGGTATACACAGAAAGAGAGAAAACTAAGATAACCATTTGGTGTTGACTTGGTTTTGGAGGTATCAGTGTGAACCCATGGTTTTCAGTACATTTGCTAAATATATAAATAATTGCAAATAAGCTGGGCGTGGTGGCTCAAGCCTGTAATCCCAGCACTTTGGGAGGCCGAGGCCAGTGGATCACTTGAGGTTAGGAGTTTGAGACCAGCCTGACCAACATGGTGAGCCCCATCTCTACTGAAACTACAAAAATTAGTCAGGCGTGGTGGCACATGCCTGTAATCCCAGCTACTCGGGAGGCTGAGGCAGGGGAATTGTTTGAATCAGGAGGTGGAGGTTGCCATGAACCAAGATCGCGCCACTGCACTCCAGCCTGGGAGACAGAGGGAGACTCCGCCTCAAAAAAAAAAAAAAAAAAAGAAAAGAAAAGAAATAAATACAAATGTAATGTGTGTTTGCACATGTTCATACATGCATATATTCCCTAGCTCTGTCCACTTAGCAGCCTAGGAGAATGACACCCCAATAGTAACAAGCACACCTAGCTTCCATAGCTCTTCCGGTATAGTCTTGCCAAAAATTCATAACTTGAATCTATTCAGGAGGAAACACCAGATGAGACAGTGGCATACTGTGGGACAAACAAAACAGCAGGCATCTTCAAAAGTGCCAAGGTGGGCCAGGTGCAATGGCTCATACCTGTAATCCCAGTACTTTGGGAGGTTGAAGTAAGAGGACTGCTTGAGCCCAGGAATTTGAGACCAGCCTAAGCTACATAAGGATACCCTGTCTCCACACAAAAAAATAAAAGATTAGTTTAATGTGGTGGTGCACTCCTGTAGTCCCAGCTACTTGGGAGGCTGAGGCAGGAGGATCACTTGAGCTCAGGAGATAGAGTCTGCAGTGAGCTGTGATTGTGCCACTGCACTCCAGCCTGGGCAATAGAGGTAGACCCTGTCTCAAAAACAAAAACACACACACACAAAAGTGCCAAGGTTATAAAAGTTAAGGAAAGACTGAGGAACCTATCAGACTAAAGAGACACAAGCACAATATCTGATTCTGAATTGGATCCTTTTGTTATAAAGAACATTTTGGGAAGAATTGAAACTCGAATGAGGTATGTGGATTAGATGGTAGTAATGTGGCAATGTAGTAATGTTGGTTTCCTGATTTTAATTGTATAGAGATTATGCAAAAGAATGTCCTTGTTTGTAAGACCAGCACACTAAGTATTCAAGAATGAGGGAAGATCGCACACAGTGGCTCACGCCTGTAATCCCAGCACTTTAGGAGACCTAGGTGGGTAGATCACCTGAGATCAGGAGTTCAAGGCCAGCCTGGCCAACATGGTGAAACCCTGTCTCTACTAAAAATACAAAAATTAGCCCGGCACGGTGGCACATGCCTGTAATTCCAGCTACTCAGGAGGCTGAGGCATGAGAATCTTGTGAACCCAGAAGGCAGAGGTTGCACTGAGCCGAGATCACACCACTGCACTTCAGCCTGGGCGACAGAATGAGACTCTGTCTCAGAAAAGAAAAAAAAAACAAAAAACAAAAACAGGGCACATCATGTTGATCATGTCGCTAACTTATTCTCAAATGATTGTGGGGGTCTAGGGGAATTCTTTGTACTATCCATCCAATTCTGCTATACATTTGAAAATATTTCAGAAGAAAGAGTAATTTAAATGTAACTTGGTGGAGGAACTTTGGTACACAGTTATGGAAAGTTTATCTGAGAAATACTCTTTAGAGAGGGTGGGCAGATAAATGGGGCTTCATCAAGAGGGAAGATCATAGAGGACTGATCTGGCCCTCAAAGTCTCAGCTCTTCCTATCAGTTCTTTGAATTGTCAGCTTCTACTTATGGGATGAATTAGGACAAGAGAAAGGCAAGCTACAGGCAATATAGCTATGTAGGTAGCAGTTTTTATGGGAAAGCAATGCAGAAGCATCCCTTTATGCAAAGGTTTAATTGAGGCGATGATCGACATTGCATTCTTGCCATGCATTGTAGTAAGCTATGACTCTAAGTCAAACCTTCTGGGGACGTGCTTCCCTCCCTTTTCTTTGCACTTTCTGATATGCCCATCTGTTACTGGAAGGCCATTACTAATGATGTGTAATACAGGTACATTACAACTTTCATTAGCTAACTTAACAACAGTCTAGTAATCCTGCCCATTATGGCTCTTTATTGGCTGATGAATTCTGTCAAGATGGCAATGATTTTGTATGAGTGACTTGTCTTCAAAGTAGTTTATATACAATGCTTCCTGATCTTTCCTTGACAGCCTTGCTCTGTACTGTCAGCTGGCTTAGATCTTTCTTTTTCTAATCTTAGTGTCCTGTCTGGACTTTGTTTACTCAGTACTTTTAGCTTTTTTTTTTTTTTTCCCTAAGAGGCAGAGTTTCACTCTGTCGCCCAGGCTGGAATGCAGTGGTGTGATCATGGCTCACTGTAGCCTCCATCTCCCAGCCTCAAGCAATCCTCCCATCCCAGCCTCCCATAGCTGGGAGTATATGTGTGTGCCACCACACCTGGCTAATTTCTTCTCTTTTTAGTAGAGATGAGGTGTTGGTATGTTGCCCAGGCTGGTCTTGATCTCCTGAGCTCAAGTGATCCTTCCGCCTTGGCCTCCCCAGTAGCTAGGAATATAGGCATGCACCACTACACCCAGCTCATACTCAGTTCTTTTAGGTTTGGTATTGCTCCTCTCCCCACCCTTCAGTTTTTCACAAAAATGGTCCCTCCTCACTATCTTACATACAGCATTTTTCATCCACTAATATGGTTTGGCTGTATGTCCCCACCCAAATCTCATCTCAAATTTCAATCCGCATGTGTCAGAGGAGGGGCCTGGTGAGAGGTTATTGGATCATGGGGGCAGATTTTCCCCTTGCTGTTCTCATGATAGTGAGTTCTCATGAGACCTGATAGTTTAAAAGTGTGGCGCTTCCCCCTTCTCTCTCTCTCTCCACCATGGATGATGTTGCCTTGCTTCCCCTTCCCCTTCCACCATGATTGTAAGTTTCCTGAGGTCTCCCCAGCCATGCAGAACTATGGGTCAATTAAACCACTTTCTTTATAAATTACCCAGTCTCGTGGATCACCTGAGGTCAGGAGTTCGAGACCAGCCTGACCAACATGGTGAAACCCCATCTCTACTAAAAATACAAAATTAGCTGGGCATGGTGGCCCATGCCTGTTATCCCAGCTACTCAGGAGGCTGAGGAAGGAGAATCGCTTGAACCCAGAAGGCAGAGGTTGCAGTGAGCCGAGATTGCGTCATTGCACTCCAGCCTGGGAACAAGAGCAAAACTCCATCTCAAAAAATAAAACAAAATAAAATAAAATAAATAACCCAGTTTCAGGTATGCCTGTATAGCAGTGTGAGAATAGACTAATACATCCACCCAGAGAAAGCTTTTTATCTGCATTGTTTCTGCTAATTCCCCAGACATCATCCTTGGAAGGATGAGTGTGGGGGTAAGTCTCATTCTAGCCTTTCCAGCAGATCAGTATATGTAAGTCAAAATTTGGAATCATGAGGGGCTAGGCATTTGGACTTCTTTCTTTTTTTTGAGATGGAGTCTTGCACTGTTTTCCAGGCTGGAGTGCAGTGGTGTGATCTCGGCTCACTGCAACCTCTGCCTCCCAAGTTCAAGTGATTCTCCTGCCTCAGCCTCCCGAGTAGCTGGGACTACAGGTGCATGCCACCACACCCGGCTAATTTTTGTATTGTTAGTAGATACAGGGTTTCACCAGGCTAGTCTCGAACTCCTGACCTCAGGTGATCCACCTGCCTCGGCCTCCCAAAGTTTTAAGATTACAGGTGTAAGCCACCTCACCCAAACGTGTTTGGACTTCTTAAGTGGCATTACTTGGGTAAAAGAAACAAAGACTTAATCTGGGATTTGAATCTGCGATTCTCTTACAGAAGTTCAGGCCAAGCCCATCATTAAGAAAGTACCTGAAAATATATTTCTTTTAGAAGTCCCCACTTCACATCCCCATGAGCCTTTGCACTCTGTTTCTCCATTATTTTCAAGTAAGATATGGCACCTATTAGATCGACCGATGTCTTTTGGAAGAAGCAAGGGGAGAGGGTTTATTATGCAAACATAATAAGGAAGTGTTTATTATGCAAACAGCAACTGAGTTATGCGTCCTTTAAGACTACTAAATAGTTTTTAATTACTGCTATACCAGTAAATCCCATAAATATGCAAATGCAATTAGTTCAAAAAATAGGCCTTAAATATCTTTATTCCTCTCCAACAAAGTTCTTTGAAGTTAATCGCTAACTCTCTTTGTTCACTCCCTTGGCAGTCATGCTAAAATTGACAGGAATTTTGACAGATGTACATATTCGGGGAACCAAATTTTCTGAGCACATCTGGTCAGGCTGGAGGAAAAAAGCAGAAATGGACATTCCAGCCAAACTCAAACATTTAATGAGTAGAGTCCCATATGAAATTTCTGTTACTCCACAGTGTTTTCCTCTGAAATCAATATCAAGCTAACCACAGAGGAGGCACCTCAAGTCCAAAGACACACTCAGCATTCGATTTTCCTCTAGCTTAGAATTTCATTTTTAATAATAATGCACATTTTACGGTCCTTAAAAAGTAAACAAATAAACAAGGGAATGGAGTCCCTCATGGTTCTGGCCTTTCGTGGTTTTTGTGTCATGGTTTTCTATGGGAGGTCATAGAGCATAAGATATAAGGTCCCAGGCCTTCAAGTCAGACTTACCTCATTGTGCATCCTAGCTTCATCGCTTGCTAGATGCTCATGGCCTTGGTCAAACTCCTTACTGCTTCTAAGCCTTAGTTTTCACATCCTTAAAGAGGGTTTAAACAGCATTGAGTTAGTTTTCTACGGCTGCATTAAAAATTACCACAAATTTATGGGCTTAAAACAGCACTCATCTAGCTCACAGTCCTGTAGGTCAAAAGTCCAGGAACAGAATGAACAGATCTGCTCAGGGTCTCACAAGGCTGAAATCATGGTCACGTGCTGGAGCCAGCTCTCACTGATCAAAAAGACCATTGTTTTTTCATTTGTTTCCAGTGATATCAGTTGGTAAATTGAAATCAGTCAGCCAGGAGCAGTGGTTCACACCTTGGAAGCACTTTGGAAGGCTAACTCAGGCAGATCACTTGAGCCCAGGAGTTCAAGACCAGCCTGGCTAACGTAGTGAAACCCTGTGTCTACGAAAACTACAAAAAAATTGCTGGGTATCGTGGTGCGTGCCTGTAGCCCCAGCTAGCTGGGAGGCTGAGGTGGGAGGATCACCTGAGCTTGGGGAGGTCAAGGCTGCAGTGAGCTGTGATTGTGCCACTGTACTCTAGCCTTAGCAACAGAGTGAGGCTCTGCCTCAAAAGAAGAAAGAAAGAAGGAAAGAAAGAAAGAAAGAGAAAAAGAAAGAGAGAGAGAAAAAGAGAAAGAAAGAAAGAGGAAGGAAGGAAGGAAGGAAGGAAGGAAGAAAGGAAGAAAGAAAGAAAGAAAGAAAGAAAGAAAGAAAGAAAGAAAGAAAGAAAGAAAGAAAGAAAGAAAGAAAGGAAGAAAGTCATAATGACAAAATTTGTCACATGGAAATCAGCAAACACTCCCACCAGGACCCCTCCCACCAGCTGTTTTCAAAACATCTAACTACATGCTGTGACCACTCCCTTGATCTTACAAGGCCTCATATATTCCTACATTACAGTACTCATTCAGGTGTGTTATAAGTATTTGTTTACTTTTCTGTCAGTCTAGAATTTGGTGAATACCTTGAAGGTGGAGCAATGTTGTGTTATTCAGCTTTATATCTCCATCGTAGAGCTTGGCACCTAGTAAGTGTTCATTGAGTGTTCCAGAAAGATGGGAGGAAAACAGGGAAGAAAGAATTAACAAATGAACAGAAAAGAATTCTGGCTTATGCCAGAAAGATGATGCCAAGAGGAATCCAGCCTTTTCATAACCACATCCAAGATGAGATACACTCACCACCCATTTCACAAAGGATGGGTGAGAATGACAACTTGGTTCTGAAGCAAGATTGCCTTTATTTGGTTTGCTCCAGAACCAGGGAGCAATTAGTGCAAAAGACAAACATGAGACACCGGTGCAGGCAGATCATGAGTCCCTTTGACTCACTCAGAGTGTACTCCAAGTTCAGAGATTTTACAGTCCTTGGGGGTAAGATGTACCCCAAAAGCTAGAGGAAAATAGAAGGTGGAAGGAACTTGGAGGAACACAGAAGCTTGCTGCTTCTGTTTACGCTCCCAATGACATCAATTCCAAGAAACCGCTTAGTGAGACTACAATATACGACAGACAGTCTTACCCTGTACACTATGTTGTTTAGATCTTCTGCACAGATTATGGGCCTTGAAGTCTTGCTGTGCCAGCACTGGGGGATCTCCCCTGATCTATGGCTCACTGTAGGGCCCCCAACATTTCCATTTAGACCCATTTAGACATTTTCTGGGGAAAGGCAGTCAATTACTGCAGCCAGTGAGATGTTCTGGTTCAGGTGTAAATCTCTGGATATTTCCATCTCTGCTATGACTCAAGATGAGGAAAGATCTTTGATCCTTTAGAAATTTATTTATTTATTCATTCATTCATCCACTTAGTAAGTAGGAAATTGTGATAGACATTGACAATCTATGGATAAGAAAGCTGGGGAGAGGTGGATTGGAGGTGACAGATAAGAAATCTTTGAGAGAAACGCCTATAGATGGATGAACTGGAGAGGACCCAGGCAAAGAAAGGAGCCCAGACTTGGAGTGGGAGTAGGTGGAGGCTTTTCACAAATAGCATTTGTGCTGAGTACTGATATTCATCTGAGTGGGGAGAGGGTGAACGGAGCTCCCAGCAAAAGGAATTGCACATGAAAGGGCTGGAGGTTGAGATGAGAGTGCATGGTGCCTTCTGGGAACGGGGTCGGGGGGAGGGTGCAAGCCTCACTTTGTAAAATTGGGGGAAGATAATTCTAGACTCACATGAGTTGAAAGAATTCAAAAGTTCATGATGCAGAGTGTTGACCGGGGATAAAATAGGAAAGTGAAATATTGTATAAGTCTGTATAAGTGCTGTTATTATAAATCTGTCTCCAAATGGCCTATAGCAATTATTCTAAAATGCACAACAGCTGTATTTGTCCCCCTTCTGCCATTGCTGAAATTTACACTGTCATCGCGCCAGGAGGAAGGCTTGGCACTAATAATAGGCTGGCTGAGTATGGCTGGAGTGTGACAGACCCCTAGTTAGAGCCCAGAAAGACTGAGAGCAGAGTGGGGAACTGTAAAGCTCTGAGGAAATTCGAGTTGGTGGCTGTGAATATAATCAGAGCACCACCTTGTGGTGGCTGTCGTGCCTGCCTTAACCAATTCTGCGCAACCCCAGAAAACTATGCCAACTCATTTTAAGTTTTATTATACAGTGCACTTTCAAATGATTTCAAAGTCATTTCAGGCCTCTCTTCATGTCACCACTATTCGTCTTTGCTGTAAATTCTCCTCTTTGCGTTCACCAGCACCAATCCACACCAACCCATTCGATCTGTTTTCACACAGCTTATGACCGGCCAGTTCCTTCCTCCTACCTCCTTACTGCAATTCTTCCAAACTCTTGGTCCCTAGGAGCTCCCAAGTTTCCTGGGAAACTGACTCAGTAACTTCTTTTTTTCTTTTTCTTTTTCCTGAGACAGGGTCTCGCTCTGTCACCCAGGCTAGAGTGCAGTGGTGTGATCATAGCTCACTTCAGCCTTGACCTCCTGGGCTCAAGTGATCCTCCCACTTCAGCTTCCAGAGTAGCTAGGACTACAAGTAAGTATCACCATGCCTGGCTAATTTTTTTTTTTTTTTTTTAGTTTCCCTATGTTGCCTAGGCTAGTCTTGAACTCCTGGGCTCAACTCCTGAGACGCCTTAGCCTCTCAAATTGTTGGGATCATAGGTGTGAGCTACCATGCCCAGCCTCAGTGACTTTTCACAAATGGCATTTATGCTGAATACTGATATTCAGCTGGGTGAAGAGAGGGTGAACGGGTGAAAGTTACAGTGTAACTTTCCTACTGTCTTCCTAAGAATGGGAATAAGTCTTCTGCACATCTGAAAAGTTATAAACAATATTATTAAAAGCCATATCAGGGATTTACTACGAAGATAGGACCCCAGAGGGACTAACTGCGTCTTCTAGTAGAGTAAAGCTCGTCTCTGGCCACCCAGCGGGCCAGTAACACAGTGTCCTGGTAGGCAGACTGGTGTATCAGGTTTCAGAGGATGCCCCAGGGAACAGGACTAGAAGTATATGAGCTCTTTAAAAGCACAAAGCAGTCGTTTCCATGTTCAGATTATTTAGAGATTATGAAGGCACCAACCCTGCTTTCGATCTGCATACAGTCAAGTGGAGCAGACACAAGTCAATAATCGCAGTAGAGCCACTTAAGTTTTCTAAAAGAGATTTATCAGCAGGTTGCAGGTGAACATGGCCTTGAGATAAATCCTGCCCCTTGTTGAAGTACAGTTTCAGTAGATGGTTCATGGTATTTTAAGAATTGGAATTTTTTAATAAAAATAAAAAAGTTTTGTTTGGTTCTGTTCTAGATTTATTTTTCCTCCTAAATAAATGAGAAAGATGTTTCAACAAAGGTTCTTTATGCTGAATAATTGTGATGCTTGAAGGTGGTAATCTGCTTTGTTTAAGTGGATTTTAAATGTCAGACAATTCTAGACAGTTTTCTCTTGGTCAAATAAAAATTTAATTAAAAGTTAAAAAAATTAAAAGCCATATCAAATTTTAATATTGACAGGAGGGATAAAACTCTGTAACGCTGACTGTCTTAGATTAGGTTTCCCTGAAACATACCTATAATAAGGCTTTGTGTACAAGCAATCAATTTTAGAAATACTCCCAATAGAAATTGGGAAAGGGGAGCGTGGTTTCAGCTTGAACCCTCAGGGAAACTTGACAGTGAAAACCACACAAGGGAAGCTGGCCTGCACACTCTCACTCCCACCTGTCAGCTGTTGGCTAAGGGGAACAGGGAGTGAACTCCCAGATATTTCCTGGTCTTTTCCTGGGCAGACAAAGCTTTAGTAGCCAAGGAGACGTCTCCAACAAAAGTCCTAGGTGTGGGCCTTGGAAGCCACAGTGCAGGGAAGCCAAGAGAGGGAGTGCAGAAGAGGAACGGAGGTCTGAAAAGATCTAGAAAGACCACTATCAGTTTCTGTTTCAGAGACAGCACAGACACACGGGAGGCACTAAGTTTCTTATTCCTTCAGAAGACAATTAAGGCCAGGCATCATGGTATCACGCCTATAATCCCAGCAGTTTGGGAGACAGAGGCGGGTGGATCACTTGAGGTCAGAAGTTCGAGACCAGTGTGGCCAACGTGGCGAAACCCTGTCCCTTTTCTTTCTTTCTTTCTTTCTTTTCTTTTCTTTTTTTTTTTGAGACAGAGTCTTGCTCTGTCACCCAGGCTAGAGTGCAGTGGAGCAATCTCAGCTCACTGCAGCCTCTACCTCCTGGATTCAAGCGATTCTCAAACGTCAGCCTCCTGAGTAGCTGGGATTACAGGCGCCTGCCACCATGCCCGGCTAAATTTTTTATTTTTAGCAGAGATGGGGTTTTGTCATTTGGCCAGACTGGTCTCAAACTCCTGACCTCAAGTGATCCACTTGCCTCGGCCCCCCAAAGTGCTGGAAGTACAGATGTGAGACACACCCAGTCTTGAAACCCTGTCTCTACCAAAAAATACAAAAATTAGCTGGGGTGGTGGCATGCATTTGTAATCCCAGCTACTGGGGAGGCTGAGGCACAAGGACCATTTGAACCCAGGGGGCGGAAGCTGCAGTGAGCAGAGATTGTGCCACTCCACTCCAGCCTGGGCAACAGAGCAAGACTTGGCCCCCCAAAATAACAATAGGCCAGGAGCGGTGGCTCACGCCTGTAATCCCAGCACTTTGGGAGGCTGAGGCTGGCGGATCACGAGGTCAAGAGACCAGCCTGGCCAACATGGTGAAACTCTGTCTCTACTAAAAATACAAAAATTAGCCGGGCATGGTGACTGTGCCTGTAGTCCCAGCTACTTGGGAGTCTGAGGCAGGAGAATCGCTTAAACCCGGGAGGTGGAGGTTGCAGTGAACCGAGATCATGCCACTGCACTCCAGCTTGGGTGACAGAGCGAGACTCCATCACAAAAAATAATAATAATAAATAAATAAAATAAAAATAAATTTAAAAGAAGACAATTAAATTTCCAGTAACCTGATGATTAACTTTGCAGAGCCCAAACATACAGAAATACAATTAACACTTTTCTTTTTCTTTTTTGAGACAAGAGTCTCACTCTGGGCCGGCCGCGGTGGCTCAGGCCTGTAATCCCAGATGGAGACAATCCTGGCTGAGATGGTGAAACCCCGTCTCTACTAAAAATACAAAAAAATTAGCTGGGCGTGGTGGCGGGTGCCTGTAGTCCCAGCTACTCGGGAGGCTGAGCAGAAGAATGGCAAGAACCCGGGAGGCAGAGGTTGCAGTGAGCTGAGATCGCGCCACTGCACTCCAGCCTCGGCGACAGAGTGAGACTCCATCTCAACAACAACAACAAAAAAGAGTCTCACTCTGTCATCCAGGTTGGAGTGCAGTGGCGCAATCTCAGCTCACTGCAACCTCCGTCTCCCGGTTCTAGCGATTCTGGGGCTTAGCCTCCTGAGTAGCTGGCATTACAGGCACCCACCACCATACCTGGCTAATTTTTGTATTTTTCGTAGAGATGGGGTTTCACCATGTTGGCCAGGCTAGTTTCCAACTCCTAACCTCAAGAGATCCTCCCACCTCAGCCTCCCAAAGTGCTGGGATTACAGACGATGCCATCACACCTGGCTAATTATGTGTTGTGTTGCTTTTTACTTTTTTTTTAGACGGAGTCTCGGTCTCTTACCCAGTTTGGAGTGCAGTGGTGCGATCTGGGCCCACTGCAACCTCCGCCTCTGGGATTCAAGTGATTCTCCTGCTTCAGCCTCCTGAGTACCTGGTTTCACAGGCATCCTTGGGATCATAACCATCACATCTGGCTAATTTTTGTATTTTTTAGTAGAGATAGGGTTTCGTCATGTTGGCCAGGCTGGTTTATTGCTTTTTTTTTTTTTTTAAAAGATGAACTCTCGCTCTGTCACCTAGGCTGGAGTGCAATGGCACGATCTCGGCTCACTGCAACCTCCCACTCCCAGGTTCAAGCGATTCTCCTGCCCCAGCCTCCCAAGTAGCTGGGATTACAGGTGTGTGCCACCACGCCTGGCTAATTTTTGTATTTTTGGTAGAGACGGGGTTTCACCATGTTGGTCAGGTTGGTCTCGAACTCCTGACCTCGTGAGCCACCGCACCCGGCATTGCTTTTTTCAAGTTAATATTTCTCCTCCTGGCCAGGTACGGTGGCTCACACCTGTAATCCCAGCACTTTGGGAGACTGAGGCAGGCGGGTCACTTGAGGTCAGGAATTCGATACCAGCCTGGCCAACATGGTGAAACCCCATCTCTACTAAAAATACAAAAATTAACCGGGCATGGTGGCGCCTGCCTGTAGTCCCAGCTACTTGGGAGGCTGAGGCGGGAGAATCACTTAAGCCCAGTAGGTGGAGGTTGCAGTGAGCCGAGATCGCACCACTATACTACAGCCTGGGCAACAGTGCAAGACTCCATCTCAAAGAAAGAAAAAAAATATTACGCCTCCTGGAAAAAGCTCTTTCCCCAAATATTTGTTGATGACTTTGCCATAATTTTACCAGAGTCACATGGTTCCTATCTTGACCACATATTTTAAGAATAAAATATGAAATTTTAAAATCTGAAGTCTAAGTTATACTGCTGTGATGTCTAAGCAAGTAATCTGCAAGCATGGCAGCACATGAGGCTCATCGAGTATTTTTAAATGACCTGGGTCCCATCTCTATAGATTCTGACATTATGGTATAAGATGGGACCCAGGGGCGGGCGCGGTGGCTCACGCCTGTAATCCCAGCACTTTGAGAGGCCAAAGTGGGCAGATCATGAGGTCAGGAGATCGAGACCATCCTGGCTAACACGTGAAACCCCATCTCTACTAAAAATACAAAAAAAATTAGCCGGGTGTGTTGGCTGTCGCCTGTAGTCCCAGCTACTCAGGAGGCTGAGGCAGGAGAATGGCATGAACCTGGGAGGCGGAGCTTGCAGTGAGCCGAGATCGCACCACAGCACTCCAGCCTGGGCGACAGAGCGAGACTCTGTTTCCAAAAAAAAAAAAAAAAAAAAAAAAAACAGTGGAATTGAGTGGGTATGGCTATTGAGTTGACTTGAACTCAGGAAAAAGATAAAGAAAAACAGAGAGCGATTAACCAACAATTAAAAGCTGAGTTTGGCTGGGTGTGGTGGCTCACACCTGTAATCCCAGCATTTTGGGAAGTCGAGGGGGGCGGATCACAAGGTCGGGGGATCCAGACCATCCTGGCCAGCATGGTGAAACCCTGTCTCTACTACAAATACAAAAAGTAGCTGAGCGTGGTGGTGTGTGCTTGTAATCCCAGCTACTTGAGAGGCTGAGGCAGGGAAATCACTTGAACCAGGAGGTGGAGGTTGCAGTGAGCTGAGATCGCGCCACTGCACTCCAGCCTGGCAACAAAGCAAGACTCTGTCTCAGAAAAAAAGTTAGACCGGGCGTGGTGGCTCACACCTGTAATCCCAGCACTGTGGGAGGCCAAGGTGGGCAGATCACTTGAGGTCAGGAGTTTGAAACCTGCCTGCCCAACATGGTGAAACCCAATCTCTACTAAAAATACAAAAATTAGCTGGGCGTGTTGGTGCAGGCCTGTAGTCCCAGCAACACAGGAGGCTGAGGCACGAGAATCACTTGAACCCGGGAGGTAGAGGCTGCAGTGAGCCGCACTCCAGCCTGGGTGACAGAACGAGACTCTGTCTCAAAAACAAAAAATGAAAAAACAAAAATTAGTCATGCGTGGTGGCACATGCCTGTAGTCCCTGCTCCTCGCGGGGCTGAGGCATGAGAATCACTTGAGCCTGGGAGGCAGAGGTTGGAGTGAGCCAAGATTGTACCACTGCACTCCAGCCTGGGCGACAGAATGAAACTCTGTCTCAAAAAAACAAAAACAAAAACAAACAAACAAAAAATTTCAATTATTTTGTGAGAACAAAGCTATTTTCTTTCTTTTTCTTTCTTTCTTCTTTTTTTTTTTTTCCTGAGACAGAGTCTCACTTTGTTGCTTAGGCTAGAGTGCAGTGGCTCGATCTTTGCTCACTACAACCTCTGTCTTCCAGGTTCAAGCAATTCTCCTGTCTCAGCCTCCTGAGTAGCTGGGATTGGAGGTGTGTGCCACCACGCCCAGCTAAATTTTGTATTTTTGGTAGAGACGGGGTTTCACCATGTTGGCCCAGCTGGTCTTGAACTCCTGACCTCGTGATCCGCCCCCCCTCGGCCTCCCAAAGTGCTGGGACTATAGGCTTGAGCCACTGTGCCTGGCCCAACAAAACTATTTTCAATCTGTCATTTAGAAAAGGGAAAATAAGCTCTTTATAGCTCAGTTAAAGATGAAGATGAGGTCTCAGCTGGACATGGTAGCGCATGCCTGTAATCCCAGCACTTACGTCAGGAGGCCAAGGCAGGAGGACTGCTTGAGGCCAGGAGTTCAAGACACAGATGAGGCATTATATCAATAAAGTGGCTTAGATTTTTAGGGTTTTTTTGTTTTTGTTTTTGTTTTTTTGACAGAGTTTCACTCTTGTTGCCCCGGGTGGAGTGCAACGGAGTGATCTCCACTCACTGCAACCTACACCTCCCGGGTTCAAGTGATTCTCCTGCCTCAGCCTCCTTAGTAGCTGGGATTACAGGCACACACCACCATGCCTGGCTAATTTTTGGGTTTTTAGTAGAGACAGGGTTTCGCCATGTTGGTCAGGGTTTCTCCATGTTGGCCAGACTGGTCTCAAACTCCTGACCTCAGGTGATCCATTCGCCTCGGCCTCCCAAAGTGCTGGGATTACAGGCGTGAGCCACCGTGCCTGGCCTAGATTTTTAGTTTTTATGAAAACCAACACAGAGACCCCCAACATCTTGCTATGGTTTGAATGTCCCCTCCAAAACTCAGGTTGAAATTTAATTGCCATTGTGATGGTAATGGCTGGGTGCAGTGGCTCACCCAGATGGGACAGGCTAGGTGCAGTGGCTCACATCTGTAATTCCAGTACTTTGGGAGGCCAAGGCAGGTGGGTCGCTTGAGCCCAGGAGTTCAAGACCAACCTGGGCAATATGGTGAACCCTATGTGTACAAAAAAATACAAAAAAAAATAGCTAGATGTAGTGGCACACACCTGTGGTCCCAGCCACTTGGGAGGCTGAGGTGGGAACCTCACTTGAGCCTGGCAGGCAGAGGTTGCAGTGAGATTGGGCCACTGCACTCCAGCCTGAGTGACAGTGATTAGGCCATGAGGGTTCTGCCCTTATGAATGGATTAATGGCATTTTCACAAGAGTGGGTTCCTGATAAAAAGCAAGGTAAGCCCCTCTTGTCCACTCTTGCTCTCATGTGAGCTCCTTTTAATTTTTGCCTTCTGCCATGAGATGACTCAGCAAGAAGACCCTCACAAAATGCCAACACCTCAACCTTGGACAAAAACTTCCAGAACTGTCAGAAATAAATTTCTTTTCTCTATAAGTAACCATGTCTGTGGCATTTCTGTTACAGCAACACAAATGGAATAAGACACCTGTGTACATGGGTAGAAAAGGCAAGAGATATGTCATAGCTTTTCTCATATGATACAAAAGTGTCATGTTTGTTAAACAAATTTTGTTCCAAGAAATCCCTCTGGCAATCCCCAGAATCTGCTCTGAATGTGTATGCTTATTCAGTAGTGTCCTCAAAGTGATAGAAAAGTGGCTCTTTACTCTTTCCAGTTTGAGCAATGCATATTTAGTTTTTTTCTTTAAATTTAATAATTAAAACTTGGCCAGGCTGGGTGCGGTGGCTCACACCTGTAATTCCAGCACTTTGGGAGGCCGAGGCGGGTGGATTACGAGGTCAGGAAATCGAGACCATCCTGGCTAACATGGTGAAACCCTGTCTCTACTAAAAATACAAAAAATTAGCCGGGCGTGTTGGCCGGCACCTGTAGTCCCAGCTACTCGTGTGGCTGAGGCAGGAGAATGGCGTGAACCCGGGAGGCAGAGCTTGCAGTGAGCCGAGATTGCGCCACTGCACTCCATCCTGGGCGACAGAGCGAGACTCCGTCAAAAAAAAAAAAAAAAAAAAAGCAAACAAAAAAAACTTGGCTGGCACAGTGGCTCATGCCTGTAATTCCAGCACTCTGGGAGGCAGAGGTGGAAGGATCATTGGAGGCCAGGAGTTCAAGACTAACCTAGGCAACATAGGAAGACCCTGTCTCTACCAAAAAACATAGTTAAAATTAAAATTAAAAAGTATTCAAGTGCTAACACATAACGTTCAAAATATTTTCATTATGTTCTTCAGATAAGCTCATAACTAGATCATTCAGATTCATCATGATCAAGTCAGATAGGGTTGGTTTTTGCCATCATTCCGTTCTCTGTCTTGCCAATGAAATAAGAATATTTAGTATAATAGAAGAGTTGTTGGTAATACTATTCATCTTTCCACAAAGCTGAGGAAATAAAAGTTGAGACTCCTCCACTTTAAATAACATGGCTAGCATTTTTTTTTTTTTTTTGAGACAGAGTGTCACTCTGTCACCAAGGCTGGAGTGCAGTGGCCTAATGTCAGCTCACTGTACCCTCCGCCTGCTGGGTTCAAGCAATTCTCATGGCTCAGCCTCCAGAGTAGCTGGGATTACAGGCATGCACCACCACGCCTGATTAATTTTTGTATTTTTAGTAAAGATGAGGTTTCACTATGTTGACCAGGCTGGTCTGGTTCACCTGCCTCGGCCTTCCCAAGTGCCAGGACTACAGGCATGAGCCACTGTGCTTGGCCCATGGATAGCAATTTGATTTATTTATTTATTATTTATTTATTTAGGGATGGAGTCTCGTTCTTGTTGCCCAGGCTGGAGTGCAATGGCGCGACCTTGGCTCACTGCAATCTCCGTCTCCCAGGTTCAAGTGATTCTCCTACCTCACCCTCCTGAGTAGCTGGGATTACAGGCAATCGCCACCACGCCCAGCTAATTTTTTTGTATTTTTAACAGAGACAGGGTTTCGCTATCTTGGCTAGGCTGGTCTCGAACTCCTGACCTCAGTCAGGAGTCACTGTGCCCGGCCTATGGCTAGCAATTTTAAGCGGAAGTACTGTTCTTTTTTATTTTATTTATTTATTTATTTGTATTTTTGTTTTTATTTTTTGAGACAGAGTCTCATTCTGTCACCCATGCTGGAGGGCAATGGCTTGATCTCAGCTAACTGCAAACTCCACCTCCCAGGTTCAAGCGATTCTCCTGCCTCAGCCTCCCAAGTAGCTGGGATTAAAGGCACCCGCCACCATTCCCAGATAATTTTTGTATTTTTAGTAGAGACGGGGTTTCACCATGTTGGTCAGGCTGGTCTTGATCTCCTTGACCTCAGGTGATCCACCTGCCTCTGCCTCCCAAAGGGTTGGGATTACAGGCGTGAGCCACTGCGCCCTGCCCTGAAGTCCTTTTCTAAAGCTTTTTATTCTTTGTTACCAGAAAGTCTTCATTTGCATAGACTAATTCTCTGATCTGCTGGCTCCAGATTTCAATACTTGTTCTCCTTAGAGCAACTGACACCCTCTCTACACAAAAAATGGTGGAAAAGTCCAAACAGTCTTTATATTAAGCACCCTGTTCCTTTGGTTTTAAGTTTCTTGCTATGGATTACTCCTGGAGAAGTATAGGAGACTACAAATACCACAAAAAAAACAATGATTCCAGGACTTCAGAGTTCTTCCACGGCCATCTCAGGTCTGAAATTCTGAACTCTCCTCACAAATGGAAACAAAAAAGACCCACTCAACTTCAGTCCTTAGCATTTTACCCCTCTGGCAGGGGCCATCAAATACTGTCTCTTCTTCCAACTCCACATCATCTCTATCTCCCAAGGGATGGCCATCTGGCATCCTTAAATCCTAATCTTAAATGCCAATAGTTGTTGGTTTACAATCCTTTACAAAAGTGAAAAAGCTGCAGTCCTTTAAGCAAATGAAACTTATGGCAATAAATGATCCCATCCACTCTCAGGGAGGTGCCCTCTGTTTCCCATCTGTGCTCTTTAGAAACAGATTAACCAGTGCTTGTTAATAAAGCATATTTCTCAGACTTGGCTCACAATTTGCATTTTTGCTGTATCTATAAGGCTTCTGGGGCCAGGTGCGGTGGCTCACACCTGTAATCCCAGCACTTTGGGAGGCCAAGGCAGGCGGATCACCTGAGGTCAGGAGTTTGAGACCAGACTGGTTAACATGGTGAAACCCCACTTCTACTAGAAATACAAAAATTAGCCGGGCGTAGTGGCAGGCGCCTGTAATCCCAACTACTCGGGAGACTGAGGTGGGAGAATGGCTTGAACCTGGGAGGTAGATGTTGTGGTGAGCCAAGATTGTGCCACTGCACTCCAGCATGTGTCACAGAGTGAGACTCCACCTCCGGGTTGCGGGGGGGGCAGGGGGTGGGGGGCGGGGGAAGACTTTTGGGAATACAATGTCAATATTCTCTAGGACCTTTGCTTAAGTTTAAGATGAAACTGCTTTATCATTCAAATCTGGAAATTTGAGAAAGGAGGAGTTACTGATAAGCATACCGGGAAAACAAGGGAAAATCAGATTGCCCCAGGCAAACTGGAACCTGTGGTTGCTGTAATTGTAACTAGTCTTCTGATTGAGTGCTGTTGAAAGAAAATACTTTAGACGAATTTAACAGCGTTTAACAAAGCAAAGAACAATTTGAGAATTGGACAGTACCCTGAACCAGAAAAAGTTCAGAGTAACTCCAGGGCTGCTACCTGATCAGATAATATTTATTTATTTATTATTTATTATGTTTTTTTCTGAGATGGAATCTTGCTCTTTTGCCCAAACTGGAGTGCAGTGGCTCAATCTCAGCTCACTGCAACCTCCACCTCCCAGGTTCAAGCAATTCTCCTGCCTCAGCCTTCTCAGTAGCTAAAATTACAGGCGTGTGCCACCATGCCCGGCTAATTTTTGTATTTTTAGTAGAGATGGGGTTTCACCATGTTAGCCAAGCTGGTCTTGAACTCCTGACCTCGTGATCTGCCCACCTCAGGCTCCCAAAGTGCTGGGATTACAGGCGTGAGCCACCAGGCCCGGCCTTGATAACATTTATTAACAAACAAAGGAAAATGACCTACAGAAAACAGAAGTGAGGCTGGGCCCTGTGGCTTACGCCTGTAATCCCAGCACTTTGGGAGGTCAAGGAGGCAGGCAGATCCCTTGAGGCCAGGAGTTCAAGATCAACCTGGCCAACATGATGAAATACAATCTCTACTAAAAATACAAAAATTAGCCGAGTGTGGTGGGGCATGCCTGTAATCCCAGCTATTTGGGAGGCTGAGGCAGGAGAATTGCTTGAACCCAGCAGGTGGAGGCTGCAATGAGCCGAGGTTGTGCCACCGCACTCCAGCCTGGGTGACAGAGTGAGACTCTGTCGCAAAAAAAAAAAAAAAAAAAAAAAAGTAAAGAAAAGAAAACAGAAGTGAGGGAAGTGAGGTACAGAAATAGCTGGATTGGTTGCAGCTTGGCGTTTGCCTTATTTGAACATGATTTGAACAGTTGTCTGCCTGTGATTTCTGAAACTATCTGGTTGGTACAAGAGTAGGTAACAGGCTGGGGGCAGTGGCTCATGCCTGTAATCCCAGCACTTTGGGAGGACGAGGTGGGTGGATCACCTGAGGTCGGGAGTTCAACGCCAGCCTGGCCAACATGGTGAAACCCCGTCTCTACTAAAAATACAAAAATTAGCCAGGTATGGTGGCAGGCACCTGTAATCCCAGTTACTCAGGAGGCTGAGGCAGGAGAATCGCTTGAACCAGAGAGGCAGAGGTTGTGGTGAGCTGAGATCGCACCACTGCACTCCAGCCTGGGTCACAAAGTGAGACTCCCTCTCAAAAAAAAAAAAAAAAAAAAAAAGAGTACGTAACAGCCTATTTACATATCCAGTTAGTTATGGTCTACTGTGTATGGAGAAACCTTTGGGCTGAACTTAAAGTATGTAAGGAGGCAGCTTTAAGCTAAACTTAGCAGTGCTAAAACTCCCATTTTTCCCCTCAGCTTTCCCTATCTTTGTCAACTCAGCTGCAGTGCCACCCCCAGGAGTCTCGCTCTGTTTCCCAGGCTGGAATGCAATGATGCAATCTTGGCTCACTGCAACCTCCGTCTCTTGGGTTGAAGCGATGCTCCTGCCTCAGGCTCCTGAGTAGCTGGGATTATAGGCCCCCGCCACCACACCTGGCTACTTTTTGTATTTTTAGTAGAGGCAGGGTTTTACCATGTTGACCAGGCTAGTCTCAAACTCCTGACCTCAGGTGATCCACCCACCTCAGCCTTCTAAGGTGCTGGGATTGCAAGCGTGAGCCACCTTGCCACCTGGCCAGATAAATCTTTGCAGGCAGTTTTCTCTCTAATTATTCATCTTTCCCAATTAGGGTTTCTCTAAACCTGAATCTCCTTATCTTTAACCTTGGGCTACAGAAAGATAGAGCTTAAATGCTTGATTTAGAGTGCTGTTTTAGAAAGACCTTGGGCAAATTACTTAATCTGTCTGTGGTGGTTTCCTCACTTGTAAAGCAGGTACAACTGTAATACTAACAGCACTTACTTTATAGGGTATTGTGAGAATAAAGTCAGTTCCTATGCGCAAAGTACTCAGAGAACCACCTGACCTAAGTGCTCGATAATGTTAGCTATTACTTCCTCTAAAAATGTTCTATTTTATTTTATTTACTTTTATAGATGGGGTCTGTCTCTGTCATCCAGGCTGGAGTGCAGTGGCCCAATCTTGGCCCACTGCAGCCTTGAACTCCCGTGTTCAAGTGATCCCCGAACTTCAGCTTCCCAATTAAAAATAGTTCTCAGGCTGGGCGCGGTGGCTCACACCTGTAATCCCAGCACTTTGGGAGGCTGAGGCGGTGGTGGGGGGCGGAATCACCTGAGGTCAGGAGTTCGAGACCAGCCTGGCCAACATGGAGAAACCCTGTCTCTACTAAAAATACAAAATTAACTGGGCGTGGTGGCACATACCTATAATCCCAGCTACTCTGGAGCCTAAGGCAGAAGAATTGCTGGCACCCAGGAGGCGGATGTTGCAGTGAGCTGAGATCGCGCCACTGCACTTCAGCCTGGGCAACAAGAGCGAAACTCCATCTCAAAAATAAAGAAATAAATAATAATAATAGTTCTCTTTTCTTCCAGAGTTAAGTACCAGATCAATAAAATTATTATTTTCTTTTTTAGAGACAGGGTCTCACCCTGTCACTCAGGCTGGAGTGCAGTGGCATAATCATAGCTCACTGCTGCCTTGATTTCCGGGCTCAAGTGATCCTCCTGCGTCAGCCTCTGGAGTAGTTGGGACTATAGGTGTGCACCACCCATACCCAGCTGATTTCTGTAGGTTTTGTAGAGATGGCATCTTGCTATATTGCCTGGACTGGTCTGGAACTCCTAGCCTCAAGTGATCCTCCCACCTCAGCCCCCTCAAGGTGCTGGAAGTACATATGTCAGCCACGGAGAGTTCATATTCTGAATACCAAAGCCAAATAGAGTCCACGTGCGTTTTAATTGCATGGATCCACTTATATGCAGATCAAAATACACACATGGATCAAAAATACTGTATTCAAGCTGGGTGCAATGGCTCACACTTGTAATCCCAACATTTTGGGAGGCCAAGTTGGGAGGATCGCTTGAGCTCAGGAATTCGAGGCTGCAGTGAGCTGTGATCCCGCCATTGCACTCTAGCCTGGGCAACGGAGAAAGACCCTGTCTCAAAAACAAACAAACAAACAAACAGTATTCAAGGATTATGAAACCCGAGTATGTAGAGGGCTGACTTTTCCTATACGTGGGTTCTGCAGGGTCAACTTCACAATTTGAGTATGTGCAGACTTTGTTATAGTAGAGTCAGGTGGAGGTCCTGGAATCAATCCCCTGTGTATACTCATTAACTGTACTTCTTTTCTTTTGTTTTTCTTTTTTTTTTTTTCTTTTTGAGACATAGTCTTGCTCTGCCACCCAGGCTGGAGTGCAGTGACGCGATCTTGGCTCACTGCAACCTCCGCCTCCAGGGTTCAAGCGATTCTCCTGCCTCAGCTTCCCGAGTAGCTGGGACTATAAGGGACACGCCACCACACCCAGCTAATTATTGTATTTTTAGTAGAGATGGAGTTTCACCATGTTGGCCAGGATGGTCTCGATCTCCTGACCTCGTGATCCACCCACCTTGGCCTCCCAAAGTGCTGGGATTACAGGCGTGAGCCACCACGCCGGCCTAGTTAACTGTACTTCTAAAATGAACTCATTAACTTTACCAAAAGCTATTTCAATTCTCCACACACTACATTGCCTGCATTACACATTTGACGCAGGTTGGAAATCCATTTATTTTTCAACCAACCATAGATCCTTTTCTGAAACATTTTCTTAACACCTGTAATTTAACCTTAAATAAGTGAACTTTTTAATCTAGGGGTTATTACTGAAATATCTGTGTTTTATCCTCCAAAGGCCATTTTCCTAGCTGCTGAGGAGCTGGCCCTTAAGGACATTTCTGACTAATCATTCCTGGAAAGGAATCCATAGCTTAAAGACCAGTCACACCTGTCAATCAGCCATAGCCTGCGGCTTTCAAACCCAGCTGCTCAGAAGCCACTGGCAAAAAACATTTACAAGAGTGAAGCAGAGAAGAAACATAAGTGCATGTTTCTTTATTTCTTCTTTTCTCTATTCTTTTCCCAACATTTTCCCTTCATTGTCACTTAGCTCCTCAATCCACACAAGAATTCAATCATTCAAACAAGATCATTTTATAATATAAATTATATTTTGGGTTTGCAGTAAATCAGAAGAGAAATCCATTGACTCAGAAAATAACTTATAGGCTGGGCGCAGTGGCTCATGCCTGTAATCCCAGCACTTTGGGAGACCGAGGCGGGGAGTTCAAGACCAGCCTGGCCAACATGGTGAAACCCTGTCTCTACTAAAAATACAAAAATTAGCCAGACATGGTGGCGCATGCCTGTAATCCCAGCTACTCGGGAGGCTGAGGCAGGAGACTTGCTTGAACCCGGGAGGTGGAGGTTGCAGTGAGCTGAGATCACACCACTGCACTTCAGCTCTGGGCAACAGAGCAAGACTCCGTCTCAGGAAAAAAATAAAAAAATAAAAATAACTTAGCATTGGGACAAAAGGTTTTCCAGGAAAAGGAAAAAGGAAAAAAAAATCAATTTCCTCTCTGGGAAAATACGCTGCAAATTATTCCCTGTTTAAACACACCAATTATTTATTATTGCTTCTTATCAATATTATTTTCTCCCCTGGATACTCTTGAAATGATTATTGACTAATAATAGAATTATTCTAGAGCCTTCATGTATAAGCCCGTTAGAGGAATGAGATGGGATTTTCTGTGGTGACAGCACATGTTCCGTGATATCCACTTTTGATATCTGATCACTGTGAGACTTGCCAACTGATGGCCAAGCACTGATGTAGACTTGCTCATTAAATGCTGTGGTAGGACAGGGTGTGTCTAGCTGATTACCATGTCCAGCACCGAGTGGAAGTTAAAGGAGGCTAACAGGATTTACCACATCTAGCCCCAAATTAATTATATTTATTAGATCTGCAGCGCTGTTTAGAACCATCCAGCAGAAAGAGGTTTAATCAAAACTCAGGGCCTACATTTACCAAAGGGCCTGTACACATCTCTTTCAGAGATAAGGGTATAGGAGGTCTGGTGGTCTTTCTTTTTCTTTTTTTTTTTTGAGACAGGGTGTCACTCCATCACCCAGGCTGGAGTAGAGTGGTGCTATCTGGGCTCACTGCAGCCTTAACGTCCTGGGCTCAGGTGATTCCCCTCCCTCAGCCTCCCAAGTAGCTGGGACTACAGGCACAAGCCACTGCACCTGGCTAATTTTTGGACACGGTTTGGCTGTGCCTTCACCCAACCTCACTTGTTGAATGGCTCTGATGCAAATGCTGATAGTGATATGAACAATAAGGTCCAGGTTGAGGTGGTCTTAGATGCAGATGAGGAACTTGTTGGGAACTGGAGCAAAGGTGTTTTAGCAAAGAGACTGGTGGCATTTTGCCCCTTCCCTAGAGATCTGTGGAACTTTGAACTGGAGAGAGATAATTTAGGGTATCTGGTGGAAAAAATTTCTAAGCAGCAAAGCATTCAAAAGGTGACTTGGGTGCTGTTAAAAGCATTCAGTTTTAAAAAGGAAACAGAGCATAAATTTTGGAAAATTTGCACTCTGACAATGTGATAAAAAAGAAAAAAACCTGGCTGGGCACGGTGGCTCACGCCTGTAATCCCAACACTTCGGGAGGCCAAGGTGGGTGAATCACGAGGTCAAGAGATCAAGACCATCCTGGTCAACATGGTGAAACCCCATCTCTACCAAAAATACAAAAATTAGCCAGGCGTGGTGGCGGGTGCCTGTAGTCCCAGCTACTTGGGAGGCTGAGACAGGAGAATGGTTTGAACCTGGGTGGCAGAGGTTGCAGTGAGCCAAGATTGCACCACTGCACTCCAGCCTGGGTAACAGAGCGAGAGCAAGACTCCGCCTCAAAAAAAAAAAAAAAGAAAGAAAGAAAAGAAAAACCCATTTTCTGGGGAGAAATTCACGCCAGCTGTAGAAATTTGCGTAAGTAGCAAGGATCCTAATGTTAATCACCAAGACCACGGGAAAAATGTCTCCAGGCCATGTCAGAGACCTTCACAACAGCCCCTCCCATCGCAAGTCCGGAGGCCCAGGAGGAAAAAGTGGTTTTGTGGGCCAGGCCCAGAGTCCCCATGCAGTGTGCAGCCTAGGGACTTGGTGCCCTGTGTCCCAGATGCTCCAGACATAGCTGAAAGGGACCAATGCACACCTCGGGCTGTGGCTTCAAAGGATGGAAGCCCCAAGACTTGGCAGCTTCCAAGTTGAATCTGCAGGTGCACAGAAGTCAAGAATTTAGGTTTGGGAACCTCTGTCTAGATTTCAGAAGATGTATGGAAACACCTGGATGCCCAGGCAAAAGTTGGCCGCTGGGGTGGGGCCCTCATGGAGAACCTCTACTAGGGCAGCATGGAAGGGAAATGTGGGGTCGGAGCCCCCACACAGAGTCCCTAATGGGGCACTGCCTAGTGGAGCTGTGAGAAGAGGGTCACTGTCCTCCAGAGCCCAGAATGGTGGGTCCACCGACAGCTTGCACTGTGTGCCCGGAAAAGCTGCAGACACTCAATGCCAGCCCATGAAAGCAGCCAAGAGGGAGACTGTACCCTGCAAAGCCACAGGGGCAGAGCTGCCCAAGACCATGGGAACCCACCTTTTGCATCAGTGTGACCTGGATGTGAGAGCTGGAGTCAAAGGAGATCATTTTAGAGCTTTACAATTTGACGGCCTCGCTGGATTTTGGACTTCCTTGGGCCTTGTAACCCCTTTGTTTTGGCCAATTTCTCCCATTGGGAACTGCTGTATTTACCCAATACCTGTACCCCCATTGTATCTAGGAAATAACTAGCTTGCTTTTAATTTTACAGGTTCATAGGCAGAAAGGACTTGCCTTGTCTCAGATGAGACTTTGGACTGCGGACTTTTGGGTTAATGCTGAAATGAGTTAAGACTTTGAGAGGCTGTTGGGAAGGCATGATTGCTTTTGAAATGTGAGGACCTGAGATTTTGAGGGGCCAGAGGTGGAATGATATGGTTTGGCCGTGCCCTCACCCAAATCTCAACTTGAATTTTATCTCCCAGAATTCCCACGTGTTTGTGGGTGGTACGCATGGGGAGGTAATTGAATCATGAGGGCCGGTCTTCCCGTGCTATTTTTGTGATTGTGAATAAGTCTCATGAGATCCAACGGGTTTATCAGAGGTTTCCACTTTTGCTTCTTCCTCATTTTCTCTTGCTGCTGCCATGTAAGAAGAGCCTTTCACCTCCCGCCATGATTCTGAGGCCTCCCCAGCCATGTGGAACTGTGAGTCCAATTAAACCTCTTTCTTCTGTAAATTGCCCAGTCTTGGATATGTCTTCATCAGCAGCGTGAAAACGGACTAATACTTTTTTTTTTTTTTTGGTATTTCCTGTATAGATGGAGTTTTGCCACATTGCCCAGGGTAGTCTCCAACTCCTGAGCTCATGTGATCTGCCCACCTCAGCCTCCTAAACTGCTGGGATTACAGGCATGAACCTGTGATTGGCCTAGGTCTGCTGGTCTTTTAAGAAAATTTTAATGAAGGTTGGGCACGGTGGCTCATGCCTGTAATCCCAGCACTTTGGGAGGCAGAGGCAGGTGGATCACAAGGTTAAGAGTTGGAGACCAGCCTGGCCAACATGGTGAAACCCTGTCTCTACTAAAAATTAGCCAGGCGTGGTGGTGCATGCCTTAGTCCCAGGGGAGTCTGAGGCGCCTGTAGTCCCTCGGGAGTCTGAGGCAGGAGAGCTGCTTGAACCCGGGAGGCAGAGGTTTCAGGGAGCTGAGATCACACCACTGCACTCCAGCCTGGGCGACAGAACGATACCCCGTCTCAAAAAAAAAAAAAAAAAAAGAAAATTTTAATGAATAAGGGTAATATGGTTTGGCTCTGGGTCCCCACCCAAATCTCATGTCGAATTGTATTCCCACTTGCCAGGGGAGGGACCTGGTGGGACATGATTAGATTATGGGGTGGATTTCCCCCATGCATTTCTCATGATAGTGAGTTCTTATGAGATCTTTGTGTGTGTGTGTGTGCGGGGGGTCGGGGGGGACACTTCTTTTGTTCTATCTCTCCTACTCTGCCATGGTGAGACATGCCTGCTTCCCCTTTGCCTTCCACCACGATTGTACGTTTCCTGAGGCCTCCCAGTCTTGCTTCCTGTTATGCCCCTGAGTCAAACCTCTTTTCTTCATAACTTACCCAGGCTCAGGTAATTCTTTATGGCAGTGTGAGAACAGACTAATACAAAGGATTATAGGTTTTGACAGCACTTACACACAATAAACATGCAATTTCCTAAAATGAATGTGTAAAGACAAATAAGGGTTGCTCCAGAGACATGGTAAATAAAGCATTCTAGCAGTGTAGAAATAGGCAATGCTGTAAATAAGCTAGACTCAGAAATCAATGTGGGCTGGGCGTGGTGACTCATGTCTGTAATCCCCAAATTTTGGGAGGCCAAGGCAGGAGGATTGCTTGAGACCAGAAGTTTGAGACCATCCTGGGCAACACAGTGAGATCCCATCTCCATAAAAAAGACACAAAAATTAGTTGGGCATGGCACATGCATGAAGTCCCTGCTGCTTCAGAGGCTGAGGCAGTTGGACTGCTTGAGCCCAGGAATTCAAGGCTGCAGTGAGCCATGATCTCACTACTGTATTTCAGTCTGGGTGACAGAGTGAGACCCTGTCTCAAAAAAAAAAAAAAAAAAAAAGAAAACCAGCATCAACCTGAAATCAACCTGTTCTACAGTGACACCCAGGTTGAGGCCATAAACACAGTCACTCATGAGGAAAGGAAAAATGGCAGAGCCACATACATAAAATGTCCTACTACTCGCAGACACAAACACAGTCAGCCTGTTGAATGTGGAAGATTCCAAGTTAGTATCACCGCAGCCATGCCAATCTGCCAGTTAATCTGCCAGGGGAAGCGGATCCCTGTATCTCCAGGTGGTGGAAGTTGCAGGAGTCCTAGTTCAGGCCTCAGAGAGTAATCTGGCCTCTCCTGGGAGCTGCACCTGACCTGTACCTGTTTCCTTTTGTCAAAAACTGCGCCCGCATGCAGACTAGGGAGGCCTGCAGGTGAAACATAACAATCCCAGCGACAACAATGCCAGGAGTATAGGAAAGGCCACCGTCCATGTTAAATTCACACTTAAAAGTGTAGCTTGAGAGTCAGACCAGACCAGGGCAAGGGTGTAGGTGCTACTCTTAAAAGACGCGCTTCCACACTCAGCCTCTACGCAGATTTGGGACACCCAGCAGCCTGTCAAGTGGGTTTGCCATCATAACACATTTGTATCTTAAATGTGAAACATGGTTCAGTAATCACAATTCCCACACAGTTGTTGAAAATACAATTCAGGCCTGGCGCGGTGGCTCACGCCTATAATCCCAGCATTATGGAAGGCCGAGACGGGCGGATCACCTGAGGTCAGGAATTCGAGGCCAGCCTGGGCAACATGGTGAAACCCTGGGTGTGGTACAGCGTGCCTGTAATCCCAGCTACTCAGGAGAATCGCTTGAACCCAGGAGGCGGAAGTTGCAGTGAGCCGAGACCGTGCGGCTGCACTCCAGCTTGAGGGGACAGAGTGAGACTCCGTCTCAAAAAAAAAGAAAAAAAAAAAAACAAACCGAAACCAACCAAACAAAAAACAATTCAATAGGAGCACCTGGTCTTTTAACATGAAATCGTAAATATCTGGCTCAAACGTAACAAAGTAACACAAAATTTTAGTTTGAACTTCTGAAAATCGAAAATGGAAAAACTGCAATTTTCCTTATCATGCCCAGGTTAAGAGCATCAGGGTTAAGGGCACCAAGCGGGACACCCATGAACGGAGGCTTTGGTCCGTTTGGTTAGCTTTAGACAAGCGACTGCATTCATCCTCCTTCTCTCCTTAAAGATGGTGAACACTTCTTCATGTCATTGGAGTTGGAAATGGCTACAAAGCCTGATGGGAAATCCTTTATTCCACGGTCATTCGGCAGTTTCCCACGGCGGGGGAACAGTTTTAACTCGCCCGTGGGGAGGGTGGAGCCGGAGGTCAGTCCTACAAATGAGGTTTTGAGGGCAGAGAGCGGAGAAGACTCAGGAACGCGGCTCCCAGGATTCGCAAACCCAGTTCCCGGACACTGGCAGCGCGGCCCGCAGCCTCCACCGGCTGTGAAGCTGACCAACAGCGACAGGCGGGGCCGGGATCACGTGACCGACGTCTGGTCAGCCGGGCGTGCGCGGGAGCACGCAGAACTGTTCGGCCCCGGGCCGCGCGCCTTGCGTGCGCGCGCATGCCGGGGGCGGGGCATGTGGGCCAAGCCTCCGGCGCGCGCTGCGGGCGGGGGCGGGACGGAGCGGGGTGGAGGGCGGGGGCGGGGCCTAGTCCTGAGAGGCTGGGCCGGCGGCGGCTGCGGCGGGAGACCGGTGACCCGCGGCTGGGCGCCTCGGCCATGACTGCGGAGCTGCAGCAGGACGACGCGGCCGGCGCGGCAGACGGCCACGGCTCGGTGGGCTCCGCGGCGGCGAGCGGGAGCTGGGGGCGGGCTCCAGGCCCTGAGGGGAGCGTGCGGGGCCTGCAGGGCTGCGGGTTGCGGGCTGCGGAGGGCGCCCCGGCCGGGCGGGACAGGGGGTGCGCCCGCCAGCGTGGGTGAGAAGGCCAAGGGCTCTGCGGGGCTCGGGCCGCGGAGATTGAGGACTGCATCTTCGCGTCCGTGGGCGAGCTGAAGTTGTAGGGGGATTTCCAGATTTTGGAAAACCAAATATAAAGGGCTGGACGTGGGGTTCTCCGCCGCAGGGATCAGTAAGGTGAGCCCTCCTGGGCCCCGTCCGGGGTGAGAAACTTCCGAAAGCGGCAGCGTTGGTTGGTTTTGTTTTGCTTTGACTTTTAAATCAGTTTTATGGCGGCGTTTTTAAAAGGTTAAAGCAGACCGAAGTTATCTCACTTAAAGTCCGGAATTAATCACCGTCTTCTATAAGACCAGGGGTCCCAGTTACCACCACTTCCCTCCCTCCCAACCCGGCTTTAAAAACAAAACAGCGCAGCCTCCCCAATTATTGCCTTCATCGCTCTAGATTTTTAAGGAGGGGGAGGAGCTGCGTGATGAATAGAAAGTCTACTGATGATGATCTCCTGTTCCCAATGTCTAAGAAGATTGAAATCAATATAAGGACTTCTGATCTAAGAATCTGGTGAGAGTGAAAGAACCCTGGTTTGAGAGAAAAGCTAATGTCTGTATGAAGAAACTTGGGAAGAGGGCAATTTGAGCATGTCTTCTAGTGTTACTTCGGAATGTTATAACTTAACACCACCTCCTCACCCCTCAAGTACTGCACTTTTTCAAGAGAAAACGGGAAATCTGTGCCAGTTGTTCAAATACGAGTTTGGAGATGAGAAACTATATTTGTCGTACAAAGCTGGCAGACAGATACCCTCAGGTGAGAATCCTTTTATACCTTTTTACTCTTTTGTCTGGAAGGCCAGTAGTATTTAGCATGGAGACACTTTTTTTTTTTTTTTTTTTTTTTTTTCGACAGAGTCTCCCTCTGTTGCCTAGGCTGGAGTGCTGTGGCGCGATGTCGGCTCACTGCATCCTCCGCCTCACCCTCCTGAGTAGCTGGTATTACAGGTGCTTGCCACCGGCCCGGCTAATTTTTGTATTTTTAGTAGAGTCGGGGTTTCACCATATTGGTCAGGCTGGTCTCAAACTCCCGACTTAAGGTGATTCGCCCGCCTCGGCCTTCCAGAGTGCTGGGATTACAGGCGTGAGCCACCGCGCCCAGTCTGGACGCACTTTTTTTTTTTTTTTTTTTCCAGACGGAGTCTCACTTTGTCGCCCAGGCTGGGGTGCAGTGGCGCGATCTCGGCTCACTGCAACTTCCGTCTCCCGGGTTCAAGCGATTCTCCTGCCTCAGCCTCCCGAGTAGCTGGGACTACAGGCGCGTGCCACCACGCCCAGCTAATTTTTGTATTTTTAGTAGAGATGGGATTTCACTGTGTTGGCCAGGATGGTCTCGGTCTCTTGACCTCATGATCCGCCCGCCTCGGCCTCCCAAAGTGCTGGGATTACAGGCGTGAACCAGGGCGCCCAGCCTGGATGCGCTTTTTAAAACTCATGTAGAAAAAGATACTTCCAGGTCCTGGGCTCCGAAACGAAAGTATCATGCACTGACTTCTAATGGAAATATTGTTAGATGTTCACAAGTGCCTATTGAAATGTGTCAAGATTTTTCTCTGGCTTCAGAGGTCAGTTCTATTTGTTTTTAGCACAGTGATTTAAAAACATGGGAAAATTTTAGTTTGGAGACTATCATATTGATTTAGAGAAGAGACTATTTTAAGGGAGAGAGAAGTCATATTTAAATTTGTCGTGGCTCAGTCATTTAAGACCATGTGCCTATTAATCAGTGGCATCTTCATTTACCTCTGCCGCAGTTTGAGTAGTGACCCTATTTCAGCATTCTCCGTTTGAGACTGTGTGTGAGCTACTTGATGAGCATTTGTATGTAAGTCATAGCTATTTTGGGAAGGCTTGGAACTCCAGTGGCTGTGGCTGGCTGGAGTACTCCGATTCCTGGCCACCTGCAGAGTGATGACATTTACTGTTCTTCCCAGTGATTTGCCCTATACGGAAAGCTGATAAGCTTGGAATGCTTGATAATGTTTGCCCCTTTTATTTTTGCTAATAAAATGCTTCAAGTTACCAGGATAGGTTGAAGGAACTTACAGGAAAAGTACCTTTTGATCTTACAGGAAAGATTTTAATAACTTCTTCCTCATCTTGGTAAGTTTCATGTTAGAATGGATTCTTTTATTTTGAACTCTCTGAGGCATTCTACCTTTCCCTTAAAGGATATTTCATTGTTCTAGTTGAGGAGAGCTATCCTTCCCTGACACTCAGAAGCTATTTAAAGCCTAGACTGCTTCCCTTCCCTTATTGGTCAGTTGTACACAGGACAGACAAAACCCTTTATGGCCTCCCAAGAATTTTAGTGCGAGAAATATGTAGTACTCTTGAAATATGCTATCAGTATGGACTCGAATCTGAGAGTAGACACTTTATGATTTCACTAAATCCTCTAGACTGCAAACTGGTATTCGAATATCTAAAGAGGTTACATAGTGACAGATTCCTGTATTTTAATCAATTCTTGACTTCGATAGCAGCAAAATTTACTGTTATTACAGGAGAAACAACTTGAAGTCAGTTTGGTTCTTATAAACCTGTCATTCTTGGCAGCTGTACTGAGGGTTCACATCACACATTCTTTATGTCAGCTGAAGCCTTATAAAAACCTGCCAGTTTCAGTGAAAATTTAATGCCCTTTTTGCTTTCTCTTGATTTATTGACCTTTCGTTTCCTTTTGTCTCATTAACTGATTTTTAAAACATCAGTAAGTCAGTGATTGGTTCCACAACTCTCATGCCCCTCTGCCCCCAAATGCAAACAGTATTTTTTTTTTTTTTTGAGACGGAGTCTCGCTCTGTTGCCCAGGCTGAAGTGCAGTGGCGCGATCTCTGCTCACTGCAAGCTCCGCCCCCCGGGTTCATGCCATTCTCCAGCCTCAGCCTCCTGAGTAGCTGGGACTACAGGTGCCCACCACCACGCCCGGCTGATGTTTCTGTATTTTTAGTAGAGACGGGGTTTCACAGTGTTCGCCAGGATGGTCTCGATCTCCTGACCTCATGATCCGCCCGCCTCGGTCTGCAAACAGTATTTTTAAGACTTACTGGCAAATAGCATCTTACCAGGCGAGATCTCTCCATGTGTTCTGTTTCATCAAAGAAATTAAATCAATAGTAAAATGAAGCAAGTACTTAACAAGGAAAATAATGCTGGTAATAGTAATAGCTAATGCTAATTGAGCATGCACTATGTGCCAGACTCGGTGCTCAGAACTTAACATAGCATTCTCTCAGTACTTACACAACTCCATGAAGTTTCTATGAGAAGGCTTATACTTGTTAAGTAATTCGTCCAAGGTCACCCAGTGAGGATATGGTACAGTTGGAATTGTATCTAGGCAGTTCTGACCCCAAGAGCCCAAGGCGCCCCTGGTCCTATCTCATAGTTGATGGGCCCATTGCCCTGGATCACAGACTTTCCACTACTCTTATAATGCCTTTTCTAGAACTCTCCTAATGTTTTAAACTTCCAGTCCTCCCTACAGTCTTTCTAAATAGATAATCTTCTTTTCTACTTGACTGAGCTCGCTGATGTCTAAAAAGAGCTCCCTGCCTTCTGTTTTGTCCCCCTCTCCCTACGCCATCTCATCTCTTTTCTCTTATTTCAGTGGAAAAGGTTCCCTTCCTTTTTCCCCCTTTCATTTCTTAGAGATAAACCTAGATTAATGGTTTTTACTAGGGAGAGATTTTGTAATCTAGGAAGCATTTGGCAATGTCTGGAGACTTTGATTGTGACTCTGGAGGGAGGATGCTACTGGAATGTAGTGCGTAGAAGCCGGGAATGCTGCTAAACATCCTGCAGTGTACAGGAGTAAGCCCCTCTAAACAGAGTTATGTGTAAATTGTATAAAATAGTGCTGAGCTTGACAAACTCTGATCTAGATGATGTCTCTCTTCTCTTTCTATTATGTCCCTTCTCCTTAGTCCTAGTCTAACCCCCAGACACCTTCACTGTCTTCTCCCTTGCTACTCACATTATGGTCCACAGACCAGCAGCATTCACATCCCCTAGGATTTAGACATGCAGAAAGTTGAGTGTGCTAGAGCCAGCTTGCTCTGCCTCTCCAGCTGATTTTGTACATCTCTTTCCAGCTCTGTGTTCAATGACCTCGTGTTGATAACTGTGCCAAGGTGGGAATATTTATACCAAGGAAACAAGCATACACTGCCAATCAGCATACCACTGCCTGTACCCCCACTCTAGACCTATTCAATCAGTTTCTGCCTTTTGACAAGATTCTTGGGTGATTCATTTGCATATTACATTTTGAATTTGCATTTTCCATTTTACCGTGCACTTGTCCTCTATCTTGAAACCAAATAACAACAACAAAAGTGTCTATTGCCCAGTCCAGCTGTTGTCTCCACCTTCCTCCTCTTGTTTGCTTTTGGAACAAAGTTTCTAACCCCACCTGTTTCATTTCTAAAACATTTTTCCAGTGACAATGTATTCAGACTCAATATACAAAACTTGGAAAAGACAGACTTGAGCAAGACTAACTCTTAGCTGACAGGAGATTGAGGAAGGTTGGTTCCCAGATTCTGCTACAGAGCTTAAGGTGGCAATAACAGCTTCTGCAAAAGCCAAATAATGAGATGGCCGTGTGGACCAGTCTGGGCTCCAGCAAATGGCTGATTGTTCAGAGGCCTGCAGAGGGACTGACTAGGCAGCAGCAGGTTAGGTTGAAAGGCAGTGAGTGGTTTTATGTAATCAGAATCTGCTCAGCAGCCTACTTTGCCAAGGCAGGATCTCTCCCTCTGTCACCCAGACTGGGGTGCAGCGATGTGATTATAGCTCACTTTGGCCTTGACCTCCTAGGCTCAAGCGATCCTCCCACCTCAGCCTCCTGAGTAGCTGGGACCACAGGCGTGCATCACCGCACTTGGCTGTTTTTTTAATTTTTTATAGAGACGAGGTCTTGCTATGTTGCCCAGGCTGGTCTTGAACTCCTGGGCTCAAGCAGTCCTCCTGCCTTGGCCTCCCAAAGTGTTGGGATTACAGGCATGAGCCACCACACCTGGCCCCCTCATACTTTTATTATTTTATGCTTTTATGATCCCTCATTACCACTTTTTTGCTGTTACTTTTTTCTTGTTTTGTTTTTTGAGACGGAGTTTCGCTCTTGTTGCCCAGGGTGGAGTGCATTGGCACGATCTTGGCTCACTGCATCCTCCGCCTCCTGGGTTCAAGTGATTCTCCTGCCTCAGCCTCCCGAGTGGCTGGGATTACAGGCATGCACCACCATGCCCAGCTAATTTTGTATTTTTAGTAGAGACAGGGTTTCTCCATGTTTGTCAGGTTGGTCTTGAACTCCTGACCCCAGGTGATCTGCCCACCTCAGCCTCCCAAAGTGCTGGGATTACAGGCGTGAACACCTGGCTCCAAATCTACATTTCTAATCCTGAGTTGCAAATGACTTCTATACTCTGTTTCCCAGTGCTTTTTGAACAGGTCTGCTTGAATATCAACCTCCTTGGCTATAAACGTTTGCTTCATACTTATTTTCCCAGGGTTGTTATACTAGGCATGGGAATGTACACTTGTATTACTCGTGTCTGCCATATGCTATGTACCACCCTAAGCACTTTTCCATACATTTTTATTTACAAAAACCCAGCAAGGTGTGAACTATTACCCTATTACTGATGAGGAAACTGAGATGTCTTGTTTGTTTTTTGAGATAGGGTTTCACTCTGTCACCCAAGCTGGAGTGTGGTGACACCGTCAAGGCTCACTGCAGCCTTGACCACCCAGACCCAAGCAATCCTCAGACACTTGAGTAGCTGGGACCACAGGTATGCACCACCACACCTGGCTACTTTTGTTTTATTTTATTTTTTGAGACGGACCGCAGTCTGTTGCCCAGGATGGAGTACAGTGGCGTGAGATCAGCTCACTGTAACCCCCGCCTTCCGGGTTCTATTGATTCTTCTGCCTCTGCCTCCCAAGTAGCTGGGATTACAGGCACATGCCACCACGCCTAATTTTTGTATTTTTAGTAGAGACGGGGTTTCACCATGTTGGCCAGGCTGGTCTTGAACACCTGACCTCCGGTGATCCGTCTGCCTTGGCCTCCCAAAGTGCTGGGATTATAGGCGTGAGCCACCGAACCCAGCCTGTGGTTAATTTTAAAAGTTTTTTTAGCAATGGGGTCTCTCTGTGTTGCCCAGGCTGGTCTCAAACTTATGAACCAAGTCATCCTGCCTCAGCCTCCAAAAGTGCTGGGATTACAGGCATGAGCCACCGTGCCTGACCTCAGATGTTAGTATGCCTTATAAGGGCCTCATATGAGATTTATTTTATTTATTCCTTTTCTTTCTTTTGTCTTTTTTTTTTTTTTTTGAGACATGGTCTTACTCTGTCACCTAGGCTGGAGTAGTGCAGTGGCTCTATCATGGCTCACTGCAGCCTCAACCTCCTGGGCCCAAGCAATTCTCCTACCTCAGCCTACAGAGTAGCTGGAACTACAGACATGTGCCACCATGCCTAGCTAATATTTTTAGTTTTTGTAGAGATGGGGGGTCTCTTTATGTTGCCCAGGCTGGTTTTGAACTCCCGCGCTCCAGTGATCCTCCCGCCTGAGCCTCCCAAAGTTTTGGGATTACAGGCGTGAACCATGGTACCTATCTCTTTTTTTCTTTATTCGTATGAGATTTTAAACTGAAGTCTGTTTGCTTCTATCTTACAGATGAGAAATGCAGCTTATGACCATGATTGAATTATAAGTAGCAGAGCTGTGACTTCAAGCCATTCTGACTTGAAGCATAACATTTCTCCGACTTTAGTACAAGCCTTTCTAAAACCAAAGTTTCTGACTTACCACTTGACTATGTAGCACTTTAATAATTTTAATAACTTTTCATTGAACCCTCATAGGCACTCTATGAAATAAAATTTAGTATGAGCAGGAAGTAGAATTTGCAAAGTGACACAGCAAGTAAGTGATAAAACCAAAACTATAACACAGGATATCAGTATTTTTACTGTAAACTCTAGAGGAGTTTAGTTGAACAGGCAAGTCCCAGTATTTTTCATTTCTATTGCATTTCTTCATTTTGCTAACAATTTATTTGCAGTACTTCCTTTGATAGTCATACAGGGCTGTCAAAGCTTTTGGTGTACTTCATTTTCCATTCTGGAAACTGATGCTGAGGAAGATTGAGATTTGCCAGGAGGCTGATGTGTGCTGGAGTCTGGGCTGCATGGCACTATTTCCAGCGTCTAGGCTTTCTACGTAAAACAGGGGTCAAAATATCAGACACACAAAACCAAACTAAAGATCTGCCTCAGTAAGTACCAGCTGCATGCTACATGATGGCTGGTAGGCACTTTAACCCTAAGAAGATTTTCTAAACAACATTTTCTTTTTCAATCTTCTTGCCCAAGTTAGTACTTTCTTGTGTCCCCTCCCTCCCTCCCTTCCTCCCTTTCTTCCTCCCTCCCTTCCTCCCTCCCTCCCTCCCCCCTTCCTTCTTTCCTTTTGTGTGGGGATGTGTATACAGGTTTCCTTATTCATTTGTTTTTTCATAGAGTTGGGGTCTAGCTATGTTGCTCAGGCTGGAGTGCAGTGGCTATTCACAGGCATGATCGTGGTGTACTACTGTTTGAAAATCCTGGGCACAAGTGATCATTCTGCCTCAGCCTGCTGCAGAGCTGGAACTACAGGTGTGTGCCACTGCACCCAGGTGATTTTTTTTTTTTCAATTGAGGCAAAATTTATATAACATAAAATTATTTTAAAGTGGGGCTGGGTGAGGTGGCTCACTGAGGTCAGGAATTCAAGACCAGCCTGGCCAACATGGTGAAGCCCCGTCTCTACTAAAAAATATAAAAATTAGCCAGATGTGGTGGTGAGCACCTGTAATTCCAGCTACTTGGGAGGCTGAGGCAGGAGAATCACTTGAACCCGGGAGGCAGCGGTTGCAGTGAGCGGAGATCATGCCACTGCACTCTAGCCTGAGTGACAAGAGTAAAACTCTGTCTCCAAAAAAAAAAAGTTCAAGTGTACAAGTTCAGTGACATTTAATATATTCACAATATTGTGCAATCACCAATTCCGTCTAGTTCTAAAACATTTTCATTACCCTGAAAGAAAACTTTGTAACCATTAAGCAGTCACTCCCTATTCCCCCATGCCCTCCACCCCTGGCAATACCAATCTACTTTCTGTCTCTAGATTTACGTATTAGAGAGATTTCATGTAAATGGATCATGCAATATGTGACCTATTATGTGTGGCATCTGTCGTTTATTGTAATGTTTTTGAGATTTGTTCAAGTTGTAGCATGTATGAGTTTTTCATTTTAATCACTGAGTAATATTCCACTGTATGTATAGATATGTTTTGCCTGTCCATTCTTCCATTGACGGACATTTGAGTTATTTACACCTTTTGGTTATTATGAATAGTTCTGTTATGAATTTTCATATACTTGTATTTGAGTACCTGTTTTCCCTTCTTTTGGGTATATACCTAGAAGGAATTGTTGACTCATATGGTAATTCTATGTTTAACTTCTTGAGGAACTGCCAGACTGTTTTCCAAGGTTGCTGGGGAAGTTTTATATTCCCACCAGCAATACACAAGGGTTCTAGTTTTTCTCTTTTCTCATCAAACACTTGTTATTTTTTGTTTTTGTTAGATAACAGTCATCCTAATGGGTGTGAAGTGGCATCTCATCATGATTTTGATTTGGCCATGTTAATGTTATGGCTAATGTTAAGTGTCTTCATAAACTTATTGACTATTTATATATCTTCTTTGGAGAAATATCTTTTTAAGTTCTTTGTCCATTTTTGAATTGGGTTGTCTCGTTTTTTGGTTGTTGACTTAAAGGGAGTTCAAAGAGAGTTTTTTATATCATCCAGATGCTAGACTCTTACCAGATAAATGATTTAAAAGTATTTTCTCCCATTGTCTTTTCACTTTCTTGATAATTTGTACACTGTGTATTTCTTTTTTCTTTTTTTTTCCCCAAGACAGAGTCTGGCTCTGTCACCTAGGCTGGAGTGCAGTGGTCTGATCTCGGCTCACTGCAACCTCTGCCTCCTGGGTTCAAGTGATTCTCTTGCTTCAGCCTCCCAGGAAGCTGGGATTACAGGCGCGTGCCAACACACCTGGCTAATATTTGTATTTTTAGTGGAGATGGTTTCACCATGTTGGCCAGGCTGGTCTTGAACTCCTGACCTTAGGTGATCCACATTGGCCTCCCGGAGTGCTCGGATTACAGGCATGAGCCACCGTGCCCGGCCAGCACTGTATATTTCTTGTTGGATTTCTTGATGTATGTGTTTATTTCTTGAATTTGTATACCGGTTGTCTTTTCACTTTCTTGATAATGCCCTTTGATGCAGAAAAGTACATCAGCCCACTTCAGTGTCCCAAGTAGCTGGGACTACAGGTACACACCACCATGCCTGGCTCAAAAGTGTTATTATTTTTTTCTTTTGTTGCTTGTGCTTTTGGTGTCATAGCTGAGAATCCATTGACAAATCCAAGGTCATGAAGACTTATCTCTGTGTTCTAAGAATTTTATAGTTTTAGTTATTTATTTAGGTTGTTGATCCATTTTGAGGAATTTTTGTGTATTGTGTGAGGTAGGGGTCCAGTGTGATTCTTCTGCTGTGGATATCCAGTTGTACCAATACCATTTGTTGAAGACATGATTTTTCCCCCATCAAATGGTGTTGGCACTCTGGTTGAAAATCAGTTGACCACAGATACGAGTTTATTTCTGGATTCTCAGTTCTATTCTGTTGGTCTATATATCTGTCCTTATGCCAGTACTACACTGTTATGATAACCGTAGCTTTGGATTAATACTAAGTTTTGATATAAGAAGTGTGAGTCCTCCAACTTTGTTCTTCTTTTCAATGTTGTTTTAGTTCTTCCAGGTCCTTTGAAATTCTGTGTGAATTTGAGGATCAGCTTTTCTGTTTCTGCAAGAAAGGCCAAAGCATTGCAGCTCTTTTAGAATTTGTCTAGCAGGTTTTCTGGTTTTCACTAGAGTTCCCCGCAACCCCCAGCCACACGCACACACAAAGGACCATTGGAATTTTGATAGGGATTACATTGAACTTTTGAATTGCTTTGAGTAGTATTGCCACCTTCACAGTATTAAGTCTTCGTGGCCAGACGCAGTGCCTCACGCCTGTAATCACTTTGGGAAGAGGCCGAGACGGGGGGGATTGCTTGACCTCAGGAGTTCAAGACCAGCCTGGGCAACGTGGTGAAACCTCACCTTTACCGAAAATATGAAAAATCTTAGTTGGGCTTGATGGCACACATCTGTGTTCCCACCTACTTGGGAGGCTGAGGAGGGAGGATCGCTTGAGCTTACAGGGTGGAGGTTGAGGTGTACTCTAGCCTGGGTGACAGAGACAGACCCCATCTCCAAAAAACAATACTGTCTTCATGATGGTTAAGTTAATGTGTCAGTTGACTGGGCCATGAGGTATGTATGCAGACATTTGGTCAAACATTATTCTAGGTGTGTCTGTGAGCGTGATTCTGGATAAGATTAACATTGAATCAGTAGACTGTGTAGAGCAGTTTGAACTCCCTAATGTGGGTAGTGGGCCTCATTCAATCAAGACCTGAATAGAACAAAAATGCTGAGTAAGAGGAAACTTTGCTTGCCTGACTACTTGAGCTGGGACATTGATTTTCCTTGGTCCTGGCACTGGAACTTAGACAACCATCAGCTCTTTTGGTTCACAGGACTTCAGACTCAGACTGGAACTTACACACTCAACTTTCCTGGTTCTTGGGTCTCATACTTACACTAACACTACACCGCTGGTCTCCTGGTTCTCCAGCTTGCTAACTGCAGATCTTGAGACTTCTCAGTCTCCGCAGTCATGTGAGCCAATTCCTTATAATAAATTTCACCTCTTATATTTATCTCCTTTTGCTTCTGTTTCTCTGGGGAACTCTGACTAGTACAGTTTTCCAGTTCATGAACCTGGATGTTTTTCAATTTATTTAGGTCTTTAACTTCTTTCATCAGTTTTTTTACCTTTTTTTTGAGACAGAGTCTCACTCTGTTGCCCAGGCTGGAGTGCAGTGGTGAGATCTTGGCTCACTGCAGCCTCCACCTCTGGAGTTCAAGGGATTCTCCCGCCTCAGCCTCCCGAGTAGCTGGGACTACAGGCACATGCCACCATGCCTGGCTAATTTTTTGTATTTTTAGTAGAGATGGGGGTTTCACCATGTTGGCCAGGCTGGTCTCAAACTCCTGACCTCAGGTGATCCATCCGCCTCAGCTTCCCAAAGTGCTGGGATTACAGGCGTGAGCCACCGTGACCAGCAATTTTTTTTTTCGAGACGGAGTCTCGCTGTGTCGCCCAGGCTGGAGTGCAGTGGCGCGATCTCGGCTCACTGCAAGCTCCGCCTCCCGGGTTCATGCCATTCTCCTGCCTCAGCCTCCCGAGTAGCTGGGACTACAGGCGCCGGCCACCATGCCCGGCTAATTTTTTGTATTTTTAGTAGAGACAGGGTTTCACCGTGTTAGTCAGGATGGTCTCGATCTCCTGACCTTGTGATCCGGCCGCCTCAGCCTCCCAAAGTGCTGGGATTACAGGCGTGAGCCACCGCGCCCGGCCTAATTTTTTTTTTTTTTTTTGAGACAGGGTCTCACTCTGTTGCCAGGCTGGAGCGCAGTGGCACAATGTTGGCTCACTGCAACCTCCATCTTCTGGGCTCAAGCAATCCTCCCACTTCAGCCTTCTGAGAAGCTGGGACTACAGGCACGCGCCACCACACCCGACTAATTTTTGTGTTTTCTGTAGAGATGTGTTTTGCCACGTTGCTCAGGCTGGTCTCGAACACTTCAGCTCAAGCAATCTGCCCGCCTCAGCCTCCCAAAGTGCTGGGATTACAGGTGTGAGCCATCGCACCCAGCCTCAGCAGTGACCCACTGCGCCCGGCCCAGGTTTTTTACCTCTTTGGTCAAATTTATTCCTAAGTATTTTATTCTTTAGGATGCTATTGTAAATGTAATTTTTTTTTAATTTCCTTTTTGATTTCTTATTGCTGTTTTATAAAAACACAACTGAATTTTGCCTGTTTACCTTGAAGCTGCTGAATTTGTTTACCAGCTCTGGTAACTTTTTTGCAGAATCTTTGGGATTTTGTATATATAGGATCATGTCATTTTGTGAATACTGTTTTACTTTTTTATACTTTATAATTTAGGTGCCATTTATTTTTTATTCTTGCCTGGTTGCTCTGGCTTAAACTTCCAGTACAGTGTTGAATAGCAGTGGTGAAAGTGGGCATCTTTGTCTTGTTCCTGATTTTAGGGGTAAAGCTTTCAGCCTTTCACCATTGAATATGATCTTAACTCTTGGTTTTTTTATAAAGGCCCTGTATCATGTTGAGGGAATTACCTTTTATTCCTAGTTTTCTGATTGTTTTTATTATGAATGTGTGTTGGATTTTGTCAGATGTTTTTCTGTATCAATCAAGGTGACCATTGTTTTTTTTCTCCTTCATTCTGTTGGTGTGGTATATCACATTGTTTGGTTTCCTTTTATGTTATTGGCAATGGCATTCTCTTAGGCATCCATTGCAAATGTATGACTAAGCTTTCTCTCTTCATTCTTTGAGATGTTCAGAGTATGTCCTACTTTGATGTTTTGCCTACCAGCATCCTGCCTCTCTCGTCACAGTTCGTTTACTCAGTAGCCCTGTAACTCAAGCTTTCTTTTCCTAGTGTCATCCCACGTTGAACCAGTTGTTCACGTGGGCTAGATTAATCCACTTAAATGCCTTTTCTTCCTTCGTATATCTTCCCTGCTGAGGAGCCTGCAGTGATTATCCATTGTTCATCAGATCAAACCTAAACTCTTCCTGACATTTAGAACCCTTTGTAATCCAATCCCACATCACCTCTCTGATCTCTGTTATTTATTTATTTGAGACAGAGTCTTGCTCTTGTCGCCCAGGCTGGAGTACAGTGGCGCAGTCTCAGCTCACTGCAACCTCCGCCTCCTGGGTTCAAGCCATTCTCCTGCCTTAGCCTCCCAAGTAGCTGGGATTACAGGCACCTGTCACCACACCCAGCTAATTTTTGTATTTTTAGTAGAGATGGGGTTTCACCGTGTTGGCCAGGCTGGTCTTGAACTCCTGACCTCAGGTGATCCGCCCGCCTCAGCCCCGTAAAGTGCTGGGATTACAGGCGTGAGCCACCACACCCAGCAATCTCTGTTATTTATTAAAAATAGAAACTACACACGAAGACCCAGCTAGTAATAACTTAAAATTTTACCATTGCTATATTTCTAAAACTGTAAGCATGTAAATTTGATTTCTCATATCTTTCCCTGATATTTTCCCAGTTTTTCAATTAGCCCTACCAATATGTTGTTAAAAATTGTATTTTCCTTCATTTTTGGAGATGTGTTCGATATGTTTGTCAGCCTCATTTCTCATATTTAGTTGGAACATGTATTCAAAGAAATGAAAAATATTGTCTTAATGTATTCTAAAATAAGGAAAAAGCAAGGTATAGGACATTATGTATCATATGAAAAAATATATTCATGTGCATAGACAATTTCGGGAAAGATAACAGAAACTGTTAATGGTAGTAGCCCCTGGGAAATAGAACTAGGTCGGGAAGAAGGTGATTTCCTTTTCATTTTATACCCTTTTGTACTATTGGAATCTCTTAGTACATGTGAAGAAAGAGATGGAAAAAATTTAAAAAGTAAATAATGATTAATTCCTTTTTTTTCTTGTTTTTAAGTCCCAGTTTTAACCCCTCTACATGATATAATAGTGGCTAAATTTTAAACACTTTTAATGGTTTTTAAAAACTTTAAGCCAGTTAATAAACTCAAACAGGCATTTTCATCATGTACTGACATTTGCATCATTCACAAAAATTATCAAGTAGTCTATTTCAGGGAATTTAGCTGTGTCCACAGAAAGCTGCTGTTTATCTTTTTTAGACAGCCATATTCTTATGGCTACTTTAGGTTTCTATTCCATGAATAAATTGGATCAGCAGGGCATTGTTGCTGGAAGAAAAACTGAAAAAATACCAAGGCTTTTGAGGGCCATTCCTTGTTTTATGGAGGTTGGAAAGGTTAGCAACCATCTCTGTTGTCCAGACAGAGGTGGTTTTTTTTTTTTTTTTGAGGTGTAGTCTCGCTTTGTCGCCCAGGCTGGAGTGGAATGCAGTGGTGCGATCTTGGCTCACTGCAACCTCCACCTCCAGGTTCACGCCAGGTTCTCCTGCCTCAGCCTCCCGAGTAGCTGGGACTACCGGTGCCTGCCACCTCGCCCATCTAATTTTTTGTGTTTTTAGTAGAGACGGAGTTTCACTGTGTTAGCCAGGATGGCCTCGGGCTCCTGACCTCGTGATCTGCCTGCCTCGGCCTCCCAAAGTGCTGGGATTACAGGCATGAGCCACCAAGCCCGGCCCTTATTTTTTTTTTTTTCGAGACACAGTCTTGCTCTGTTGTGCAGGCTGGAGTGCAGCGGTGCAATCTTGGCTCACTTCAAGCTCCGCCTCCCAGGTTCAAGCAATTCCTCTGCCTCAGCCTCCCGAGTAGCTGGGACTACAGGTGCCCGCCACCATGCCTGGCAAATTTTTGTATTTTTTTTTTCTTTAGTAGAGATGGGGTTTCACCATATTGGCCAGGCTGGTCTTGAACTCCTGACCTTGTGATCCGCCTGCCTTCACCTTCCAAAGTGCTGGGATCACAGACATGAGCCACTGCACCTGGCCAGAGTTTTTGGCATTGATACTATATGTTTTCTTTGACTCTTCAGTTGGTTTTGTTTTTGTTTTTTGTTTTTTCTTTTTTTTTTTTTTGCTTCCCTTGGGTACTTAAGTTTTATTTTATAATTGCGAACCAGATCTTTAGCTTTGGAAGGAATTTTATTAGGCACACCTTGGTAGTTCTTTGGAGTAAGGGAACATTTATTAATTATTTACTTAGTTGTAAATTTAGAAATGTCTTTGTAAGACTAGACAATTGATATCAGGAAATATGTGCATCAGAATGATGAAAATAGCATCACTGTTTGAAGGAATGGAATAACCTATAAAGCTTCTCATCACAATGCTAAATTAGGAGTTTTAACGATTAGTAATGAAATATTTTGCATTATTTCATCAGAGAGTTTTAACCTAGTTACTGTGGGATCAGGCCAGGTATTGATTGTTACAGAAACTTGATAGCTTAAGGTTTTTAGTGTCTGAATAATCTTGTTAATTGCTGATTGTGGGTGAGTTGTTTTTGCTCTAAGAAAATCTCCTTCCTGAGAAGTGGGCTAGATTGCACCAAAACCACTGAGTAGCAGTGAGGTCAAAAAGCTTGAGTTCCTTCCTGGTAAAGGTTTGTGTTTGCCTGTCTTTCTTTACTGCCTCTGGGCAAGAAAAGGGAGTACTTTTTGTTTTGTGAAAACAATGTGAATTTAGCTCAGGAAATGCAAACCTGTTGGCTCTTGCAAGTTATTTGACTTCATTGTGAGAGGAGTACAGGCTTTGTCTTGTCTCCTTGTTGGGTGTGTACTTTACATATAGCAAGGTAGAGTGAAGTTAATATTTAAATCCTCTTTCTGTGAAGTTCAGGTGAAGTGAGTTAGTAATATGGTAGGATCCTGATGGGTTTAGTGTTACTGTAAAATTAATATTTATATAAATATATATATATAGTACGAGGATTTGGAGTGCGGGTTCTGTTAAGAACTTTAGCTAAATCTTTACAAGACTGGGTCATGTCATAGCATTTGTATATGTATATAAATAATGCATGTGAAATTTGTTATTCATACCATACTCTTTACATTTTATTTTTATTTTTAAATTATGGAACACTTCATGAATTTGCATGTTATTCTTGCACAGGGTCCATGCTAATCTCTGTATTGTTCCAATTTTAGTTAATGTACTGCTCAAGCAAGCACTTAGACCCTTAATAGCTATGTGTTTTATAGCTATCTTTGATTTAGCTTTTAATTCAAGTCATTTGATGATAAATAGATTTTGTAAACCTTAATTTCCTAACGTGTGCAATGCCTGCCTTTGTTATTAGGATTACATGCATGTAAGGTGCCTGTTTCCTGTCATATGTTAAGCCAGGTATGGTGATGTGTGCCTGTAGTCCCAACAACCTGGAAGGCTGTGGTGGGAGGATCCTTTGAGTCCAGCAGTTAGGCCAGCCTGGTCAACATAGCGAGACCCCCATTTCCAAAAAGAAAAAAAAATTAAAGTAGTTGTTCAATAAATGTTAGTTCTCATTATTATCAGCACTGTCCTATGGATGATTCAAATTAGGCAGTGTACTGCATGATTCTTCCTTTAAAGAAGGCAAGAATTTCATATTTAAAACAATTAGAGAACAGGCCTGGCCCGGTGGCTCATGCCTGTAATCCCAACACTTTGGGAGGCCGAGGTGGGTGGATCACTTGAGGTAAGAGTTTGGGACCAGCCTGGCCAACATGATGAATCCTCATCTCTACTAAAAATACAAAAATTAGCTAGGCGTGGTGGTGGGTGCCTATAATCCCAGCTGCTCAGGTGGCTGAGGCAGGAGAATCGCTTGAACCCAAGAGGTGGAGTTTGCAGTGAGCTGAGATTGCGCCGCTGCGCTCCAGCCTGGGTGACAGCAAGACTCCGTCTCAAAAAAAATTAAAATAAAATAAAACAATTAGAGAACCACATGATGAGGAATATCAAGTGAAGACAGGGAGCCACATTCAGTCACAGGCGTATTCATTTCCTTAACATGGGAGATGAGAAAGGGGAGAGAACAGTATGGGCCAGAGTTCTTAGAAGGACTTCATATGGAGGAGGTAAGACAAATATAACCCCTGAATGTAGTTGGCATACCATAGTTTAATAATGTAGGTGGTATTACTAGTGATTTTAGGAGCAACAGTCTATGCATGAGAGAATGAGTTTGCAGTAAGGAACTGAGAGGAGAAAAGGTGGAACAGGCTAAGGGGGGATCAGGTAATGGTCTTTGAATGACAAGATGAGGAATTTGGATTTGAATTTCCATGTAGAACATTGTTGTTGGAGCTATACAAAATTATTTTACATAGTTGTCATCTCTACCCAGTAGCCTTTAAAAAAAGGTCACTAGGCCAGGTGCAGTGGCTCACGCCTGTAACCCCAGTACTTTGGGAGGCTGAGACAGGTGGATCACTTGAGGCCAGAAGTTTGAGACCAGCCTGGCCAACATGGAGAAACCCCATGTCTACTAAAAATAGGAAAACTAGCTGGGCGTGGTGGTGGGCACCCGTAGTCCCAACTACTCGGGAAGCTGAGGTGGGAGAGTCACCTGAGCCTGGGATGCCGAGGCTGCAGTGAGCTAAGATTGTACCATGCTATTGCACTCCAGTCTGGGCCACAGAGCGAGACCCTGTCTCAAAAAAAAAAGGAAACGAAAGAGTTTATTTTCCTTTCCTGATTGTGTTATCCCAGATATATTGATGTCCACTGCTACCTATTACAAAATGGAGAAAGAGGAATGGTAATATTACAGTGTAACTGACTTTAATCCAAGGTCAAATGTAAATAATTAGTAAATTAGTATTTGGATACTATATTTCATTGATTCACATTTATTTGGCATTCTGAGATCTCTGAGATCAAGATGTTCTTAACATTTTTACTATCATCCAAGTAGCAGATGTGATGTTGTCATTGTCTGCACTTGTATGAACCTGGTCATAGCTGTTACTATTGTTATAACAACAGTTGACAGTCTGTTAGTACCACATGGTTTACTTGCCATTGCGTATGTCACTTAAAAATTTACACTGTGATTCAACATTGAGATTAAAACAAAACAAAAAAACCAAAAAACCTGTGTATGAAGAAAGGCATGGAAGCAGAATGGCGGGGTATAAATTTGATTTTATATGAAGCAAAATATTTACCTTTGGAGGAATGTTTACAGTTTCAGATTTTCTTGCAAAGCTACAGTCAAGTGCTTTATGCAACCCAGAAGGGAAGATAGCATAAATGTATTATGCTGTGTTAAGTTTTGTTGCCGAGAAATATGTGAAAGAATTGCCTATCACATGCCAAGCAGTGCACCTGGAAGCAGGGGAAATTGCTGTATTCCTCAACATAAATGAAAAAGTTCAGAGATTTAAGAAGCTAGTGTGACTTATTTATATGTCTCCCAGGACTGCCGTGAAGACATTGTGTCATAGTTCAAGTGGCAGCAGTTTTCCTTTCTTTGTTTTCAACCGATGGCACCTTAGATTTAGTCAAATGTAATATTTACCTCTCTACTTCTGATGATAGCTGGTTTAGAACAGATTGCACTACTAAGTAATCAAACTTGTGATTGTATAAGGACAAGCAGATTTTTAAAATAAACTTGTTAGGGTGCAAAGATCAAGGTCAAAATATAAAAATAGGCTGGGTGTGGTGGCTCACACCTGTAATCCTAGCACTTTGGGAGGCTGAGGCAGGAGAATCGCTTGAACCCGGGAGTCGGAGGTTGCAGTGAGCCGAGATTGCTCCATTGCACTCCAGCCTGGGCGACACAGTGAGACTCTGTCTCAGAAATAAATAAATAAATAAAAATAAATAAAACATACAAGAATAAGATATTTGCGTTTTTTTGCATTAGATAGGTATTCTTGCCTATCTTTTTGTCTTCTCAGATACAGCGTGGTATAGTGCATCCCTTATCAGCAGTAACTTTGTGTAAAGTTAATCTCTCTGTGCCTCAGCTTTTTGTAGGACAGGCGTAATACCTATGTCATAGGTCTGTTATGAGGGTTCAGTGAGTTAAATTAGTTAATACTTGCTAAGTGTTTATAGCAGCACCTGGCTAAAAGTAAGCAGTATATGTTAGCTATTACTTTTTACTGGATTATTTTCTCTGAATCATAAATGTTAATTTTTATACAGAATAATTCCCAATGAAGATGGGATTATCCCATTGTTACCTTCTTGACGCTAGTTTGGTATTAATATACTACTGATTCCCCCTCTCGATTATTCCACCCTTTTTTGGGTATATTGATGTTGATCTTTTAGAAAATTATGTGTGATTTGTGTGAGATACATAGATTCATACCGCTTTTATACAGTAAAATCAAATGGAATTAGAATTAGTTTAAAACAACTAGTATTTAATTTTTCTAAAAATTACATGCTTGCGATTTTAGTTTTTGCTCAGGCTGAATCTGGATACCTTTTAGTATGATAATCACTCTCCCAGTGCACAGGCAATGACTGGAGTTGACAAGACTCATAGCGTGAAAGTCTGCTGGTCTCAGCAGGGTAGGATTCCATTTGTAGCCTATGACTATAGTCTGACTACAGCAGAACGACTGTTGGTGCTTCTTTGAGGACTTTATTTATTTATTTATTGAGACGGAGTTGTGCTCTTGTTGCCCAGGCTAGAGTTGCAATGCCGCGATCTTGGCTCACTGCAACCTCCACCTCCTGGGTTCAAGCAATTCTCCTGCCTCAGCCTCCTGAGTAGCTGGGATTACAGGCACGTGCCACCACGCCCAACTGATTTTGTATTTTTAGTAGAGACGGGGCCATGTTGGTCAGGCTGGTCTCGAACTCCCAACCTCAAGTGATCTGCCCACCCTGGCCTCCCAAAGTGCTGGGATTACAGGCATGAGCCACCATGCCCGACCTCTTTAGGACTTTAGAGGGATGTTTCAGTTAGTTATTTCTAGTTGTGTAATACTTTAGTGTTGCATTGGGCCCACAGCTGTTGAAGAACATAAGATACTGTTTCTATTATAGCTGGGAGTAAATGTAGGCTATCTCTCTGAGACATACTACTAACTTAATTTAAGCATAACCTTAGGAATGGTATAAATTAGATTTCTTGTTGCTGAATTAATTTCGAACTACTTTGTTTTCAACATTCATCTAAAAAGATCATTGTGTCTCAAGTTGGGCCAGCCAGTTGTTTAGATTGAGCTGTACTTGCAAATCGGTGTTTTGTATTGTCTTTGTGTAAAACAGGATAAAATGATAGAGTGAAGATGTTAAGGCTGAAGGGGTTGTAAACTGATTTTGTGTTAGCTGGAAGTTAACAATTTAGGTTTTTCCATGATTTAGGTTAATGAAGAGAAAACATTTCATACTTTATACCCTTTGAAATTATGTATTTAATTGAGAAAATTCTAGCTTTAGCTGTACTTTTTAATTAGTCAAACACAGAGTTTTAAATATGTTGGTGTTATCATTGGTTAATTACATGATTGGAAACTTATTGTCAGTGAAAAATGATACACACTAATGGCATGTGCAGGAAAGCTTAAAATAGCACATCTTTATATCCATGCAAATTCCCCGGACTCCTTATATGCCCTACTTAATGCACTGCCTACCAAAAGAAAAACCTGGAGAACTTTTAAGTGTCCATTAAGGCTAGAATATTACATTTAAATGTTTTATATATTTGTAATTTTACTGTCATCTATTTCTTTCGTAAGTACCAAAGGTATTTCCATGATTGAACTTTTAAAAGAGAAATAGATTTGGCATTTCAGAATATTTCTGACAGCCAATACCTTGTTTCTTGGAGCTTGTTGGTTCTTTAGAGTAAAAAAATGCAGGGCCGTTTGCATTGGCCCACACCTGTAATCCCAGCGGACTTTGGGAGGCCTAGGCGGGTGGATCACGAGGTCAGCAGATCAAGACCAGCCTGACCAACAATGTGAAACCCCGTCACTACTAAAAATACAAAACTTAGCTGGGCGTGGTGGCCTGTGCCTGTAATCCCAACTACTCGGGAGGCTGAGGCAGGAGAATCGCTTGAACCTGGGAGGCGGAGGTTGCAGTGAGCCGAGATCCGGCCACTGCACTCCAGCCTGGGCAAGCCTCAGGCCTGTTTATCCAAGATGCTTTTAGTTATTCTTTAAATGTACCCAGGTTTACTTTCTGACTGACATGTTTGTGGTTTTTTTGTTTTGCAAATATAGAGCTGCCAAATGCTGTTAAATCAACTGAGAGAAATCACAGGCATTCAGGACCCTTCCTTTCTCCATGAAGCTCTGAAGGTTGGTTTCCAGATCTCTGTTAGTCAGGAGGCTTTAAAGCAGCTGTCTATATTATAGTTATGTCAGTTCAAGCTATTTCTATTCCCAAATTAAAGCACATATAGGGACAGAAGCTCTACAGGTCAAATGACTGACCCAATGTCTTCAACATGTAAATTATAAGGGGCTGGGGGAGATTTGTGGTTCGGGTAACCCTGCAGGGTATAAAAGAGATTTAAGAAACATCAACCAGTTGCACTGTTTAGGCCTTATATTTCCTGATCCAAACCAGCAAACTAAATAATATTTGAGTCAGGGAAGTTTGAACTGGTTATCTGATATTGAAAAAACCTGTTGTTATTCTTAAGGTATGTATATATATATACTTTTTTTTTTTTTTGAGATGGAGTCTCACTCTGATGCCCAGGCTGGAGTGCAGTAGCACAATCTTGGCTCACTGCAGCCTCTCCCTCCCGCATTCAAGCTGTTCTCCCACCTCAGTCAGCCTCCCAAGTAGCTGGGATTACAGGCATGCGCCACCACACCTGGCTAATTTTTGTATTTTTAGTAGAGACGGGGTTTCACCATATTGGCCAGGCTGGTCTTGAACTCCTGACCTCAAGTGATCCACCCGACCTGGCCTCCCACAGTGTTGGGATTACAGGCATGAGCCACCACGCCGGGCCATGGGTTATATTTTTAAAAGATATGTTCTGAAATGTTGACCAGTGATAAGATGGTTAGGGTTTGATTCAGAATATCTACGAGAGTATAGGAGGTTTAGAGAAAATAAGAAAGGTTATGACTAAGTGACTAGGTAATTGTTGAAGATGAGTGATAGGTACATGGGGTTCTGTTATTCCCTTTCCTGGTATATATGTTAGAAATGTTTCCTCATAAAACATTAAAAACAAGAATGATCACCACTAGAAAACAGGTAACTGCGTGGCTTTTTTTTTTTTTTTTTTTTTTTTTTTGAGACAGGAGACAGGATCTCACTCAGTTGCCTTGCCTGCAGTGCAGTGGTGTGATCTCGGCTCACTGCAGCCTCTGCCCTCTGCCTCCTGGGCTCAAGCGATCCTCCCACCTCAGCCTCCCTAGTAGCTGGGACTCACGCCTGGCTAGTTTTTGTATTTTTGGTAGGGATGGGGTTTTGCCAAGTTGCTCAAGCTGGTCTCCAATTCCTGGGCTCAAGCGATCTGCCCGCCTTGGCCTCCCAGTGTGCTGGGATTACAGGCGTGTGAGCCACTGCGCCTGCCCTGCTTGGCATTTTTATTGTAGGGCTGACTTCATTTAGAATGTCTATGTTAATTGCCAGCCCCCTTTTTTGACACATCGTGCTTTAGACTGTTCAGAGAAATCATGAGTAGTAGTATCCGAAGCAATGGGAACAAATCTCCATCAAGATTTCACTTTTGTTTGGGTGTTGTGGGAAGTCAGAGCATGGAAACTCCCTCCTGTAATGAGGCATTTAATAGACGCTTCAAGCACATTAGACCTACTGTCCACCATAGTCTCATAATTCTACCCTAGAATTATGCCTGAAAGTACTCAGTGTGTCACCAGGGTAATAAAGTTAATACTCAAAACTGGTTTTAAATTCTATGATTACTTTTGAAATTTCTATTGTCTTTTTCTCCCATAGGCCAGTAATGGTGACATTACTCAGGCAGTCAGCCTTCTCACTGATGAGAGAGTTAAGGAGCCCAGTCAAGACACTGTTGCTACAGAACCATCTGAAGTAGAGGGGAGTGCTGCCAACAAGGAAGTATTAGCAAGTAGGTACCATATATCCTGTCTTGGTCCTTTGCTGAACTAGCAGAAAATAACAAACCAAGTATATGTGAGTTCCCTGTCAATCACATCAGCCCTTTGAAAATAATAGTAATAACAGCTTATTACTGAGCTATTGCTATGTGGCAGGCACAATTCTAAGCACGTAAAAAGTTCTGGCCGGGTGCAGTGGCTCATGCCTGTAATCCCAGCACTTTGGGAGGCCGAGGCAGGCGGATTACGAGGTCAGGAGATCGAGACCATCCTGGCTAACACGGTGAAACCCCGTCTCTACTAAAAATACAAAAAATTAGCTGGGTGTGGTGGTGGGCACCTGTAGTCCCAGCTGCTCGGGAGGCTGAGGCAGGAGAATGGCATGAACCCGGGAGGCAGAGCTTGCAGTGAACTGAGATCGCACCACTGCTCTCCAGCCTGGGCGACAGAGCAAGACTCCGTCTCTTAAAAAGAAAAAAAAAGTTTCATTTGTTCATTTACTCATTGTTTAGCATTTATTTAGTGAGGACCAACTATGTGCCAAGCACTCTTGAAGCCCTGCCTGCATTTAGCTTGTTTTTTAGTGGGAGAAGATCAACAAGTAAATAAATTATTAATATATTAGAATGTGATAAATACCATGGAGAAAAAGGACAGAAGAAAGAAATGAAAAAAAGAGTGCTGGGGACTGTATTTCCAATTGGATGGACTTTTTTTTTTTTTTTTTGAGATGGAGTCTCACTCTGTCATCCAGGCTAGAGTGCAATAGCGCGATCTGCGCTCACCGCAACCTCTGCCTCTGGGGTTCAAGCCTCAACCTCCTGAGTAGCTGGGATTACAGGCGCCCACCACTACGCCTGGCTAATTGTTTGTATTTTTAGTAGAGACGGGGTTTTACCATGTTGGCCAGCTGGTCTTGAACTCCTGACCTCAGGTGATCCACCCGCCTCAGCCTCCCAGAGTGCTAGGATTACAGGTGTGAGCCACTGCTCCTGGCTGGGATGGACTTTTAAGAATGTGCAGGGGAGGTGAGGGAGTAAGTCATTTGAGGCCCTAAGATGGGAGTGCACCTTGGCTTGCTCAGGGAACAGCAAGGAGGCCAGGGCTAAGGCTTAGTGAGTGAGGAGGGCCGAAAGGGATGGGGCCATGGAAAGAGAAGGAGGTGGATCATTCAGAACCTTCCTAAGTACTAGCTTTTGCTGTGAGTTAGGTGGGTAGCCTTTGAAGAGTTTGGAGCAAAGGAATGATATAAACTGATTTCCATTTTCCATCACTCTGACTGTGGTGTTGAGAACAGAATGTGGGGGAGGAGGTAGTGACAAGCATGGGTCAGATTAGGGAACCCAGGCCAGGCTGCTGTGGTGGAGGGTAAGCAGTGCTGGCATTCCGGCATATATTATTTTTAAGGTAAAGGCAGTAGGATTTACTTACTGAGGAGGTAGGGTTGTGTGAGAGAGAGAGGAGTTAAAGGTGACTCAAAAATTTTTTTCCTAAGCAACTGAAGCATTTAACCAAGATGGGAATCACTGTAGGTGGAGCAGATTTGAGATGGTAGATGAAGAGATCAGTTTGGGGAATACTAAATTTGAAATGCCTGTTAGACATTCACGGCAGAAGTGTCAGAAAGATGGTGGAGACCCAGGTGCACAGTTCAGAGGAGAGGTCCAGGCTGGAGGTAGGTGGACTTGGAATCGTAACCTATAAAGGCTCTGTAAAGCTGTGAGACTGAGGAGCTCTCCAAGGGAGTGGGTATAGGGGAAAGAAAAGGTTCTGCAGCTTAAGCACTGGTTGCTGCCTATGTTCAGAGGTCTGGGGAGGTGAAGAGTGCCCACGGAAAGCCAGGAGAATGGGACTCTGGAAGCCACGGAGGCTTCTGGGAGGAGAGACCAAGGAGAACCTTCTGGAACCTTCTGGGAGGAAGGCGAGGTGGTGTTAATGGACATTTGGGCCGTTAACAGTTTTGAGCTATTCTGGATGATGCTGCTGTGAGTATTCTCATATGTTTCTCTTGGTACACACTGCAACTTTTTTCGGTCAACATTGTTCTTTTTGAGACTCACCCATGCTGAGGATTATAACTGTAGTTCATTCATTTTCACTGGTGTGTAGTATTCCATGGTCTGAATATATACCACATTGTATGTATTTGTTGATTGACTTTGGGGTTGTTTTCAAGCTTTTGCTATTCAAGCCTGCTGTGAGCTGTTCGGATTCATGCTGCTTGTCCTTGTATGCGAGAGTTTTTTTAGTGTATATATCTAGTGATGTAGTTGGTAGGTATTAAGATACGCTTATCTTCAACTTTATAGGTAATGACAGTCTTTTCCAAAATAATTTTTTACCTATTTATACTCTCTTTAACAGGGCTTGAGAGTAACCATTGCTCTCAAATTTGTTATCTTAGATTGGGAAATTGTCACCCTTCTCCTGTGAAATGCTACCTCAGCTTCCCCTCATGGGTCTTACAGATGCTAATAAAAACATTAGGTTAATTAACAAAAGAATGGGGAAGGGGAGAGTCAAACGGCTCACTCCAGGAAGGTGGAAATTTTTAAATGGTTCTATTGTGGTATTTCTTTAGCACTGAAAGCATTTGCATGGTCTGTTGGGATAGTAAAACCCAGTTCAGAGTCAGTGCCTATACCTGTCAGGACCCATTTGTAGTCCCCTAGGGTTGCCAGCATCAGTCTCACTGGCCAGCAGCGTTCAGGGCCTTGCCACCAGGGAATCTCCCCATAGCTGTCGGCACTATCTTTCTCTTCCTGGCAGACAGAACAGTTCTTATTGGCGTTTTGTTCTTGAGAGGGTGGAAAAGGAACATGTCTAGACTCAGCCCATCTCTGCACTGTTGCAGTACCCCCATATCAACACATCTAAGGGATTTCTTCTGGTTGGCATCGACATGTCCTACTTTAATGCGCCCTTCAAATTTCCATAGGGCCATGCCTCATACGGACATCCCTTTAATAGGCCAGGTTTCCATTGCTCTCCTGCCTGATCATGTGACCACTGGCCACTGCCCATAAGTGAGTAAAAAGCCTAACACGGGCTTTTATCACTGTTCAATTCTTCCATCACTGCTAGAAAAACAACATGCAATCAACACATGCTGCTGATTTGTTTTTACCTTCTTTGATCCCATTGGCGTCCTTCCTTCCAAATAGGATGTTGTCCATTCACCTTGGAACTGCCATCTGCAAACCAAGCAGCTCTTTATTGGTCTATTGGGAGCTGTTTATTGGGAAACTGTCAAAGTGTGGATAGGATCCAGCAGTTCCTCACACAATTCCAGAGTCAGTCCTAGGGGAAAAGAGGCTTTCTGCTACCTGGGGAATGCAAAGACCTCCTTGCATTTTCCAGGTAGCAAGAGCCTGTATAAACCATTTCCATTGTATTATGGAACTCTCTTGGGCACTGCCATCCTCACTGAAGTGTTTCTCTGACATCCGCCAGCAAGACAGCATGAGTATTTCAGGTTTCAAGATTATTTTATGTCCTCAATTATAGGGGTAGCTTCAATTAATGTCTCATAGCAAGGTAATAAATGCCCCTCAAGTGGTAATTCTCTAGTCCAAAGTCTCAGGAGTCATCTCTGGGAGGCACTCACAGGCTTTTGCCATAAGCCCTGGTAAACGCTCCGCAATCAGTTTGTCCCTACCAGCACTTCAGCTTCAATTCTCTGTTGTGTAGGCTCAGGGAATCTTTCTGGTTCCCATTTAGCATGTCTAATTATTATTGCTTGAAGGACAAGTTTACATGCCTTCTGTTTTACAGGAGTAGGTAGAGGGAACATTCTCCAGGCAGATACAGTATCCATCCCCATAATACAATCAAGTAGAAAAGATGGAACCACTTCACATTGAAGCAGCTTCAGATATAACAACTCGCCTATAAAATTTTATCCTAATTCCATCAACACTTACTTTCCTAAGTATAGCCTCCATTAGGACTTTATCAACAGGTTTTGAAATCACAGTGCATTGTGCTTCTGTGTCACGAAGCCCCAGAAAGGTTTCTACTCCACACCCTGACCCCTTCACCACTGGTGTACATAAGGCTTTGGGTCCCCAGCAAGGGATTGAGCCAAAGTACTCTTGGCTGTTTGTCAGTCTTTATCTTGATTAACCTGCCTCAACATTGCCCCACACAATTGTTGATCATCTTTCTCTTTGTGGTCTCTGCCTTTCAGCTTGTAAAGTTTCTCCAAACTGGGGTAAATGCAAGAAACTTGTTTGAAGCCCTTTAATGTTGGTTAATCAGCAGAGTTCCCTTTGGTCCACCCACCTTTGGTAGTGCTGTATTAAAATGTTTAATCAGTATGTTTAATTGAAAGACTGTAATTCCCCACTGATCTGCAGTATCAATTCTGTGTTATCTCAAAATTTCTTTTTCCCTTTAGTTTCACCCCATCAGTGTTTTCTTTACTCACTTCCTTAATAATCCTTTAAACATTTCCACCTTTGTCCTTTGACTTTTCCCATCTGCCTTTCACCATTTTCCTGTTAATGAACCTGTTGTTTTTTTATTAGCATCTGTGAGACCCATGAGAGGAAGTTGAGATAGCAAATCTAATAAGGCTTCCAGAACTGTTTGTCAGTTTTGCTACAGTCATGTTGTATGAGGGGTCCACACTGAAGGGGTGTCCTTAACCAGCATGACCTGGGTAATGGGCATATTCAGTGAGTGAATATCCCTGTCATGATAAAGCCAGTGTCTATTTCACTGAGTATCCATTTTCAGTTCTTTTGTGTATATACCTAGAAATAGAATTGCTGGGTCATATGATAATTCTATATTTAGCTTTTTGGGTAACATTTCTAAAAGAGGACTGTTTATTTTTTAAAACTGCAACATTATCACACTAAAAATAATCCCTTAATATCATCAGTAATCCCTTAATCTCATCAAATACCCCATGTAGAAATTTCCCTGGTTATCTCATTAACAGTGTTGGCAGTTTTTGTTAAGAACAATGATCCAAATAAATTAGAACATTAAGTATGTTTGAAGTGTCTTTTAAGACTCTCTTTATTTATAAATCTCCACCCCGCCCCCCCACCCCCGTCCCGTTTCTTGCAGCTTAATATCCAAAGAAATCAAGTCCTTTGTTATGTCAGTTTTCACACATTCTGGAGTTTGGCGATTGTATTACTGTGGTATCTTTCAATGGATTTTTCTGTCTCCTGTCTTTCCTATAAATGTAGATGCTTATCTGGCATGACTGTGTCATCGGTAGTGTTGTGTATATATCTTCTATTTTGTTACATTGAGAAGCATATAATGTCTGGTTGCCCTCTTTTGTGTTGTTAAAATCGTAATTGTTTTTAGGTATTGTCAGGTTAATTTATCTATTATGAAGTTTCTCACTTAGCATTTTCAGCAGCCATTGATGATTGTTACCTAGATTCATTATTTTGGTAAAAATAAATGGAAATAGAATGGTAATATTCTATCATAATTATGGTAATTGGAATAGTTATAGTGATAATTGGATTATTTATTAATTTATTTATTTTTGAGAAGGAAGCTCGCTCTGTCACCCAGGCTGGAGTGCAGTGGTGTGATCTCGGCTCACTGCAACCTTCGCCTCCTGGGTATAAGCTATTCTCCTGCCTCAGCCTCCCGAGTAGCTGGGATTACTGGCACACGCCACCACACCCAGCTAATTTTTGTGTTTTTGGTAGAGACTGGGTTTCACCATATTGGTTGGCCAGGCCGGTCTCAAACTCCTGACCTCAGGTGATCCGCCTGCCTCAGTCTCCCAAAGTGTTGGGATTACAGATGTGAGCCACAGTGCCCAGCCTGATAATTGGATAATTTATTACTTGAAATTATTATTTTAGTAAAAAACACATTACATAAAATCTAAGGATATCTCAAATATTCGATTTTTAAATACTTTATCCATTCTTAAATGTAGAGTTCAGTAGTGTTAAGAATAGTCAAATTGTTGTGAAACAACCCCCAGAATGTTACCATATTGCAAATCTGCACTCCATACCCAGCCCCTGGTAACTACCATTCTGTTTTCTGTTTCTATGAATTTGACTACTTTAAATACTTCATATAAGTGGACTTATACAGTATTTGTCTTTTTGTGACTGGCTTATTTAATTTGGCATAATATCTGTCTTAAGTTTCATCCATGTTGTAGCATGTGACAGTATTTCTTCTTTTTTCCAGTCTTTTTTGGTAAAACATACAGTTTGCCATCTTAACTACTTAAATGTACAGTTCAGAAATATTAAATAAATTCATATTGTTGTGCAACTGTCACCACCATCCATTTCCAAAACATTTCACTTACTTAGTATGCGTTGAATAGTAACCCCCATTTTTTCTGTCCTCCATTCTACTCTTTATCTCTGAATTTCTAAGAACCTCGTATAAGTAGAAATACACTGTTTGTCCTTTTGCAGTGGGCTTATTTCACTTACCAATGTCTTCAGACTTCATGTTACAGTATGCCTCAAATTTCTTTGCTTTTTAAGGTTGAGTAATACTCCATTGTATGTATATGCCATGTTTTGTTTATCCATTCATTAATGGACATTTGGGTTGTTTCCACCTCTTGGCTCTTGTGAATAGTGTTGCTGTGAACTTGGATGTACAGATATCTCTACAAGACCCTGTTTTAGTCCGGGCACTGTAGCTCATATCTGTGATCCCAGCACTTTGGGAGGCTGAGGCAGGTGGATAGCTTGAGCCTAGGAATTCAAGACCAGCCAGGGCAATATGGTGAATCCCTGTCTCTACAAAAGATAGAAAAATTAGCCAGGTGTGATGGTGTATGCCTGTAGTCCCAGCTACCTGGGAGGCTGAAGCAAGTAGATCCCTTGAGCCCTGGAGGTTGAGGCTACAGTGAGCTGAGATTGTACCTACTGCCCTCTAGCCCTGGTGACAGAGTGAGACTCTCTCAAAAAAAGACCCTGCTTTAGATTCTTTTGGATACCCAGAAGTAGGATTACTGGTTCATACGGTTGTTCTATTTTTAATTTTTTGAATAGCTTCCATACTGTTTTCTGTAGCAGTTGCATCATTTATTTTATTTTATTTATTTATTAATTTTTTTTTTTGAGACAGGGTCTTTACCTTTCGCCCAGGTTGGAGTGCAGTGGCGCGATCTCAGCTCAGTGGAGCCTCCACCTCCCGGGTACAAGTGATTCTCGTGCCTCAGCCCCCTGTGTAGCTGGGACAGGCATGTCCCACCACGCCTAGCTAAGTTTTGTATTTTTAGTAGAGACGGTGTTTCACCATGTTGCCCAGGCTGGTCTCGAACTCATGACCTCAAGTGATCCGCCTGCCTTGGCCTCCCTGAGTGCTGGAATTAAAGGCATGAGCCACCATGCCTGGCCGTATTTTATTTATTTATTTTGTTGTTTTTTTTTTTTTTTTGAGAAGGGTCTCACTGTTACCCAGGTTGGAGTGCAGTTGTGCAAACAGGGCTCACTGCAGCCTTGACCTCCCAGGCTCAAGTGATCCTCCCACCTCAGCCTCCCAAGTACCTGGGACTATGGGCTCACACCACCATGCCCAGATATTTTTTATTTTTATTTCTTTTGAATTTTTTTTAGAGGCAAGGTTTCGCCACATTGCCCAGGCTGGTCTTGAACTCCTTAGCTCAAGCCATCTGCCCACCTTGGTCTCTCAAAGTGCTGGGATTACAGGCGTGAGCCACCGCACCTGGCCAGTTGCACCATCTTAAAATCCCACCAACAGTGCACAAAGTTTCCAGTTTCTCCACTTCCTTGCCAGTTTTATTATTAATATTATTTTTTGATAGCTGTCCCTATGGGTGTGAAATTATATCTCATTGTGGTTTTGATTTGCATTTTTCTGATGATTAGTGATGTTGAGCATCTTATGCTTATTGGTCATTTATCTTGTGTATTCTTTGGAGAAATGTCAATTCAGATTTTCTGCCCATTTTTGAAATCACTATTTGTGTGTTTCATTCAGTCACAGGAGTTCTTTGTATGTTCTGTGTGTAGATCTCTTATCAGATGCATGTTTTGCAAATATTTTCTCCCTTTCTATGAGTTGTCTCTTCTTTTTTTTTTCTTTTTTTAAGACGGAGTCTCACACTGTTGCCCAGGCTGGAGTGCAGTGGTACGATCTCGGCTCACTGCAACCTCTGCCTCCCGGCTCCCGGGTTCAAGCCTCCTGCCCCAGCCTCCCGAGTAGCGGAGATTACAGGCACCTGCCACCACGCCCGGCTAATTTTTTTGTATTTTTATTAGAGATGGGGTTTTACTATTTTTATCAGGCTGGTCTCGAACTCCTGACCTCGTGATCCACCCGTCTGGGCCTCCCAAAGTGCTGGGATTATAGATGTGAGCCACCATGCCCGGCTGTCTCTTCACTTCTTGATGGTGTCCTTTGAAGCCCAAAGGATTTTTTAATCTATTTTTTCTTTGGTTCCTTATGCTCTGGATGTCATCTAAGATTCCGTTGCCTAATCTAAGGTCATGAAGATTTACACCTGTGTCATCCTCTACTTTTATATTTTAGCTCTCATCTTGAGGACTTGATCCATTTTGACTTAATTTTTGTATGTGGGGCTAGGTAGGGGTTCAGCTTTATTCTTTTGCATGTGGTGTTCAGTTGTCACAGCACCATTTGTTGAAAAGATATTCTTTCCTTCTTGAGTTGTCTAGTACTTAGGTCAAAAATCAATTGACCGGGAATGTAAGAGTTTATTTCTGGACTATAAATTCTATTCCATTGATGTATATGTCTCCTTATGCCAGCAGCACACAGTCTTGATTACTACAGTTTTGTAATATTTGTGTTTTATTTTATTAAAAAAATTTTTTTTTAGTTTTTTTTTTTTTTTTTTTGAGATAGAGTTTCGCTCTTGTTGCCCAGGCTGGAGTGCAATGGCATGATGTTGGGTCACCATAGCCTCCGCCTCCTGGGTTCAAGCCGTCCTCCTGCCTCAGCCTCCTGAGTAGCTGGGATTACAGGCATACACCACCGCGCCTGGCTAATTTTGTATTTTAAGTAGAGAGGGGGTTTATCCTTGTTGGTCAGGCTGATCTCGAACTCCCAATCTCAGGTGATCTGCCTGCCTTGGCATCCCAAAGTGCTGGGATTATAGGCATGAGCCACTGCTTCCAGCCTCTTTTTATTTTTTTTTAACTGCTCCTGTGGAACAGGGCTACCACACAGGCAGTGTGCCAGAGTAGCTGTGGATTATTTTGGGTTTCCCTTGTAGGTGATTATTATCCATGAATTATGACAGCTTTGCTTCTTATTTTCCAGTCTATATTTCCAGAGTGAGATGGAGTCTCACTCTGTCGCCCAGGCTGTAGTATAGTGACACAATCTCAGCTCATTGCAACCTCCGCCTCCTGGGTTCAAGTGATTCTCCTGCCTCAGCCTCCCAAGTAGCTGGAATTACAGGCACGTGCAACCATGCCCAGCTAATTTTTTGTATTTTTAGTAGAGACGAGGTTCCACCATGTTGGCCAGGTTGGTCTCAAACTCCTGACCTCAACTGATCCTCCCATCTTGACCTCCCAAAGTGCTGGGATTAAAGGCGTGAGCCACCATGCCCAAAAGTTCTTATTGCCTGCCTAGAACTTCCAGAACCATGGTGAATAAAAGCAGTGATAATAGATGTGTTTGTCTTAGTCTTGATTTTAAAGCAAATATACTTAACGTTTCTCCGTTAAGTATAAAAGTTTTCTATGGGCTTTTCATGGATACTTTTTCTCAGCCTAAGGATATTTTTTTCTCTTCCTAGTTGGCTTTGAGTTTTTATCCTGAAAGAAAGTTGAATGTTATCAAATACATTTTCTGTATCTGTTAAGATGATCATTTTTTTCTTTTAACTGTTAAGATAGTGAATTTTACTGCTCCATCTAGTATTAACTCATTTTTTTTTCCTGCAGTAAACTCAACTTGGTCTTTTTTTTTTTTTCTGAGACGGAGTCTCACTCTGTTGCCTAGGCTGGAGTGCAGTGGCGTGGTCTTGGCTCCCTGCAAGCTCCACCTCCCGGGTTTACGCCATTCTCCCACCTCAACCTCCTGAGTAGCTGGGACTACAGGCGCCCGCCACCACGCCCGGCAAATTTTTTGTATTTTTAGTAGAGACGGGGTTTCACCGTGTTAGCCAGGATGGTCTCGATCTCTTGACCTCGTGATCCGCCCGCCTCGGCCTCCCAAAGTGCTGGGATTACAGGCATAAGCCACTGCGCCCAGCCAACTTGGTCTTAATATGTAATTTTTTTTTTTTATATTATTGGGTTCTATTTGCTAATATTTTGTTTAGGTATTTTGTATCTGTGAGTATTTTGTATCACGTGTGAGTTTCACTTTTTCTTTCTCTTACCGTTCTTAACTAGTTGAGGAGTATATCCCTATTCTCTGGAATATTTTGTATGAGATTTAAAATATCTGTTCCCTGGGTGTTTGATATTTGGCTGATGTTTTGTGATAATAGAGACTATTTAACCCACATGTATGGGATCTACTTTTGACTTTGTGGAGTGAGAATACAGAAGAGGGTATTTGGTTCATTTGATTTTTGCAGCTTGTTATTTCTGTACTGTGGGCTAGTCTAAGGTTACAGTGTAGCCGAAGTTACTCATTTGACTATGCAGTAGGGTAATAAAATTGTTACACAGTTGAGCCATTGTTGTAGTGAAAGCTAGGGAGTATGTCTTTACCTTTTTCTTATATTACAGAAGGGCAGTGTTTCCTATATATAGACTAATTAAATTTCTGTTTATCTTACAGAAGTTATAGACCTTACTCATGATAACAAAGATGATCTTCAGGCTGCCATTGCTTTGAGTCTACTGGAGTCTCCCAAAATTCAAGCTGATGGAAGAGATCTTAACAGGTTATTGATTTAACTTATAATTCTTGCCCCCCACATTTGTGTGTATCTCAAAGGCAACAGCTCTGTGAATGCCACTCAGGAATAATTCTGTTAAGCACCTGAATGACATTTCTTTTAGGAGAAATTTTGAATTTGCATTAGCTTACTCTTTGGTTCACTTTTGAAAAAGCGAAACTGAAAGGGGTCTTATTGCATCGTGTGTCTTTGAGTAGAAGTGTGCAAGGTGTTTCAGTTTACAATTGCTAGGGTGAATTAAAAACAACCTAGTCCAGGTATCTGATAAATGTATATTCTCTTTTATAAACTTTGAGGGTTATGCTGCTGCATAGTTTTAAGTGAAAGTTATTCAACTACCCTGTCTCATAAGTGATCAAGGAATCTATTTTTTTGAACTGGTACTAATTGGGTGGTTGTTTGGTACTGTTCACCAACATCCAGTTCCAGTGGTGGCCTATCAGTTTCTGGACATGTTTATTCCCTCACACTGCTGAGATGTTTATTTCAGGGAACACAGGGCTGTGTTTTATGTCCTGGGCAATTTGGAGGCTCTTATCTTTAGCACAGTGTCTCTCCTGCCCTATTCGATGGTGAGGTCTTAGATAGTACACTGTGTTGAAATCTAAAATTTCTAATATGGTAGCCTTAAATAGTCTTGAATTTCAACTTAGTTCAATCATGGACCTTATTAGTAATAATGTCTGTTATGGAGGGATTAACATTTCTATGTATAAATCTTGCTTTTCAGTTGCATTACAGTCTTACAGTTCCTTATATAGCTAGGGATTATCCAGTAAATACTTTTTCTGGTGTTTTGAATTATCCACGAAAAGTTATAGCATCCTCCATATGCTATATTATTCTTTAACTATTTTCTTTTTTGCTGTGTGGCACGCTGCACAATATAGGATGCATGAAGCAACCTCTGCAGAAACTAAACGCTCAAAGAGAAAACGCTGTGAAGTCTGGGGAGAAAACCCCAATCCCAATGACTGGAGGAGAGTTGATGGTTGGCCAGTTGGGCTGAAAAATGTTGGCAATACATGTTGGTTTAGTGCTGTTATTCAGGTATGATATTTTTAAGAGATAACTGTGTCTTTTGGAAATAACTTTGTAATTTATTAAACTGAAATGTAGAAACATAGCTTTCAAAGGATTAAAATAGATATTTAAAATTAGGGGAGTTTTTCTGGCATTATTGTGTATGGATTTAGATGCTTTGATGTCTAAGTTGGGCAGTACTAAAAAGAAATCTGCTGTGGTTGTAAATATATTGAATAGGTGTTTTGGATAAGCATTTAGTGGATACTATATTATAGCAGTGAGAGTGAATAAGGAGGAATCAGTTGTTGAAGGCTATCATAGCTATCCAGGTAGGCGACAGTGGTGGCCTGGAGTAGAGAAGTGGCAGAAGTCATGGAAGGAGAGAAGTGAATGCATTCTTGAGGCGCTGAGGAGATCAAATCTACAGGATTGGTGGGCAGTTGGATCCAGGATATGCCTGCAGTAGTTGAGTAAGAGTAAGACTATGAGGTTTCTAGTTCGAGTAACCAGGTGGATTATAGTACCATTTGACCCTGGAGGAGGAATAATTTGGGTGTGTGTTAACAGTGGGTTTCAGTTCAGGTTTTTTTGTTTTTTGTTTTTTTCTTTCTGACACAGTGTCTCGCTCTGTTGCCCAGGCAACAGTGGTGCGATCTCAGCTCACTGCAACCTCCGCCTCCCAGGTTTAAGCAATTCTCCTGCCTCTCCAGTAGCTGAGACTACAGGCATGTACCACCAGGCCTGGCTAATTTTGTATTTTTAGTCGAGATGGGGTTTCATCATGTTGGTCAGGCTGGTCTCCAACTCCTGACCATGTGATCTGCCTGCCTCGGCCTCCCAAAGTACTGGGATTAGAGGCGTGAGCCACCGCGCCTGGCCACCCGGCTAATTTTTTAGTAGAGACAGGGTTTCGCCATGTTGGCCAGGTTGGTCTCGAACTCCTGACCTCAGGTGTTCCGCCCGCCTCAGCCTCCCAAAGTGCTGGGATTTCAGGTGTGAGCCGCTGCACCTGGCGCAATGTCTTCATTTTTAAAATTTATTTTTATTATTTATTTAGTTATTCATTTGAGACAAGATGGCGCAATCTAGGCTCAATGCAACTTCTGCCTCCCAGGTTCAAGGGATCCTCTTGCCTCAGCCTCCCAAGTAGCTGGGATGACAGGCGTGTGCCACCACACCTGGCTAATTTTTGTATTTTTAGTAGAGATGAGGTTTCATCATGTTGGCCATGCTGGTCTTGAACTCCTGACCTCAAGTGATCCACCTGCTTTGGCCTTCCAAAGTGCTGGGATTACAGGCCTGAGCCACCATGCCCCACAATCAGTTCAGTTTTAGATATGCCGAGTCTGAGGTGCCTGTGCCTGTGTATGCTATGGTCTTAACTACCCTTCATTGAATTCACAGAGTGCCCTTTTGTCCTTTGATCACATACCCAGCAAATCCTCCAACTTAAATGAGTTGAGTTTAAGGAGATACCATGTAGGCAGATAATTATATGAATCTGTACTTCAGAAAAAGTGCTGGGCTCTA